>NC_000007.14:41452363-41755393 GCF_000001405.40 Homo sapiens
AAAACGATGATAAAGTAGAAGAAACAGGAAGAAATCAGAGTAAAAATGGAATTCAGGAAACCATCCGAGGCCCCAGTGTGTCCACATAATCTCCAAGCCTTCCTAGAGATTGTTGGGAAACAGCAGTCCACCACCTTGTATAGTAACGCATCACATGTCTCACAACTCCTCAGTTTTTAGGGTCTTCTTCCCCTGTCGTCACAGTCTAATTCTTCATTGTGGTTCAGTGCAGAAGAGGAGTCAGTAAGCCTTCCTTGCAGAATAGAGTTTTTGTCTATTTTAAAATATATTTATTGGCTGGGAGTGGTGGCTCATGCTTGTAATCCCAGCACTTTGGGGGGCTGAATCGGGCAGATCACTTGAGGTCAGGAGTACGAGAGCAGCCTGGCCAACGTGGTGAAACCCTGTCTCTACTAAAATTACAAAAATTAGCCAAGCATGGTGTCATGTGCCTGTAATCCCAGCTACTCAGGGAGCTGAGGCAGGAGAATTTCTTGAACCCAGGAGATGGAGATGGAGGTTGCAGTGAGCCAAGATCGCGCCACTGCACTCCAGCCTGGGTGACAAGTGAGAGTCCACCTCAAAAAAATAAAAAAATAAATAAAAATAAAATATATTTATTTATATTGTCGCCCATTTTTAATAGCAATTTGCTGCTAAATTGGTGAGGTGAAATGATCTTTCTGAAGCAACAATCACGACAACATTGAGCACTCGGGGTGTGGCAGCCACTCCTAACACAGTAGGACTGACTTCAGTATTTTTATGTTACACATGAGCAGATACTTTTGAAGGGTGAAATAACCTCTATCTCCATGTGCCAGCGAAGGAGCAGAACCAAGGCGTGACCCCGGTGTACTTGCATTACCAGCAAGCTTTGTCCCTAATTTCCAGAGGAAACTTTCCTTTGGGCTCCTGTGGTTGTCAGAGTCAGCATTCCCTTTGAAAAGGGGCATTTGCCATGGTGTGAATGTTTATGTCTCCCCAAAATGCATATGTTGAAATCCTTCCCACATGCCCCCAAGGTATTAGGAGGTGGGGTCTTTGGGAGGTGATTGGGTCATGGGGCAGAGCCTTCATGAATGGAATTAGTGCCTTTATTAAAGAGGCCCTAGAGAGACCCCTCGCCCTTTCCACTATGTGAGGACACAGTGAGAAATCACCTTCTATGAACCAGAAAATGGGCCCTCACCAGACACGGAATCTGCCAATACTTTGGACTTCACAGTCTCCGGGAAGAGTGAATGTCTGCTTTATGGTATTTTATTAGAGCAACTGGAATGAACTAAGACAGAGTTGAAGGTATATTAAAGGAGCTGAAGATGTATAAACAGGAATAAATAAACTCATCTCCTTCAGATATTTCTTCATCCCGTCATTTTTGTTTCCCACTCTGCCTACTTAGTAGTATTTCCGTAATGCTTACCATGTCCTGGTCTCAGTTGGATCCAACTAGACTTAAACAAACAAACAAACAAAAAATCAGGAGAGTAGTGTAAAGAATACTTCAAACAATGAAATCAATCTCATTTTCAATTGCAATACGTACCATAGAATGTGAATTAGGAAGAAAGGAAGAAGAGTTGGCTACTATTTACAGTTATGCTCACATGAATGTCCATTTTCAAGTTATGATTAAAAATACGTAAAACAAATATCCACAATCCTCAAGAGTCTCTCCCATCTGGAGCAGAGTTTCTGTAACTTGATAGGCAACCTTGTGTATCGCAGGTAAAGTCTGAAATGGGGATGGAAAATAGAAAAGCCTGCAGGCCACAAACAGTGGTGGGCAAAACAGGCAGCCTCATCCCATTGAGACAGACAAACCATTCTGCATAGGGAACACATGCTCATTCTCCAGAAATGGACTGTCACTTTTTTTCTTGAAAAACACATTCTGGAGACAATCTTGTTTTCCCCTTTTGACTTTCGCTAAAGACATGGCTACAGAGCATCATGTCCCTCCATGAGGAAGACAATAGTGACAAGAGCAGTGAGCTGTGATGAATGGGTGCTTGGCTCATCCACTTCCACCACCAACAAGGCTGCACTTGAAATTTCCATTTCTATAAACCAAAAATAAAAGCACTATAAAAACATAAATGTATTGTATGTTTAAAATATTTTTAATTTCTACTTTTTGATGAATAATGGTTTCCTGGATTTTACATATTATTGCTTATAATTATGTTTTCCCTTAACACATTGAAGCCAGTAGTTTATTGCAATAACGATGAAGCGTTGTGTGTTCTTCCTCCAACTTATCTCTTCTCTCTTATAAATAACCTGACAAACATAACCTCAGCTCTGCTCACATAGCTTTTGTTATGATCCTTCACCTAAAAGATTTTTCTTCTTCCAGAAGGAGACATTGGATATATGTGGAAAGGAAAGCTCAAGATGGCAGATTGAACACTCACTGGAACCTGAAGCTTCTAATACAAATAAATTGACAAAGCACTTTACAAGATATATTGTGGGCCAGAACCAGAGATCAAATCCACAGCAGGAAGCAGGGGTTAAAGATCAGAAGGACTTAAACCCTTGCCCTTGGGTTTTACAGCTACATGGGGATGGACGGGGTTGAGCACACACTGTACGTGGCAGGCTCCTTGCATGAAGTTTGGGAGGTAGGACCAAGCTGCCTCACATGAATGAAGGCAGGAGGAGTTCCATATTCAGGAATAGAAGCAGAATTACCAATCGAGGCCAGGACTCAACATGCATAATAGAAGGCCTACCTGTTTGCCATCTTTGTGGTAGTAAAGTCTGACATCTAGTTTAGAACCATGTGTCTTCTAAAGACTATGGTGGCAGCAGCCCATACCACGGACTGGAAAAAATTCCCCACAGACAAACTCTAAAATGAGAATTACAACGCAGATGAGGAAGTCTAGATGCATAAAAAGAATCACCAAATTGAAAAATTCACATGTGAAAATAGAGATAATAGAAAAATGTTCATTCATAAAAAAATACAATATTCTCAAAGAGAGGAAAGATGGAATACTATTCATGAAAAATGAAGAACAAAAACAAAACAGAAGGTTACAAAAACAAGAACAGATGTATGTATCAAAAAACCAAATGTAAGTTTCATTAGATGAGTTAAACTGGTTACTGGGAAAAGATGAAGACAGAATTTTTAAGACGGAAGACAAAACTAAGAAATCAGTATAGAAAGATGAAGTTTTGGAAAATATGGAAGAAAGGCAGGAGACACAGGATAGATCAAAAGTTCAACTTAACTCTCTGATTCAGAAAGAAAGAATAGGGAGAAGAGTTAAGAGACAGAGTTCAAATAGATGATGGCTTAGAATTTTCCATAACTGAAAATAAGCCCTAATATTTTCCATTGATGGATAGTTTTGAGGATTAAAAACAGAGACTATATTACATAGAGTCACTGTAGAGAAAATGCACAATCTGAAGATGAAGAGAAAATTCTAAAAGCTAATAAAATAGACAATACCCAGAAATGACAATCATTTGATGATTCTCAATAGTAATAATACATAACCTAAGGCAATAGAACACTGGCTTCAACGCATTAAGGGAAAATATAATTACAAACAATATTACGTAAAATACAGAAAACAATTATTCATGAAATAGTAGAAATTAAAAATATTGTAGACATAAAAAAGTTTGCTATTCTCAATGAACAATGAATATAGAATGAAAGAGTTAATGGTGAACAAAAGGGTAACTTCCAAACTGGGGAGAGGAAAATAAAAATGTAATTAACTTAATAGAATTCAGAAAATTAATAAAGAAATAAAGCAAGAAGAAATCATAACTATAAAGCATAAAATATGATTGAAACAATAAATAAAGAATACTTCAGCAACTATAATGTCAGTAATTTCCCTCAATTCAAAGATAGAGACCTCAAGTTAGATTGTTTAAAATCCAGTTATAAGTATTTGCAAGACATACATTTAAAACAAGACAGTATAAAAAGGTGAGCATAAATACAAGGAAAAATAAATACAGCACCACCAAAAAGTGGTTGTAAATTAATGAAAGTCAAAATAGAATGCAGACTAAAATAATTATTTTGGGAAAGTCAGTTAGCACCTTTCTTCCTTAATTTTCTCATCTGTCAGCTGTAAACAACAATAGCAACTACCTCAATGTTTTGTGATGAGTGAGTTAAATATAGAATGCTTAAAACAGTAGTAGGCATATAATACGTGCTTTATACATCTTATAAAACTCTTATCTACAAATATAATATTCATCACAATTATTATTATTATTAAAGAATAACAAATTAATGCAGATCAATGTAAATCATACAAAAGTTTAAAAGCCAAACAATATGATTTTGGTGATGATGTGAAAAAATATACACTTGTGCAGTTTTTATAAGCAGTACTTTTACATGGTATGATAACCAAAATGGCATAAAATACAATATAGAACTCTTGCTCCTACCTCTGTCCTAGTCTACATCATTCCCCATCTTCAACTCTAGGTAACCACTTTTATTTGTTTCTCGCTTATAAAAAAAATTCTTTATGCAAAATCAAGCAATATGATTATATTTTCCCCTTTCTTACACCAAAAAAAATACACTGTTTCTGCACTTCACTTGTTTTAATGTATTCTGGAGATTTTCCCATGCTAGTATGTTAGGAAGACTCTCATTTTTTCAGCTGCATAGTATTTAACATTTAAATATACCATAATTAATTTAGAGAGGGTTCTCTTGGTGGATAATTGGGTAGTTTCTAGTCTTTTGGTGTCATAAAAAATGTTTCAGTAAATAATCTTGCTCACATATTATGCAAATGTATACAGGGATATCTGTAGGACAAATTTTCAGAAGTAGGGTTATTGGGTCAAAGAGTAGGTGAATTTGTAATTTGTGTAACAACTGACAATTTTCTTTCCATAGTGGTTATTCCATTTTGAAATTCCATCTGCAATGTACTACATTTACTACTGTTGAGAGCTTAAATTGGCATAGGTGATTTCGAGAAAATGTTGTAGTCAACTAAGAAAAATGAAAGTGTTTATAACATTTCAACTCCTAAATACATAATCTAAAGAAGTTATCCAATATGAGCACAAGGAGACATGTAAAATGGTGTTCACTAAAGCATGATTTGGAATAATGTTAATCTTTATGGGAATGGATAGATCACATGATATATTCATATAGAATTAAACACAGCAATTAAAAGAAATGAATTTGAGACATTTATATCAACAAGGCTAGATCAAACCATAATGTTGAGTGAAAAAAGGAAATTCCCAAATTGCACAAACATAATCCTATTCATGAAAATTTTAAAAACACACACAACACTATATGTTGTTTATATAGAGATGTGTTTATACATGTTTATATGTGCAAACACATGTAAGTACTTAAAAAGACTAAATATCCACATCTAAACTCATGGCAGGGCTTCCTCTCTGGACAGGATGTGAAACTGTTCTAGTGCTGAAAGGGAACCAGCACAGGGTAAGCACTAGGTAAAATTTGTTATTATTAATAAAGTATGTTTTGTTGTTAGAAGCAAATAAGACAAATGTTGACAGTTGTTAATTCTGGATGTGGTAATATCAGTATTCATTATATTATTTTTGTCCTCTTCATATTTCATATCTAAAATTTTATTGAAGAGAAATATTCATGAGACTCTGAACTCCAGTCATAATAAAAACTGGTTGTTATGCAACATTACTTGTTCAAGGTTCCCTCCCCTTCCCTTCCTTTCTTCCCTTCCCTTCCTCCTCTCCCCTCCTTCTTTTTTCTTTCTTCTTTCTCCTTCCTTCCTTCTTTCCTTTCTTCTTCTTCCTTTTTTTTGTGGACAGTAAATAAGCATGAGAATATCAAAGCACACATTAAATTGCCCAGCATAGGGCAGACTAGAATACAAATATTCAGATATTCAAGTATTTTTCTTTTAACTTCTCATTGCCCATTCCATCTTAGAGTAAAATGTCAGTAAGGGAGGTGCTTAATGAAGCCAATGGTCATGTCTTCATTTTTGGATGAGTGCCTATTTTTAGATAGGAATAGGAGAGACACATCTTGAATTGAAAGTTCATCTCTTCCCAACACATTTATCTTTCTGTAAAAAATGGATAATTCAGGATTTCTTTTGTGATGAAAATGGTGAATAAATGATGTGCCATTCTTTGAACTATGAAATCTTCTGTGTTTTGTTTCTGGAAACCAGAGTAATGGCAACAACCATATATATATATATATGTGTATATATATATATATATATAATATGCATATATATATATATATTTTTTTTTTTTGAGATGGAGTTTCGCTCTTGTTGCCCAGGCTGGAGTGCAGTGGCACTGTTTTGGCTCATTGCAACCTCCACCTCCTGGGTTCAAGTGATTCTCCTGCCTCAGACTCACAAGTAGCTGGGATTACAGGCACATGCCACCATGCCCCCATTAATTTTTGTATTTTTAGTAGAGATGGGGTTTCACCATATTGATTAGGCTGTTCTCCACCGCCTGACCTCAGGTAATCCACCCACCTTGGCCTCCCAAAGTGCTGGGATTACAGGTGTGAGCCACCGCACCTGGCCAGTAGAAATAATTAATAGCTAGAAAGCAGGCTGCCGAGCCTGGCAAGGAACCCAGGTGCAGCCAACATCCGAGGATGTTGGAGTTCAAAGAATGGCACATCATTTATTCACCATTTTCATCACAAAAGAAATCCTGAATTATCCATTTTTTGTAGAAAGATAAATGTGTTGGGAAGAGATGAACTTTCATTCAAGATGTGTCTCTATCTAAAAATAGGCATTCATCCAGAAATGAAGACATGACCATTGGCTTCATTAAGCACCTCCCTTACCGACATTTCACTTTAAAATGTAGTGGGCAATGAGAAGTTAAAGAAAAGAAAAATACTTGAATATCTGAATATTTGTATTCTAGTCTGCCCTATGCTGGGCAATTTAATACGTGCTTTGTTGTAAGCCCCATACCAGGCAGAGCAGAACTGTTCTGTCACCCTTCCCGAAGCCTCATGACCCACACTATGACTTCCTGGTGTGGTTGGGGGAAGCGATTGAAGCAGCAACTTGGCTCTCCTTCCTCCTGGAGAGCTACCTTCTTTTTCTGTCTCTTGAGAGTTTATAATTCAGGGAAAGAGTTGACTTTTTTTCTGTTTTTTTGTTTTTGTTTTTCCGTATTTTTGATTCAGAAGTCCTAAGCAACCTTAAGGTTTTTCTCTTCTGAAAAGCCACAAGAAGAAAAACAAATCTCTGAGATCAGAGCATCTCTGTTTCTGGCTCTCTCTTGGCTCTGCCTCCAGTTTCTGCAGAACTAGATCATCTCCATAGCTTCAGGAAGGGCAGTGGCTATGCCCAGGGTAGGTCTCTGCCCCTGGCCAAAGAGTAACCAGATGCAGTTGCGGGAGCCCTTGGGAGAGGTCAGGACCCGGCAGACACTCAGACCTCACAGCTGCTCAGCAGAGTTGGGGAGCCACCACCCTGCGAGGGGATCCAGCTTGGCCAGAAGCAGCCTTCACAGTGTGTGGTTTCCTAGAGACCAGGTGCCCTGCCCAGCCAACAGAGGGGAACGCGTGGTTGAGAGAACTGGCTTTAAAAAGAATAAAGGACAAAATGATGAGGCTCCAGAATCATGTCACAACCGTGTTTACTGTCTGGCTCCTTTTCTGAAGAGCATTGTCCTGTGAGCCTGCTCTTCGGCATGGGAATGCAGGCTCAGTGTGATGATGAAACAGGAAATGCGGCTTGGGGCAAAAAAAGGAAACTCTACTTGCCACATGTGTCTACTACTCCCCACTCAACTTTCTTCCCAGACTTGTACATGCTCATGTGTGGGCACTCCTCCAGGGCAGGGGTCTTACCTTCCTTATCCTGGAAACCTCAAGGGTGACCAGCAGAAATTATGGAGAAGAAGGCTCTGGGTTGAATAAATGTAAACTAAGTGGATTCATTCTAAGCAGATGTTCCTGGATGTACAGGGGTCAAGGTCATCTAGAAGAGTGATGTGCTGTAACTTTAGGAAAATGGGACTGGTATTCCTCTACAGTCAGTGGAAAATTGATCTCTATAGGTGAATTAGAACTAAGGATAACAGCAAAGAAGTAAATGAAAATATAAACTTAACATCACTTATCATCAGGGAAATGCAAATCAAACCACACTGAGATATCACTTCACACCTATTAGGAGGGCTATTATATTTTAAAAAGATAAGTGTTGGCAAAGATGTGCAAAAATTGGAATCCTGTACACTATGGGTGATAATGCAAAATGGTGCAGCCACTAAGGAAAAACAGTATGGAGGTTTTTCAAAAAAATTAAAAATAACCGTATGATCCAGCAACCTCACTTCAAAGTATTTATCCAAAATAATTGAATTCGGGATCTCAAAGAAATATCTTCACTCCCAGGTTCATTGCAGCACTATTCACAATAGCCAAGTTATGGAAACAACTTAGATATCCATTGACAGATGAATGGGTAGGGAACATGTGGTACATACACACAGTGGAATATTATTTAGCCTTAAAAAGAAGGATGTTCTGCAATACGTGACAATGTGTACAAACCCAGAGGACATTATGCTAACTAAAATAAGCCAGTCAATCACAGAAGGGTAAATACTGCATGATTCCACTTAGGATATCAAAACTATCAAAAACAGTCAAACTCATAGAAACAAAGAGTAGAATGTTGGTTACCAGGGGCTGGGGGCAGGAGGAAATGGAGAGTTTCTGTTCAAAGGGTGTAGAGTCTCAATTATGCAAGATGAATAAGTTTTAGAGATCAGATGTACAACATTTTGCCTATAGTAAACATTATATGATGCCCTTAAAAATTTATGAGAGTAGGCCTCACAATTTTTTTAAAGGCATCTATGTGGGAAATTAACTGGTCATCATTCTCTACATGTGATGCAAACTATTATACACCACAATGCTTGTAGAAATACATGTATCCTTTAGTTTCCAAGTGTGTGATAGCTCCAGATCGAATAAATGTCTCACCCTAAAGCTAACAGTTGTGAATGGCCATATTTCTGTATTTGATATCTGATGATCTCACTTTCTTGTATAATGCGTAATGTTTATTTATAAGTTGATGTAGCCATTGTCTCAGAAGATCATATAATATTTTATTGTGGAGGCAATGTGGTCTCATTAGTTTATTCAACACATGTTGATTGGACATAAATATGTTCCATGCACAGTGTTAGAGATGCAGGTCCAGGAGATATAACTAGGGCAGGCCATGTCATGAAGCTTCTGGTTGAGTAGGAAAGACAGACATAAATGATACCTGCCTGAAGGGGTGACATGGAGCAGAGACCTAATGAGCTAAAGCACTAAGTCTCGTGAAGGTCTGAGGGAAAATTATTCCAGGCAGTATGGCTAACATCCATGAAGACCTGAAATGGGAATGCACTTGGAATATCTGAAGAGCAACAAAGTCACTAGAATTGGAATGGAATGAAGGAGGCAGCCAGGTGTAAGAGACTGGGTCTGATGGGCAGTCAGGGATCACAAAGGTCCCTAGAGGTCATGGTAAATTATCTCTGTTTTATACCAAGAATAACTGGAAGCTGATGGAGGGTTGAAAGCAGAAGGAGATATTATATGGTTTATGTTTTAGAATGTACTAGATGGAGGCAATAGTCAAGCATGTATTCATCATCCATTATTTCATTCATGTATTCATTCAATAAATATGTGTTCCACACTTTCTGTATACTCACCTGTCAACTAGCTAGCAAGGAAGGAAAATCAAATGGCTTCAGTGGGCCCATTTCCATACCTATAAAACAGGCTCCCCTGTGTAGTCTCTTCCAGCTGTACTTCCAGACAGTAGTCAAATGTCTGTCTCTGAGAAGGGGAAGGCTCTCTGACATTAGTCGCTTACACCCAAGATTTGTTTGCCTGGGAGTTGTGTCATAGCAACACAATTTTTGGAAACCTGCTCATCGTTCACTTGGAGGTGCATGGAGCACATCAGGTCCTGGGACTGTATTTGAGGGAGACAGTATCAATGTAGAGATCCAGGTGAGCATTGATCTATAAAAAGAACGTAGACTGGGGGCTGAGACGGGCGGATCAGAAGGTCAGGAGATCGAGACCATCCTGGCTAACACGGTGAAACCCCGTCTCTACTAAACAAAATACAAAAAATTAGCAGGGGATGGTGGCGGGCAACTGTAGTCCCAGCTACTCGGGAGGTTGAGGCAAGAGAATGGCGTGAACCCGGGAGGCGGAGCTTGCAGTGAGCGGAGATCGCGCCGCTGCACTCCAGCCTGGGTGACAGAGCAAGACTCCGTCTCAAAAAAAAAAAAAAAAAAAAAAAAAAAAGAACGTAGAAGAGTTTTGAGTCTTAAAATGAGGAGAGTAGAGTTCCTATAAGGACATGAAGTTTGGGATAATTTTAAGTGAAGATAGATATTTAATATCTATGAAAGGAGAAAGAGAAGCAAAATCAGAAATGCCACTGGAGAACGGCCATGATCCAAGTAGAGGTAAATCCCTGATGGCAATGAAATTATGGGCTAAAGTCCAGATGAAAATAACAGAGCCGTGGACCTCACATAAAATGATATTGGTATTTGCATTCTTCCACACACACAGTGTGCATATCAGTCAGTATGGCAATGTCTCTTTTTATTGGTGGTGCATGAAGCCCTCCCTCCAGCCACAGTGAGCTTGGGAAGACTCAAATGCAGTCACACTCAACCGGGAGCAGAGCATCTCTCTGACATAGATGGAGTGGTTTAGCCAATTAGGTTGATCATGAGCCACCAGCTTGAATGGTATCATTCTCTAACCAAAGGTGTTAAAAAAGAAAGAAAAGAAATGAGTCATTAGAACAAGACAGTCAGTAGGCACATGGGTTCTGGCAAAAGGTAGCCTGGTGTGTTCAATGCCCGGTGGCACCACTGTGTTGCAGCTTGGTGTGTTCAATGCCCGGTGGCACCACTGTGTTACTTAGAAAATGCTCATAATTTTTCTGGGTTCTGGTTTCATTATTTGTAGGCGATAGCATAAATGCAGAGGTCCAGGTCAGTATGGATTTATAAAAAGAAAATAGAAGGGTTTTGAGTCTCATGAAGATGTGAGTAGAATGTCTATAAGGGTGGTAAGATTTGGGAGAAGTCTAAGTGAAGATAAATATTTAACATCTGTGAAAGGAGAAAGAGCAGAAAAATCAGAAATTCCACTGGAGAAGGGTCATGATCAAAGTAGAGGTAAATCCCTGACGGGGCAATAATGCAGCCTTCTCTTGTAATTGTTATGAAGGATATATGAAATGATGCACATAAAGGCCTTTGCCCAATGTTTTGCACATGGCTGTCTAGATATAAGCTAACAATCTGTACACTTAGTAATGATGCTGTAGAAGAATGGATGATGTTCCACCCAGCCCAGGCACTGCATTCATATGGTATCTGTCACAGTTACAGCTCCAGCCCCTTCCCTGAGTTAGAAGAAACAAGGCTTGAGCATTGCTTTGGGCACAGTTTAACTCTCTGCTTTCAGAGCTTGAGAGGTCAGCTGATGGTTTTCTGAGAGAACTCTAGCAGGGAGGCACTTGCTTTGGGAAATTTTCCATGGTTCTGAGTCTAGTCCAAACATATAGGCAGAGACGCTTGATTCTGTAAACACACTGATGATGTTTCCACTCTCGTGGGCAGATTGAGGCATATACAAGAATGCCAACATATCAATTGTATGGAAGTAAGTGTCACATAAAGAGGGATTCTTGTCATCTGTATGATTCCGTATATGTATTGCTTGTCTCACTGTAATAACATAGCAATATGCAAAGTGCCAATCTATTGATTTATGATGCAAATGACTCTGCAAGCATTTCCATGTTCAAAGTCTGTAAGGTCAGGGCATAGTCACTCCACTCCCTAGGCTTAGTTTCCCAGGGACAAAGGGCATAATTAGAGGGTATTTTGGGTGAACATGGAACCAAATAAAGAAGAGTAATTTGAATGGAACCTTTGAAAGGATCAGGTAAAAATCAATTTCACCACAGGGTTGGATTTGCCAAAAGCTCAGCAATCTTTGAACTCCATTGGTTACAATACCCTGTGTCTATCCCCACATAGAGGGTAGTCTGTAGTCTTGCCAGGGGGCCTGGAATCTTCAAAATCCTTTGGTTACTATTCCATCTCCCCACATATTCCTCCAGTGACAATGACTATGTGTCCTAGTAACTCATTTGTTCTTGGCTGGTCAATCTCTCTCACCATCCCCCTGGATTGACTTGTTTTCTCTTCTTTTTTTTTTTTAAGCTTATATTTTCCCTAGCTTTATTGAGGTATAATTGACAAATAAAAATAGTATACATTCAAGGTGTACAATCTGATGTTTTGATATATGTATATGGTGTGAAATGATTTCCACAATCAAGCTAATTAATGTATCCATCACCTCACGTCGTTACCTTTTGCGTGTGTGTGGTGAAAACACTTAAGATTTATTGTCTTAGAGAATTTTAAGTGTATAATACAGTATTATTAACTATAGTCATCATGCTGTATAACAGATCTCCAGAACTGACTTATCTTATAACTTGTTCGTGTCCTTTGGCCGCCATTTCCCCATTTCCCCTACTTCAACCCCTGACCCCTGGTGACCATCCTCCTCCTATTTCTATGAGTTCAACTTTTTCTAGATCCCACATACAAGTAACTTGTTTTCTCTTTAGTCATGTTAATTTCATGAATCAGGTAAAGAGTTAATGAGGATGAGGATGAGGTAACATCTTTCTCTGTAGGGTATTTATATAATCTCTGAACCATTCAGTGTTCCTTTCTCTGATGGCAGTTTAATTCTAGTTATTTCCAAGTTATTACAAGAAAATCTGCAGATATCTTCAAGTACTAAAAATAAAAACGAATCTTTCTGGAGCCTTTCTACATTTTTTTTTTTCTGCTTTCATTCTCTTCTCATATTCTCTTAACATTCTTCTTATTCTTTTTCCAAATCTCTTGTTACACTAGGTCACAGTTATCTGCAGGACGTTTTATGGGATACAGGTGGAAAAAAAATCTATCCCCCCCATTAAGCCCTTTCTCACCCACATATGTGCAGCAGTAACCCCCAAGGAGATCTGGCATGAAGAAGAGCAAGTCATGTTCCTCAAACCAGTACTTGTCATTTAGAGTTTTGTTTTAGACAAGAATGGTAATTCAGGACTTTGACTCTGGCCTTATACAATCAAGCTTCATGTTTTATCAAGTTAATAAATGACTTAATCATGCAAGAGTGGAGGAGCGCAACAAAGACATCCGTACATGACAGTAAGGGTTCTGCTGATCCCAAAGAGAATGAGGTTCATGTCAGAGGACACGCAAAGTCATCACAAATAAAATTCATGTTTGTGTTTCCAGCTTAATTGCTCAGGGTTAAAAGGAAAATAATAGAAATGAGGCTGTGTTTGCATAAAGCGTGAAACTTTGTCCTGGGAACTTTTGTCCTCCTAATAATTCCCAGCAATGTGGACATTAGAAGGTTACGGACTGTGTGGCATTTTCACAGAAAGAGCAAAGGGAACCAATTTAGAAGGTAAGAAAATTTTGCTATGCCAGTGGATAGTACTGATTTCCTTTTTGTAGTATCAAAAGTGGAGGAGTTGTAACTGCTTGGGGGGTGCTGCTTACATGGCATCAGCATCTTTCCATTTGAAATCAGCCACAATTTGCTCTCCAGGTAATGACAACCAAGCATCCCTTTACTCGACTACCACAGTGCCAGGAAACACTGTGCCACCGAAAATCAGAGTCTTCTGAAAAACTCTATTTCACAGCACCGCACTGTGCCTTTGGTTTTGGAAAACAATATAACAAATCTACTGAAATAACACCCTCTGTCAATGCCACTGTGTCTATGAAATCAGCTAGTCCTTCTGTCCTTATTAAGTGAGCATGAATTTTGGGCTATTCTCCTTCAGGCTAAGGTTAGCAGATGGCTATTCAGACGCATCCTCAACTCAAACCCATGGCTCCTTGTTCTTATTTTCTTCTGTAACAGTTTTGATTACTTTCTCTTTCACCTTACTCCGACCTATTTGGCTTTTTGGGGGGTTCTGCTTCCAACTTGCTTAAAACTGCTTCAAGCATTTTGTGTTTTCTCATTTTCTCTTGTAGATTTCTTGGTAAACGATTCCTAAATCCCCTATCTCCACTTTGCTTCTCTCTTTTAACCCTTTGCCCACTTTCCTCTTCCATCAATAACTGCAACCCCAGATCAACATCTGCTAATCATTGGTGCACAAAAGTGCTTTCATCCTGCTGTTGCCAGAGAATTAATTCTTTCTTCCATTCTTGGTTTTACATGTAATCTACCATCCCCTACCTAAAGTTCTCAAGAAGGTTTCCTAGAAAACAGGTGCAGTAGAGTATCGGGGATCAGTCAGAGGTACGTTTGGATAGCCTTGTTTCTTCATTCAGAACAAAACAAATGCAAACAAACACAAGCAATGAGTTTGGCCAAAATGACCTCATTATTATTGTGAGGGTTACATGTGACATATAGGAACTCGCCCAGTACATGTCTGGCACAGAGCAAGTGCTCAGCAAATATTTGTCCCCTACCCCACTTAATGTCAGTCACTGAACTTTGTAGCATGCCTTTGTCACCTGTCATTTCTTACCACTTTTCCTCCTCCTCCCACTGCATTTCCACTCTCCTTATACCAAGTTGTCTTTTTCTCTTCACAAGAGCTCTGTACCTCACATTTCCTGCTCCTGCCAGCCCTCAAGTATTCACCCATTGTGTGATCAACACATACCTTACATCTTTAAAGTACGTGGTATACAAGTCACTGGTCCTATTCTGTGGTTTGTGGTACATGCAAAAAATAAAACATAATGACCTAAAGAAAGTTGAAACTTCACGGGAGGAAGTAGAAAGGAGCACTAGGCCCATGCTGGATACGAATACTCCCTTTGCTCTCATCTCCTTCCCCAGATCCCACTGCATTTGCTTTACTGGGGAGAGGGGGGATTAGGAGTTTCCCACTGAATAATTTAAACCTCATCCACAGATAGGCTTGAGACAGTTGATGAAGCTAACCTTGTTGAGCTCTTGCTCATACCAGGCCCTCTTCTGATGTTTTAATGGCGTAGTTCATCACGTAATCACCATCAGCCCATAAGGCAGGTGCCCTGAATAGCCTCCCATTAGGTAGGGGAGGAAACCTAGGTGAGTTAGACAAGGGAGTCACAGTCACACGGTGAGACTTGAACTCGGGCAGTCTGCCTTGAACATGTTGGTGGAGGAGGCGTAGAGAGGATGAAAGAAGCTATACTATAATGGGATCCTGGAGGAATCTGGAGAAAAATTCTACCCTGTGGGGAAGGAATGAGGGGTGATTAGCTATCAGCCACATGGCCTGGGATTGGGAGGAGAACAGTTATTTGGTATTTGGGCATTTGGTATTTGCCTCCAGGCTGATCAAGGTTTCCCTCCCCACACTTCCCCACCCTGCAGAGCCCCTGGGCTGAAAGGGGCACATTGAAAGGAGCCATGAATCTGCAGGTGGAAGGGAATTTGGCAGTGGGGGCAGGAGGCATGCTGGGCCCCTGGGTGTCCTGCTTTAAAAGCCAGAGGCTGGGGAGTGTGCAGGATGGGAAAGGGGAGACGCCGGTCAAAGGTTTTAAAATTTCTGTTGTACAGGAGGAATCCATTTTAGTGGTCTATTGCACAGCATGATGCCATAGTTAATAATAACACACATTTCAAAATTGCTAAAGAGTAGATTTTAAGCATTCTCACCACAAAAAAGTAGGTAAGGCGATGGATATGTTAGTTAGCTTGATTTCATCTTTCTACCATGTATACATATATCAAAATATCACATTGTACCCTATAAATATATGCAATTATTATTTGGCAATTAAAATTTAAGAAAATTAAACAATTAAATAAAAGATAAATGGAAAAAAAGTAGTGAATTGTCGAATTACGCTCCTACCAGTGGTGGATTACAAAACCTGCTTCCTCCTACTCTTATACGCACTGGATAGCATCAGGATCTTAATTTCTGTGAAATTAGTGCATGAAAGATATTCTGTTACTATTTGTATTTCCCTGCTGGCAAGAAAGGAAGATCATTTTTCTATATATTTATCAATCATTTAATTTTCTCTTCTCAGAATTACCTGTTTGTGCCCTTTACCCATTTTTCATTGTTTTCTCTGGTTCTTTCTGCCTTTTCCTTATTGATCTGTAAGCATTCTTTATATGATTCTGGATCATAATCCAGAACTGCAATATATGTCACAGCTTGTTATATATGTTGCAAATATTTTCTCTCTGCTGCTCATTTATATTTCAACTTAGTTCAATGTATCCTGTGTGGTACAGAAGTTCCCTACGGAAGCCCTCATTCATATAGGCAAGGATATTTACTGGCAGTATAACTTGTAATCAGGAAAAAGTTGAAGCAACCTAAATCTCCTTCAGCAGTGGAGTGTCAAATTAAATTAGTTACAGCCATTCTGTAGGTTACTCCACAGCAGTTTAAGGGAAGGAAGTGGATCTTTTCCCGTTGATGCAGAGGCATCTTCTAAATGTATTACTGAGTCAAAAAGCAGGTTACAGACTGGTAGCTCAATATTTAACAATTATTTAAAAGACTATACACAAGTAACAATGCCATCTATTTCCTATGAGTGAGTGTGCCTAGAGATAAAGAGAACAGTGACGTGTGTGTACATATATTCCTTTTATATAGGAATAAATACACACATATCCTCTGATGGGACTTTATATAGAAGGTAGGATTCCGGGCCCCGGGTGTGCCAGTTGGAAATCTTCACACTTTTGTGAGGATTAAATGAGATATGTGTGAGGTGCTTAGCACCGTGGTGGGCACAATGGAGAGTGCTACGCAGGCATTTGCTATATGTCAAATATGTGTATGTAAATATACACTCCTTGTTATGTACAGGAGTATAAATATATCTCTGTGAATATCCTGTGAGTATATTTTCTGGAAAAATATATATACACTATTGAAAATGGAAAATTGTGGTTACTTCTCTGGAGATGGGAAAGGTACAACACTCGGAGCAGTAAAAGCTTCTGTCTTATCTACAATATTTAAAAAATCTACCAGGAGATTGTTCATGAACTTTGTATAATTTAAATTCATGTAAAAAGGCCAGGTGTGGTGGCTCACACCTGTAATCTCAGCACTTTGGGAGGCCAAGGCAGACAGATCACCTGAGGTCAGGAGTTCGAGACCAGTCTGGCCAATATGGTGAAACCCCATCTCTACTAAAAATATAAAAATTAGCCGGGAGTGGTGGTGCATGCCTGTAATACCAGCTACTTGGGAGGCTGAGGCAGGATAATCACTTGAACCCGGGAGGTGGAGGTTGCAGTGAGCCGAGATCACGCCACTGCACTCCAGCCTGGGTGACAGAGGGAGACTCCATCTCAAAATAATAATAATAATAATAATAATAATAATAATAATGACAATAAATTAATTAATGTAAAAAGAAAACAAGAAACCATTTCCATATCAGCAGTAGAAAAGTTAAAAAGGGCAACAGAAGGAGCAGCAGTCAGTGGCTGAGTGATGATAGCAACAACATAAGCAGCAGCAATGAGGTGTAGCAAATTTCTGCATAGCACTCCCCATCGAGCCCACCACTGTCTAAGCACCTCACACATATCTCATTTAATCCTCACAAAAGTGTGATGATTTCCAACAGACACACCCGGGGACCCGAATCCTACCTTCTGAGGAAACTCACATCAGAGTTTCCTATCAGGATCATGTCTCCTTAGAGGAATTCTAGGAAATGAAATGTTCTCCATGGCTTAGGACTAGCTGTTGTTTGGAGCTGCCAGGAGACTTCAGGTACTGCAGGGGCCCCCTGGCAGGCCTGGAGACTCTGAAGTCTGCACCCTCCCTGTCTGACTGTAGCTGCCTCCCTCCTCCTTCAGACTCTGACCTGGGCTCTGCTCTTGGCTTCTGCTCTGCCACCTACACTGCCCGCTCCCGTCCCTTGGATGCAAGGATTCAGCCTCGAGTCACACTTTCTCCTGAGCCTCTGTACTAACTCACAAAAAAGGAGATGGCTTCTCACAAGCCTCTGAATTAGGCAGGCTGGCACATTCGAAGCTCACATTCTGTTACCTCCACAGAACCTCTGGGGACAATGACAGTGTCAGTGTGCACAGATGAGGTCAGAATGACGACTGGCCATCTCACCTAACTCTTGCCCATCAGCTGTTGTGATCGAAAATGTAAAAGTAAATAGACCCCTTTTCACTGCCCGAGTCTGGGTGGACCTCACCTGATAGCAGGCAGTGCCCAGGGAGCCCCCACTAACCCTGTATTCCGCAAGGAAGTTGTCTCCGTATTGAGTAAACTAAATTTTTCCAGGGCTTGAGGGGGCCAAAAAAGGGTCTTGGCCCACATATTTGCTGTACAAGGCCAAGAGCTATTTTCTTTGAATGAAAAAATAATTTTTTTCTAATTTTGTTTGTAAATTTCACAACTTATATTTATTTCTCTCCTTTCCCCAAAACCTCTCAGGGTACATGAAAATGCAGTAGCAAACATTCGGAGGGTAAAGAAGAAAGGCAATCACATTTCATGAGCCCTTACTTTGCATCAGACTGTGTGCTGAGCATATAATGTCAGTTACAGCTCTGTGAGCTAAGGAACTCTTGACTCCTGGTTCACAGATGAGGCAGGTAGGGAAAAATGACTTAAATTACTTTCCCACTATTTAATATAATGTCTCACCTGTTACAAACCTTTGCCCATCCCTGTTGCAAATTACTGTCGATGAAATTGCTGAGGGTTCAGGATTCCCTCTATAGACCTCCCTTGGTTCTGAAGAGGAAAGCAGCTGCAGAGGAGTGTAGGGCAACCTTGTTTACAACTACGATTTCCTTGAGCACATTCTCTAGATCATGGCAGGCAGGCAGAACTCATTTTACATGCATTGTTGTATGCTGCGTGCCACATGTTACAGAGGTCGGTGGAAGATGAGGAATATCTCGATGATTGTCTTCAGGAGTTATAGGAAAAACAAAAGTGAGAGTAACAACAACAACAACAACAAAGGACGTCACAGAGAAAGAAAAAGTCTGGGCCAGGCGCGGTGGCTCATGCCTGTACTCCCAGTACTTAGGGAGGCTGAGGCACGCGGATCACCTGAGGTCAGGAGTTTGAGATCAGTCTGGCCAACATGGCAAAACCCTGTCTCTACTAAAAATAGAAAATTAGCCGGGCATGGTGGCTGGTGCCTGTAATCTGAGCTACTCAGGAGGCTGAGGCAGGGAGAATCACTTGAACCCAGGAGGCGGGGGTTGCAGTGAGCCGAGTTCGCTCCGCCGCACTCCAGCCTGGGCGACAGAGTGAGACTCTTGTCTCAAAAAAGAAAGAAAGGAAAAGTCTGGCTTTGCGTCCATGTTGACTAGGATGACAGTGGTGATGGAGGACATATGGAAAAAGTGGTCTATGAAGGAAGGAAAGTTTGGGTCCAGGTCATGATCTCTGCAATGAGCTGTCTTGGTGTCCTTAGGCAAGTTACTTAACCTCTCTGAGCTTTCACTTCCTCATTAGAAAAATGGAGATGATATTAACCCCAAAGCATGGACTGATTAAAATTTTACATGAGATGTATTGTTCTATTTTGCTAGGAAATAGGATCTCAGTAAGCATCTCCCACAGTTGCCTGCCCAGTATTTTATCCTGTGAACTAATAAGAAAGGTGCCTTATAAGTAAAGTGACTGTATAATTTATTGTCAAAACCAAAACACCTTTGTGACCGAAGAAGTCCACTCTTAATAATCACGCCAAAACAACACACAGAAACTGGAATCGTCCCAGGAGAACAAGTCACTCTACTTACAGAGACAGTTAGGGAAATTTCTGGTCCAGGAAAATCAGTGGGCTTTGCTGACAAGGATGTCCAGAAGCTTCTAAGAGTAGATTTGAATGAAACCTGAAGTTCACAGGCTAAGAAAAACAGACAGGCTTCTTTAGACGTAAATGGGCTGACAAAGAGAACAATTTAGTTTGGCCCTGGGAAATAATTGAGTTAGTATTAGGAAGGGAAACTGGAGACAGGAAGAAGGAAAGAAAGACCCGAAGGAACCAGATCTTGAAATGAAACTACGTACCTACAATTTGCCTCTCTACACTTTGGAGTTAATATAATAACCCATGTTCTTACATTCCAAACAGCTGGTTATATTTTAGACTCTTGATGACTCATTTTTAAAAGGGCACCCAAAGCAAAAATATTAAGAAAGCAAGGTTTACAAACCTAGCATGATCAGTTCAAGAAGTCCTAGTCATTCAGCGGAGGGTAGTAGAATCTAATAGGATCTTCCAGGATTTTGTCCTAGAGATTCTTATTGTGCAGCATGAAGACCATGGGCAACAAGGGGCTGGGACTGTCTCTTGAAATTGCAATATAGTTAGTCCTCCACCAATATTGGTTTTCCCTAGCATGCTGCAGTCTAGCAATTTGATATTGTGTGCTCTCTATGGAATGCAGTCCAGTCCCTTTAATCAAAAGGAACCCTCACTACATTCCTCCTTGCAGTGGGCCTGTGGGCAGACAGAGGGTTAGAGAAGGGAGGAGAGAATGAGGTAGGCTCTGCCCTCTGAACATATGCAGGGAAGACTAGACACAGCAAAGCAGATCCCTAAGACAGAATTCACTTTATATGCAAACATTTTTCCAAGACAAGCAGACATGAAACGAAGGAGACTACAAGTCTAAAATGCATTAAATTTCAAGCAATTAGAACCTAGTTAAAAAAAAGAAAACATAAAGTGTAGGCTAAATAATTAAAAATTGTGGAAGAGAGTCTTCCCCAGTTAACTTTGATATCAATCCATTTAAAAACTGCATTAAATAGAAGTTTTAGGAGCCTTTGACTCTCAAAACAAATAAGATGTCCATGTTAAATGCATCTTATTTGAGAGTCAAAGCCTCCTGAAACTTCTATTTAATGCATTTTTAAAATGTGTGTGTTGGTAGCCACGGCAGAAGGATCACTTGAGGCCAGGAGTTCAAGACCAGCCTGGGCAACATAGCTAGATCCCCCTTCTCTACAAAAAGATAATCAAATAGCAGGGCATGGTGACATGCGTCTGTAGTCCCAGCTCTCTGGATGCTGAGGCAGGAGGATCACTTGAGCCCAGGAGGTTGAGGCTGAGGTGAGCCATGATCGCTCCACTGCACTCCAACCTGGGCAACAGAGAGAGACCCTGTCTCAAAAAAAAAAAAAAAAAAAAAAAAAAGAGGCTGAGTGTGGTGGCTCATGCCTGTAATTCCAGCACTTTGGTAGGCCGAGGAGGGTGGATCACCTGAGGTTAGGAGTTCGAGACCAGCCTAGCCAACATGGCGAAACCCCGTCTCTACTGAAAACACAAAAATTAGCCAGGCATGGTGGTGAGCACCTGTAATCCCAGCTACTTGGGAGGCTGAGGTGGGAGAATCACTTGAACCTGGGAGGCAGAGGTTGCAGTGAGCTGAGAAAGAGCTGCTGCACTCCAGCCTGGGTGACAGAGCAAGACTTTGTCTAAAAAAAAAAAAAAAAAAAGTGTGTGGCCGTAAATCCTGGAAACATAGTTTCTTCTACAAAGTGAATATGCCTTTGATACTATTATGCATATTCACCTATGTTCCCAGACTTTGTGGACACTCCGTGGGTGCAATGCCATCTTTATTTGTCTTTGGTAATAAGGAGCTACCCTAAGCATGCCAGTCTTTTTTTCTCCAGACACCACATGTGCTGTGCCCTCCTACATCTGCTCCACCTCCCTTGCCATGAAAGCTTACTCACTTCAGGTGATCTCCTTCCTCGATTGTCTCAATCTGAGAAAGAAGAGGCGTGTGAAGAAGGGTCATCAACTGTTTAAATGACATCCTCTCCACTTCCAGGGGAGAAAACTGACCCACAATATGCTATGTACCA
The DNA here is from genome assembly GCF_000001405.40 of Homo sapiens. Taxonomy (NCBI): domain Eukaryota; kingdom Metazoa; phylum Chordata; class Mammalia; order Primates; family Hominidae; genus Homo; species Homo sapiens. The sequence continues at coordinate 41,474,326 of NC_000007.14, forward strand.
CGAAGAATCACAACAATTTTTAGGAAAATATGGGGTTATGTAAGTCAATTATCTTTCACTTGCAATCGATGACTAGACCCACAAGGATAAGACAGAAGGTCAGCTTCTAAGATGGACCCCAATAAGCCCCACCTCCGGTGTAATCCATGCTATAGGCCCCCACCCCCTGTCTCCACACATGATACCAGGGCTGGTCTGTGGGACTAGTGGAATACAGCCGAAGTGACAGCATGCGACGTTGTGTCTTCTGCCTTGCCCTCTCTTTCTCTCTCAGATCACTTGCTCTGGAAAAAGTCAGCGGCCAAATCATGAAAATAGTCATGCAACTCTACAGAGCGGTCCATGTGGTGGGAAACTGAGGCCTCCTGCCCACAGCCACATGAGCAAGCCATCTGGAAAGTGGCTTCTCCAGCCCCTGTCACCTTCAGGTGCCTGCAGCTCAGGCTGACATCCTGGCTGCAGCCTCAGGAGAGACACTGAACCAGAAGCACCAAGCTAAACTGCGCCTGGGTTCATATACTCAAATGACATGTGAGTAATAAATGCATATTATTGTTTTAGTTACTAAGTTTTGTTGTAACTTATTATGCAGCAGTGGCTAAAGAAATACCACATCCCAGATGTGAGCAAGAAGCCTTTCACACATCATACCCAAGAAATCTATGGGATCTATTCTGGGAAGGGGCTTAGGAGCTGAAAAACTTTGGGAATAGCTGACCAAAATGCATAGACAGCTGCTTAATTCCACTAGAACCATCTTATTATATCCCAGTGGTAGAAGCACAGCCTTAGATACTATTTCAGGGTGAGAAAATTAAAAAGGAGAAAACAATTTATAAATGTAACTGCCACAGGCCAGATAGAATCATGGTCAACTATAAAGACTTCGACTCCCTGGGCTCAAATCTCAGTGCTTACTTATCATGAGATCATGAGTAAGGTCTTAAACTTCTGTTGCCTTGTCTGTAAATTGGGTATGAACACTTAGGGCTGATGTTTTTACTTTTATTTCACAGATGAGAAATCTGTGCCATTGAGGGGTAAAGCAACTCCCCCGGGGTCACTCAGCTTATTCAAGGCAGCCCTGCTCTAGAACATGTGGGTTTATATCTATTGTACTCCTCTGTCCTTCAGTAATAACATGATGTTGTGGTAAGCATTAGAGAGGCTAATGCATGTAAAAACTTTAACATAATAATCATAAAACCAATGTCAGCGCTTTATCTATTTACTTAACCTCATTGTTAATTCCCAGCCTCCTGGCTCCGATAGCCCTGTGGTTCTCAGGGAGCTCCTACGATCGGGGGATCGGGTGACAACTCTAGGTTTATCCAGAAAAGATAAGGGTTCAATGAACTTGGGGCATGAGTAGAGACAGACCTCTACCTTCCTCACCGAGCTTCCTTTCCACCTGAAGAGCTCAAGTTCTCTGTCTTTGGAAGTGGCCCCTAGGCATCGCTATTTAAAAATCCTTTCTACCAACACATTATCCCTGCATCCCCTCACCCCTAAAATATCAGTTTACCCAGAAGGAAGGCAACCAGCATTGGCTCCCAAAGAAGAAAGTCCAAAGATAAAATGAGGAATTTGATTTTATGAAAATCAGAACTAGAAAGCAGAAGACAGGGTCATCTAAGCTAGACCCCAAAACAGGAAATAGTCATGTATTGGACAAGTACAGTCTGGCTTTGCTTAAATGACTCAAGATATGCATCCATCTGCTGATAACTGACCGAGCAAAAAATGTTTCTACATAACTGCAGAAACCTTTTCAATATTTTGACCCCCAACATTTGTTTTTCACTGATTTGCTTCCTTTTTTAACTTTGTGGTGAAAAGTTTTAGATTTGACATATTGAAAACTAGATGTGCATTCTAAATGCTCACTATGCTGCTTTATGCTCACAAGCTGCATTATGCTGCTTGTTATAGATAAAGTCACAAAGTAACTTCTGTGTCAATGGGTTAGTTCCTGGACTAACAGGAGGGGGAGACATGGAGGACAATATCTGGATCAACAAAAAGACTGGCATTAGCCAAGGTTGCAGCCAGCCGTTCCCTTCTTGGATTTCATTATTTGGGGACTTCTCATCTAGCTCTGTCACTCATTAAATTGTGTATTTAGAATTATGAAAACAAAACGGGGAGCCAAAGGTGCTACTGATGGCTTAGAGGGATTACATAATGATGGCAGCAATTTCCATTCAGAGGTTTTAGAATTACCACACAGTGTGATCTCAGAAATGAGAGACAATTGCAAAAGGGAGATGGTTTAACTGCTGTTTTTTCCACTACAGGTTCTCAGTAGAAGACCCCAATTTTCACCCTAGGGAGGAAGATGGTTTCAGAATTATTAGTCTTCTACTTGCTGTAGAAACTGTTTACTTCTCTTTTCCTTCTTTTGTGTCTCAAAGCTCACAACTCCACAGAGACCCAGGAAAGAATGCTTAAAACAAGAGTAAATATTATTACACATGTGGACCTTTGAGATATTTTTAAAAAGCAGTAACACCCTGCTCCGCTGCTACTATACTCACAGACTCTCCTAAACTGTTTAATGTAATTCCAATATTGGATTAGTTCAAAATGTCTCCATCTGGGGTGCTAAAAGGGCATTGGGTGACTATTGTGAAAGTCAAAAACTCCTAATCTGAAAATTCTAAAATATACTGATTTATTTATTTTTGATGGACTGTACAACTGTGAAGAAGCTAAAACTTTCTTAAACAGGTTCAAGACTTTTCCACAATTCTGGCTGGTTAAGTGTTTGGGCCCAGGTGAGGCCCATTCATTGGTCAGTGAAAAATCTCAGTGATGACCTCTAGCCCCTACCTGATGACTACACAAGAGAAGATTGCTAAGATCTAACAATGTTATTGGGCCGCCTTGATAACTAGCTGATAGGCAGTTCAATAGCAACTTAAATAAGAAGAAAGCATTAAAGGAGTAAAGAAAACTCAGCGAAAAAAGCAAAGTGTGTAGGATAAAATTTTACAACATCATCTCCTGCTAGCATGCATTAATGACAGTGGTAGACTTCTCACACTTCATAACAAATCACAGCCCAGTGTACTGTTTATTGAACTTGAAAGGGGTTCAATAAACAACAACTCTTCAATAAATGGACTCTGAGCTATAGTTACCTTAAAAGATGATGTACAATGTGCAGTTTGCAGGTAGCAATGCTTCTAGTGAACATGTGTAGAGGAGACCAGCTCTGGAGTGTTGGGTGCATGTCAGAGTCCCACATGTTAAGAAGGATATTGATGAACACTTAGCCCCATGGCAAGTAGCAAGCATAATGAGGAGGTTGGAGAAAATGGAGGAAACGAGAAATGTTTGCACTGGAGAGAAGATGTAAAGACTCCAAAAACATGGGGAGCAACCATAGAGAAGAAAGTGTAACTGAGTCTGAGAGGCTCTGAGTGACACAGCCAGGGGCAGTGTGTTTGCACTGCAGGCACTGTGCTTTCAGCCCCACCCCAGGATGATTTTTTAAACAGCTAGAACCGTGGAATGTCAGAGTATGCTGCCTCTTTAAGGAGTGAGAGAGAACAGCAGTCAATGGATGACCGCTAGCCAAAGATGCTATCCAAGTTATTTTTTGATTGGATGAAAGAGTGAATGAGATCAAAGCTTTCCTAACTGTGCTAGATGGAACCCCTTCTCTCAGGGCCACTTAAAACTGTGTGGCAGGAGAAATGAGCCCCAAAACTCCCAAATGCTTCCACAGAGCAATGACTCCTTTATCTGTTGTTGGCACTGGGCCTCTAACTTCAAGTAAGGCATACTTGAACAAGGATCCTGTAGCTAAATAAAGCATTTTGAAGAAAATCGATGGCTTCTAAACTGAGCCCTTCAACAGAGCACAGAAAACCAGGAAGAGGGGCCCAGGGCCGACTGCTTCAGCAGAGCAGCTTTGATGCTTCCTGATTCACACATAGGGCCTCTGAGTAAATTTCATTTGTATAAACGTTTACACAGTTAAAAAGATTTCAACCACTAGCTTAGATCACATCCAAAATCAAGTTCAATTCTTAGATTTCTGTAATTTTATGTTGCATGACTGACTCTAATCTTATCATTTCTTAACTTCCCCTATGAATCATTTTTTCTTTTCATTTTCTATTTCTGAAATCAAAGCAAATGCTTCGGGATAAACTGCCCATTTCAAGAAATTGCAGAACTGAGTTCTAGGCCCACATGCTGAAATTAGTTATAGGACTCAGAATCAATTTAGGAAGATGCTAGGACAGTAATCGTAGTGAAATAATACTATTCATCTGTGTAGTGTTTTTTTTTTCTTTTTTCTTTACAAAGGATCTTAATTTCCATTACTGTATCTGATTCTGAAAACAATCCTGTGAAGAAGGCAGGACAGATAAAATTATTTCATTATTCAAATGAGTAAACTGAGACATAGAAACATATATGTCACATAATCAAGAGTTAAGTAGTGTTTTGTTTCCAAAACTCAGTTTTGGAAGTTTTGGTGTAATGAATTTTCTATAACCATGTAACCTTAAGTGGTCAATCTTGCAGTAATAGCTGAGAACTCTAGAAATCTTTTTAATATACTTATCTTTGGAAGAGAAGCTAGAGCTCAAGTTTTTTGCTGAGAAAATATTATCTTCAGAGAACATTCTCTTTTTTGAAGGTCAGATCTTTTTTTACCTTTTCAGAATCTGGATTTTCACAGGAATGCACCACAGTTTTTAAGAGATTTGATCTTCTGGTGGACTTTTGTTATCAGAATTTCAGCTTTTGGCCTTGAAGTCAAGTTCTGTTTTTAATTCCTAACAATATTCCATTAACCACAACAGTGGCACTGAAACAAAACAAAGCAAAACTTTTCAGAGCTTTTAAAAGGCCAGAAACATTGTGTTAAGTGAGACTGCCATAGACTGCTTGGGAATTTTTTAAATCTACCATTCTAAATGGACAAGAGATAAACAAGAGGGTCCTTATTTGTAAGCCTAGTACACTGTCCAGAGCTCACCTCTGGGGAAACTTGAGCCAAATAACCAATGACCAGCATTTACTTTCCACTTGTCATCAAGGAGTAAGGCTTTCTGAGTGGTCAACGGTCTGTGCCAATTCATTCTGAGAGAAAGATATTACAGGAGAAGCTAACTTTACATTAATCTACTTTCCTGTCTTGGCTGTGACATTTTCTTCATCTTATCAGAGTAGTTAAAAGGAAACGTTGTGGGGTGAGGGGAGTGGGGAGGGATAGCATTAGGAAATATACCTAATGTAAATGACAAATGACGAGTTAATGGGTGCAGCACACCAACATGGCACATATATACATATGTAACAAACCTGCACGTTGTGCACATGTACCCTAGAACTTAAAGTATAATAATAATAATAATAATAAAAGGAAATGTACAAAGATCAAATAGATGTCTGCAAAATTTAGTGGCATGAGAGGAGATATTTGACCCCTTCCTTTCCAATTTCAAAAGAGGGAATTTACCAAATAACTTTTACAATGAAGGAAAAGCAAAATCATCATCATCATCATTATAAAACTTGTCCTAGTGTTATAAATTAGGAAAGATTGCCTTGCAAATGATGGAAAAGTCCAAGAATTTCCACTAGATGTTTTACAGATGAAATCAAGTTTTAAAAGGACACCCAGGGCTCCTACAAAATTTCTCCCCAGAAAGCCAAGAAAACAATGTGACTTCATAAGAAAACAACAGAGGAGATAATAAACGCCAGGAACATTCCCTAGTCTAAAGGCCTAAGGCGGGTGTTGGTATCAGAGAGTAACACGTATATTCAGAAATGTATATGTACAGCTAGCAGTAATCATAGTAGTTGTAGTACTGGTAGTTGAAAATTTTATTTGTATGCATTGGTCTATATTTACTGTTTTGCGGATAGCCCTGGACTTCTTTAAGTACCCAAATTCAGATCTTTTTTAGGACAAAATAGTGTGCTTTTATGCCTCTCTGTATTATTTCTGTTCTACTTCATATGGTTTGTTCTTCAATGGATCTCTGTTGCCTTTACTTTTAAGCGGTCAACATTTTTTTTCTGATTATTTTCCTTTGCTCAACATTCTGTTTCTCAACCTGGCTCTCCACATCACTAATCACATTTTTCAATGCCACAGACACTCTAAATGGATTCCAGATTCACCTTTTCAGACTTCAAGGCTCCCAGAACAGTTACTTCCCAAATCAAGCTGGCTCTGTTTCAAGGAATATTCCTCACTATGCCAAGGAAAGTTACTGGCTTCTCTCCTGCCTCCTGCCCTCCCAAAGTAATTCTGCCAAAGTCCTTCTGTTGCATGCAGTGGGTGGACACCTGGATGCTGGCATTGCCATCGGATTCTGACCTTTAAAAATGTGTGTGCGCTTGTGTGTATGTGTGTTTACATATATTTGCTAGCTCTGTCCAATGAGAATGCTGGAAAGCAGCAATACCTCAATAGTAATGAGCACACCTGGCACCCAGATTTTGGTTTCTAAATACCATTCTCCACTAAAAGGGTTTCTTGGAGAAGTGGCTGATTCAGGACTGGAGCAGGAAAAATACAAGGTAAATATTGAGCATTTTACTGTGCAAGAAATTATGGTGATACAGCAAAACGATGCAGGTGCCATTTTAAAGGAACTCCCACTGCCTAATTGAGGGGGCAATTTGAGCATTAAAATAAATAACAGTGTTAATAGATTATAATCCATGGAATGATATGGAAAATGATTAGTTGACAGAAATATTTAAAAAGTTTTATGAAGAATATGATCTATACAGAATTTCAAAGTATTTCTCTACAAAATACTTCTTAAATACAAATGGAAAAAGTGCAACTTTACTGTGGAGAAGGCTGAATAATAACACCTCAGTCAAATGAGTAAAGATAATCAGTAATAAGGAAAATAGAAATTGTGAACCACCTGATAGAGTGCAATGAGTTGTCCATAATATTTCTGCTCTCCCACTATAGCTAAACATGGACCTCATGGGAGACAGTAAGGGGGAAAAAATATTAAAACCAGAGCCTAAAATAAGGTGACAGACAACCAAGCTAATCAGCTATGAGAATAAATGCAAGTAGGTTAAACTTCCCTATCAAAAGATACACACACACACACACACACACACACACACACACAGAGAGAGAGAGAGAGAGAGAGAGACAACATATACTCTATGCTATGCTCAAAAGTGACCCATAAGCAAAAAATCTCAGAAAAATGAAAAGCAAGACTTAAGAAATCTCAAAACCTGGAAAGTATAAACTAAATAAAGCAGAGGTTGCACAATAGTGTTACTGTATAAAGCAGATTTTACTTGGAAAAAATAACAATGAAAGCAAAAACATTAGATGTATCATTTCCCATAAATCATGCACCTACTCATTCCTAGAGTCTTTCTTGAGGGAACCATAGCAGGAATAAATGGTAAAAGCACTATTACTAAACATTATTATTGAATAGAGTTATTTCTTGTAAAATTTGGGACTCAAGTACTGGATTCATCACAGTGCAAAAGTGTAACTTCTTCTCTGTGCTGAGAGAAAGACATGGGGAAGAAAGAGACAAATGAACAAAGACAGAGAGAATCTCTCAACCAATTGACCCACCTAAACATAAGAAACCAGGAAGTGAAAGAGAGGCCAAGATTTGCTTGGCATTTTTAATGCAGTTATCACATAGACATCCAATAGCTCTGACTATTTGCCCCCACCCCACCAACACAGATATTATTTTCTCTATATAATAAAAATAGACAAATAGAGGTTTTGTTCTCTGTCTTGTCAGATTATCAACTGGAGATGAAAGGAGGAAAAGATGGGGATGACAGAGATGAGTTCACAAGTCCTGGAATAATAATAATAGAGATAGGAAAATTTCTCTTTCTTTAGTTTAGCCTTGTTTTGTTGCCCCTAATGCTGATCATTAAACATTTTCATCCAAAGTCCACATAGGGGACCAATATTTTAGAGGTTGTTTTTGGGTCTCTCTCTGGTTGTCTTGCAAACGTAAGAGAATTTTTTCTATGTTCTGGGAAATAACAATTTAAAGACCATTTTTTCTAGTATCAAAAAATAAATTGAGGCATGATAAGAAAGAAAGCATTTGCTCACAATGCCTGAGGTTGAACAGGCCTAGAACACACGGTGTGTGGCTAGGACAGTGACTTAGGCCAGCACACCACAGGGAAGAAAACAAAGAAGAAAGGAGAGAGACAATCGTCTTCCCACAGTGAAGGATGGCCATTGTAATTATCATTCTTATTAATGTGCTTCAAAAGATATTTAATACAATTCAGTATCCATTTTTTATTTAAAGGAGGGCACAAAACAAACACAAAAAATAAAACTTAATGAGAAGAATATTTTCCAAACATGACGAATAATACTTATCTCAAACCTGCCTAGGAGTCAATCTTATATGAAATGGTCAAAAGTAAATACCCCACTAAAATTAGGAATATCAAAAGTATCCCCTTTATGAACACTTCTGTTTTCTTATTTTCTAAGAGCTTAAGTGAAGTTGATGAGACAGAAAAAAATAGGAATTAGGTAAAGGAATAGGATAGAGATAAAAATATTTGCATAAAAATATTTTACTAATATACAACCATATATTAGTCTAAAATCCTATAAGAATGAATGAGAATTTATTATAGCCTTGCATTACAAATAAACAAGTGAAAACTAATAGCTTTCTTATATACCAGCAACAATAATGTATTTATATGTGTGAATGTGTTTTTGTGTGTCTGTGTATAACTTTGTCTATAAGACCCTCTTGGCAACTGTAAAAAAAAAAAGTATAAAGTATCTAGGGATTTATGAAGAAATGTGCCTGAACATGGCATATTTACAGAAATTTAATGAGAGACATAAAAATATATTTGAAGAACTAGAAATTTATACCACACTCCTTGAAGGGAAGGCTTAGTATTGTAAAGATGTCAATTCTTCCCAAGTTACTTAATAAATTTAACAAAATTGAAGTGAAAGTCCCAAAGAGATGCTTGGGGGCAGGGTGGGTCTTGACAAAAAGATTTGAAGTTGAACTGGAAAAATAAATATGCTAAAGTAGCCAAGATCTCTCTAAAAAGAATCAGAAATGAATGTTGTTAGAATAGGATACAATTTCCTCTGTGAAATATAATAAAACATATTGTAACACTGTAAATATTATAATCCTATAACCTTGGTTGTAGAAGCCGTAAGTGGGAGACAATTAAAAATCTAGAGACCAAACTGTCTCTCTCTCTGGAGACACACACACACACACACGTATACACATATATATACCATATATTTGTCATACATATAAATGTCAAAAATCTTTCTCCAGAATATCTAGGGTTTGGTCTTTTCCTCACTTAATAATATTCCTGAAGTTTATCTACCTTAACAAAGACTACAACGTTTAGGAAAAGATTTACCCTTAGTGCTAAAAAATGAAATATTTAGGTATACATCTGACAAAATATGCATAATATCTATACAAGGAAAACTAAAAAATTCTGATAAAAGAAATCAAAGAACTAAGTAAATGCAAAGATATTCCATGTTCATGGATAGAAAGACTCAATGTTATCACGATGTTGTTTCTTTCCAACTTGATCTATAGATTCAACGCAATCTCAATCAAAATCCCAGCAAGTTATTTTGTGGGCATTGACATGAAGTTATATCGAGAGGCAAAAGACCCAGAATAGCCAATGCAATATTGAAGGAGAAAAATAATGTCAGGAACTGACACTACCCAACTTCAAGACTTAATATAAAGCTACAGCAATGAAGCCAGTGGGCTATTTGTAAAAGAATAAACAAACCTTTCAATGGAACAGAGAACAGAGTAGAGCGCCTAGAAATAGACCTATGTACATATAGTCAATTGATCTTTGACAAGAGAGTAAAGTCAATACAATAGAGCAAAAATTGACTTTTCAACAAATAGTGCTGGGACAACTGCACAATCACATGGAAAAAAAGACTCTAGACAAGGACTTACATCCTTCCTAAAATTAACTCAAAATAGATAATGGACCTAAATGTAATAATGCAAAACCATAATCTCCTAGAAGGTAAATTAGGAGAAAACTAAGATAACTTTGAGTATGGGTGATACTTTTTAGATATGACATCGATGGCATGATCCATGAAAGAAATAATTGATAAGCTGGACTTTATTAAAATTAGGGACTTCTGCTCTGCAAAAGACACTCAAAAGAATGTGAAGACAAGCCACAGACTGGGAGAAAATATTTGCAAAGACGTATCTGATAAATAACTCTTATCCAAAGTATACAAAGGACTCTTAAAACTTAACAATACAAGAGGCTGAGTCAGGAGGATCGCTTGAGGCCAGGCATTTGAGACCAGTCTGGGCAATATAGTGAGACATTGTCTCTAAAAAAAATAAAAAATATTAGCCTGGTTTGCTGACGTCTGCCTGTAGTCCTATCTACTCAGGAGGCTGAAGAGGGAAGATAGCTTGAGGCCAGGAGTTAAAGGCTGCGGTGGGCTGTGATCACACCATTGCACTCCAGCCTGGGTGACAGAGAGAAACAGTGAGACTCCACTTATTTTTTTTTAAGAATGGACAGGAAGTAGAAGTAAGAAAATAAATCTAAGGAAAATTAATTTTTAAATAAATTATACAAAGTTGAAAGATCAAGCAGCTATCACTTGTTTTTCCTCAAAATAGCGTATGTCACTTTTTTCTTTGGTCTATTTTCAGAAGTACTTCTGAGTAAATAAAAAAAGTATATAAATTATTATTCTCTTGCCATTTTTAATATACTTTATTATTAAAGCAGTTCTACGTTCACAGCAAAATTGAATGGAAAGTACAGAGAGTTCTCATATACCTTCTTCCCCCACATACCCACAGTGTCCTCCACTGTCAATATACCCCACCAGAGTGGTACATCTGGTACAATGAACCTACACTGACACATCATTATCACCCAAATCCATAGCTTACATTAGTGTTCACTCTTGATGTTGTGCATTCTATGGCTTTGAGCAAGTCTGAACACAGTTTAGCTGGATCCTCTGTCAAAGTCTTAGAAAGTTTCAATCGAGGTTTTTTTGGGCTTTGTTCTCATCTAGAGGCTCAACTGGGGAATAATTCTCTTCCAAGCACACTCAAGTTGTTGGCAGAATTCATTTTCTTGCAGCTTTATGATTGAGGGTAGCTTGTTGCTGTTTATCTACTGGAGGCTGCCCCAGCAACTAGAGGTGCCTGAAGTTCACTGATACATGAGTTTCTCCAGCATGGCTTCTCCTTTCACCAGGCCAGCAAGAGTCTCAGATAAGTCTGGTGTCATGCCAGAGTCTTAAATAACGTAAAATAATGTAGTCATGGGAATAACAGCATGTCATCTTTGCCATATGCTATTGTTTAGAAATAAGTCACATGTTCCACCACACTTAAGGGAACAGGATTGCAAAAAGGCATGAACCACAGGAGGTGGGGTTCATGGGGCTACTTTCATTGAGTCTGTCCACAACACCTACTGAGCTTCAGGAGTTATTAATGTATACCCAGGGCCTAACAAAATGCCAAACATATTGACAAGTATTTGCCAAATTCATCAATTTAAAATGTATCCTCAATGTACTATTCACTAAGACAGAGATAACAAATGATTTTTTAAAGTTAAATATAAAAAAGCGTTAAAGAACTGACAAGTGTATAACAAAATATTTATATAATTTTCAGTTTGGAAAGTCTATTAAACATGAACACAAAATTGGATACAGAATGAAAAGACTGGTGGATAGATTTAAATAATATTAAATGTCTCTATATATCAAAAACAATACTGTAAGCTATGTGACAAAGTATTAATATCTTAAAATATAAAAGATGTCTACCAATCAATTAGAAGGAAACACACCAATTGAAAGATAAACATAAGCCATGTACAAGTAAATCACAAAAGAAGATATATAAGGACCTAATAAACAGTATTCACATTTAAATCCACTAGTGTCAAGAAGCAGCATATTAAATCAAGGAGATATGCTTTTTTGCCTTTATGATGAACAAAAACTGAAAACATCCAAACACTTTTACCCAGAAATTCCATCTCTAGGAACTTATCATAAGGCAAAAATCACAACTAGCCATAAAACATGTTCATCTCAGTTTGTTAACTAAATATTGGGAACCACCTAACAGCTGGTAGCTGGTTAAATAATTTAGAATAGATCTATGAAATTTCATGCTATTATCAGTGATGTGGTAAGAAATATGTTTAATGACTTGGACATATGCTTGCAATGTATTAACTGAAAAACTCAGAGCACTCAGGAGTATTTCTAATACATATAGTTTGTCAATAGACAAAGACACCATAATGTTTAAAGTTGTTATTTCTTGATGGCATGATTCCTGGTGACATTTCCCCTGCACCCAATATTTTGCATTCTCTGTGTTTTAAAGGTTTTCTCTTGACATGTATTACTTATCATAAACTTTACACATTTAAAACAAACCCTGCATATAATAATACAAAAATTATAAATTAATGTAATATAAATATAAAAAATAATGTAAATATAATAAAATAAACTGTGTTTCTAATTTCCAAGTTGATCCATAAATCAATATTCCTTTGCTTACTTCTGGATTTAGTTATGTGGCTGGTCAACACCAGATTGGTAAATCTTCAAAGTAGGTTATGCCAAGATTAATTATTTGTCACAAGTGATAAAAGCAGGCTAATTATAAAAGCTACTTAATTAAAATTAGACTTAGCATTTATGTATTTAACTGTTCAAATCTATTTGAGGCTTGTGTCTCCTGTGATGAGATTCAAATGTAAGTTTCCTACATAGTCAATTTACTGATTAACCAATTAGAAGTTTTTAAAATCCATTATCTATAGCAAATAAGAGGGGTGATTGGAAATGCTAATTAATGTATGACTTATCTTAAGAAATAATTATTCTATATTTCAATGTATGTTTCTGGCAATATCATGAAGAACTTCTGAAGAGCAAGTCTAAAGTTACGCCACTTTTAAACAGTCTTGGGGCTGTGCCGTTGCCCAAGTTCTGTTGCATTGTCAGACAATAACAACTACGCTGTCTGAGAACATTTTGAACTTGTTCATTTAACCTTTGGAGAGCTTTCTGTGCTGCAGACACCATTGATAGGGTTTTCTTTTGTAAGTCTCAGTTTAGTTAATCTTCAAACCACAAGGAAGGAGGAATTTTTAGTAATAATGCAATATAAATGGCATTACTTATGTTCTCTATTTCAATACGGTAGGAACTAGGCGTGGGTCAGGCCAGCCTCGTCCTTGGATCCCTCAAATATCTTGAACTGCTGCTCAAATGTGTTGGGTTTGGCACAACCTGCAAGACCCTGGGCCAGGCACTGTTTCCTCTTTGATTTTTAAGCCCCTGTGTATTTCAAGGGAAACTTAATCCATATGTTTCTGATTCATTTACACTTAACTCATCAAAATGTTGTCTTGAAGGAGCTATTTGATATCCAACAAATCTTTGGAGCCCTTTTCTCGAGGACTTTGAAAATCTTTATTTTGATCCCCATAGAAAAGAAAAAGTTACTCTTTTAGTGTGTGTGAGCACATGTGTGTGTTTCAGTGAGCAAATTCAGTCACCCTAAGGCATGAGTTCAATCTAAAACTAACAAATAAGATGTCAGCCCAGATTTTTAACTTGCTCTAATGTCCTATGTACTAATTAGAGCCTCGTGGGGGGAGGGGGTGGAGGATTCTCACTCTGATCTAAACTAGTCCCAAGCCCATGAAAATGTTCACCATCTGTTAGCAATATAGGACCTAGATGTGGCTGACAGTCATTGCCCTGATTCTTTGGTTCCAATCCACACTGAACTATTTAGAATTATTTTGTTGTTACCATGTTTTTTTTAACCTCTGACGTTTTGGGTTAAAATTTTATGCCCTAACCTTAGAGAAGAATGAAGATATATAACTGCCAGAGCCTGATAGTTGTCTTGCCAATATCCTGGGTTAAGACTGCTTAACTAGCTTAATTTATACCCTTAGAATCGACCAGATTGTTGGTTTTAAATTCTCTTTCACTAAACTCTTTCACTGTTCATGGAAATGGTTCATTTTTCCTTTCTCCAAAAATATACAGTATGACAAGCTGAGATGGTATTTTCTGCCATTCAAATCAGTGAAAGGGAAGCTGATGTCAGAAAGGAGAAAGCACTTATGTTACTATCTCCTAAGCGACAAGCACTTTATGTATTTATTCATTCACTATTCAACAAGATTTTATTAAGGACCCATTAAACCCCAGCGAGGTAGGCCCTGTGATAGGTGGGAATAGCGAGATGAGCTGGATGAAAGGCCTCAGCGTGCCCTGAGCCGGTGAAATGGATGGAGTTCCTGACAGCTATGGTGTGAGGGAAAAACTAGAGGGCGGTGCCCCCATGTAAGAAGAGCTAACAGTTGGCCGGGCGCAGTGGCTCAAGCCTGTAATCCCAGCACTTTGGGAGGCTGAGGCGGGCGGATCACGAGGTCAGGAGATGGAGACCACCCTGGCTAACACGGTGAAACCCCGTCTGTACTAAAAATACAAAAAAAAAAAAAAAAAAAAAAAAAATTAGCTGGGAGTGGTGGCGGGCGCCTGTAGTCCCATCTCCTCGGGAGCCTGAGGCAGGAGAATGGCGTAACCTGGGAGGTGGAGCTTGCAGTGAGCCGAGATCGTGCCACTGCTCTCCAGCCCGGGCGACAGAGCAAGACTCCGTCTCAGAAAAAAAAAAAAAAAAAAAAAAGAGAGAGAGAGAAGAGCTAACAGTTATTGAATAGGAGCTGTGGACTAAGTTACTGGATACTGTACTAAGTACTTTTATAAGTATCGTCTCATTGGATTCTTACAAACACTCTATTTTTCCAATTTTAAAGATTAGAAGGCTGGCAAAGCTACTCTGTGTGGACCGGCCGTGGCCATAAGAGCAGGGAACATGCGCTCTTAACCAGCACGATACACGGGACTGCCACCCTCGCATCACATATTGAGTTGACTGCATTAAGCCAGCCACTGTACTAGTTCACTTTTAGTTAGGATACTTATATTTTCTCATAATCCTCACAACCACCGATGAGTTGGGTATATTACTTTCCAATTTTTAGATGAAGAAGCTAAGATTCAGAAGTTAAGAAACTTGCTCAAAGTCACATAGCTAGTGGGTGGCAGAGCCAAGATGGTAACCGTAGTCTGCCCTGCTATACATCTAGGCCTCTTTTCCCACTACATTATGCTGTCCTGTATCCTGTACACAAATCATCTTCAAATGTATTAATTTTACTCTCTAAAAACATGAATTCAACACAGAATGGGTTGGTAAACATACCTTCCCTTTTGCTAGCCTGTTTCACAATTCACAAAACAAAAGATGAGCTGTCGCAAACATTTTTATATTTTGTTTCCATTTAACTCATTTGCCAAGACCTCCAAGTGGACTCTCACAGCGCTTTTAAAGAGGCATATTTTCTGTGACTCTTAGTCATCTGTCTGGTGTCCCTGGTCACCCATGTTTGGATTGGGAGGTGTCTTTTTCAGTTCATTTCATTTTGCATTCCTGTCACCTGAACACAGAACTTGCCAGAGTCCCTTGAAAAAAGTCCCAAGAGTCAGTCGCAAGACCTCATGGTGGTTATTAAATAGCACAGGCAGAATTCTGCCTTTTCAGCATGGGGTGTATAAAGGGAAGTCTGTAGAGAGAAAATGGTAAGCCTAGATACCTGAGCAAGGGTGATGACAAGCTCTGCAGAGGAGCCAAACATTTCATCCCATCCAATCTTAAGTAATACTGGGGCGCTTTGACATATTCCTGGCACAGCTTAGGGAGCCTTTCCCCCACCTTGACATGCTTATGTGCAAATAAATTCAAGCACTGCCCAAGGATAATAATTACAGAGAGTTTTGTGCAATAAGGAAAATTGCCTGTAAATATCTGACAGCTGATTTAGGCTCCATTTGAAGTGGTATGAAAACCAACATGTTCCATGAACTTACCCTTGCGTCAGAATCTCCTGGAGTAAAAGCTATTCCCAAGTTAGAAGCAAGGCACTATTGGAAGCTCTGTTAACCACTTCAGGGCCCTGTGATGAACAAAAGAGTGAGCTGGATGCATGGCTTCTGGTGCCTGCCACCGGTGCACCCCGTTAAGACTGTTCTATTGTTTTCCCTTTTACTCTGGGCCATGCACAGAGTCAGTAATAAAATGGAGCATTCTCAGTAAAACACGTCCTACTTCAGGGATGAGCCAAGTGCAGGCTTTCCCTTATTTCTACTGGCCTTGTAGCTCAGGTCTAGGAGCAACAAGAAACCTGCTTTACATAGCAATAATTAGCAAGAATTGCTGCCACATCTTCACTTTCTTGTCTCATTTGAGTCTTGGATATGAAACCCTTCCGGGAAAAGTTTCAGAAGATGAGAGGAAATTGCTCCTCTTCTTGCCGCATCCCGCTCCCCAGCCTCTTGCTGACACTCATCCTTCCCTCTTCACTTTGTGTCTTTATGAAAGACCTTGTTTCTCCATGCAGCCTAACCCTCCTTTCCTGCACTGGGCATTCTCAAGCTTCAAACTTCTTGGGACTTTGCTCAAACCCTTTGTTCCTCACCTCCTTTCATTGAGAAGCAACAAAAGTCATTTATCTCAACTTTTCCCTCCCCTGGCTACTCTTACTCTTGCCCTTTCTTTCAGTCATGATTCTTGAAATGGTCAGGACATAGCTGCTTTTTCTGCGCC
Source organism: Homo sapiens (assembly GCF_000001405.40). Lineage (NCBI taxonomy): Eukaryota > Metazoa > Chordata > Mammalia > Primates > Hominidae > Homo > Homo sapiens. Next base: position 41,491,074 of record NC_000007.14, read on the forward strand.
TTCTTCCCCCAGCACTCTCTACCCAGTGGAATCTGCATTGCCCAAGTCACACTGAAGCTCCCTCCTCCTGAATCCAAAGGAAGGCTTTCCTGTCTCACCTTGCTGGAAGTCCTCACAGCCCCTTCTCCTTCCCACCATTCCCTGTGAGGAGGGTCTGACTCTGACTTCTGTACTCCTGCTCTCCTAGTGTTCCTCTCACTGTCTAGCCACTCCTTTGTGGTCCGTTCTATGGATCTGAATTCCCCCACAAAGGGTGTTCAATCATCCACAAACTTCAGAATCACCTGAGTGCTTGTGAAATGTGCAGCTTCCCGCTCACTCCTCAGACTCGATAGATTTGGGGCTAAGCATTATATATACAGTCAGATGTATATTTGGAAAGAATAAATACTCCTACACAATTTTGGAGGTTTGCCCAGGAACTTGCTTTTTTAAACAAGCACTCCAGTTGATTGTGGTGCTGGTGACCTGAGGGCCACACTTCGACAAACTCTGCCTGAAAACGAATACTCCTCAGGCTTCATCTGTAGCCCTCAGTGCTCCTAAGGGAACCCCCTTTATGCCCACCGTGACTTCAACTCCCACCTACCCACTGCTGTCTCCCCAGACTTTTTTTCTAACTCAGCTCCCTCCCTCTTTCTCTCTCTCTGTGTTTCCTTGTCTCTGTATATTTCTTTCTCTTTCCCTCTCATTGTTTCTCTCTCTGCTTCTTTCTCTTCTCTCTCTGTTGCTCTCTCTCTCTTTTTCTCTCTCTCTCCTCCCTTCTCCCTCTCTTTCTGTCTCTCTGTATGTTTCTGTATCTCTCTCTCCTCCATCCTCCCTTCCTTCTCTCTCTCTCTGGGTTTATAGTTGCAACTTCCTGCATGATATCTCTAAATGGATGTTACACAAGATACTGCAGTTTAACAACTCAAACTGATCTCATTGCCTCTCAAGCCAAACAACCAAAATAAGTGTAATAAAAACACATACACATATGCAAACAAAAACCCAGCTCTGTTGCTCTTGTTACTCCTAACTCTTAATGATGCCTTGGCAGTCACTCAATGATCATCACCCTATGACCTTATGACCCAAGCCTGGAGTCTGTCATTCTCACAGCCAATCATCTCAAGACCTCTTGATTCTATTTCTGTAACAACTCTTAAATCAGCCTCCTTTGCTGCTCATTAATGCCTCATTATGACACAGTGCATGTTCACAGTGATCTCTCAATTACTCTCCATGTCTTTGTTCTCACCCCTCAATCTATCCAAGTGGGTCATTCTGAAGCGAGCCAATGATTGAAAGCCCTTAAGAAGGGCATTTAAATCTATAGAAGAGTCCAGAAAGGGCTGGTTAGACAGTGAGGGGAACTCCGCGAGAGCAGGAGTGCAGAAGTCACAGAATCAGACCCTCCTCACAGGGAGTGGTGGGAAGGAGGGGGGACCGCGAGTATGTTCAGCAAAGCAAAACAGGAAAGCCTTTCTTTGGATTCAGCAGAGGGGAGCTTCAGGGTGACTTAGGCAATTCCCCTGGATAGAGAGGGCTGGAGAAGGGCGCACAGAAAAAGCATCTATGTCCCGACCATTTTTTGTCTCACCCCTTGTTATCAAAGTGGCCTTTCTAGGTGGAAATCTGTTCACATCACACCCTTGCAAAAAGAGAGGCTCCTGCAGGCTGATGTCAGAAGCCTCCTTCGGCTTCCAGGGCCCTTAAGGTACAGCCCTTCCTCCAGCCCCACAGTGCACTCCGAACTGTCTGGCTGAAGCTCCCTAGAGCTTCCTCACATGCTTCTCTGCTTCCTCACATGTCATTCCCTTAAACTGAAATGGTGTTTTGTACAATTTTTATCCAGGCTTTCTCTTCTTACCCAATGATAATAATGATAATAATAGGTAGCATTTAATGAATGCTTACTGGATGCAAATCATTATGTGACACACATCTTATTTAACCTTCATAATTGTTGAGTTTAATATTATTGTTCTGAATTTACTGAAAGAAAACAGCACAAAAAAGTTAACTAACATGGCTGAGATCAGACAGATAGTAAATGATGGAGCCCTTATTCAAGTTCCAGTGGATGAACTCTAGAACCCATCCACTTAACCTTGACATTAGATCAGTGACTGCTTCCTCTAGGGAGCTATTCCCTATTGTCTTTCCCACCCCAGCCTAGTCCTGCCTTTCTCTGTTCCCAAGACACCCTTCCCTAGGCTCTGCCATTGTACTTATCTCACTCTGCTTGACAAATCCACTCTCCTTCAACCAGGCTCTGATTTCCTTGGGAGCAGGGAGTATGTCATTGACTTTGATATCTCCAGAACCTAGCACAGCTTATGGAACGTGACAGAGGCTTGATTAAATGCCTATGATTGAACAATTAAGATGAAGTGAGAAAGAGAGAGAGAACATTGAGAGAAACTCTATGTAGTATTCATCTTTATACTCATAGTATTTCCCACAATGCCATGTACAATGTAGCCACTAAAAGAAAAGATATGTTGAAGTGAATTGAAATGTAGGTAAGTCTCACAAATCCTTGAAATGAGATGAGGCTGATAATTTGATTAGGAATCAATGAGTCAAACAGCCAGATCTTTTTTAAGGAGAGAAAGAAAAGAGAAAGAGGAAGAACAAAGAGAAAGAGAGAGTAAGGGAAAGAGAAAGAGAGAGGAAGGGAAAGAGATCTTTGAGCGGCTCTATGCTTTATTTATCTTTGTACCCTAACAGTATTTCCCACAACACTGTATTCAATATCTCCTCAAACTACAGGAATAACTATTTGAAAACATTATACTTGCCTTAAAACATGCACTATATTAACTGTACACAAATATCTTCTTTAGTGAAAATCCATTCACTCATTGGAACATGACTGCCTTTTTCAAATAGCATATTTACTTAGAACCACTGACTTAATAGATGTGTGAGTCTAGTCTTAAAGTTCTAAACAGATAGACATCCTTGTTCTCTTCTACAAAAAGTGTCGTGCCCTTTATGCTGAAGCCCTACTCTTTCATTATTTTTTCCTAATTACATCTCCCTTTTCTGAACAACTCTTCCATTAATTAATTAAAACAATGATTCATTGCCTCATCAAATATATACTGAGTGCCCCCTTTGTGTTCAGGCATTAGGAGCATGTTGTTGAGCAAACTAGGCATGATCTCTGTCCTCAATAAGTTCACCATCCTATGATCTACTAGGGGTAGACCAAAAATTAAACATTTAATAAATGCCTAGGCTGGCACAGTGGCCCATGCCAATAATCTCAGCACTTTGGGAGACTGAGGTGGGAGGATTGCTTGAGGCCAGGAGTTCAAGACCAGCCTGGGAAACATAGTGAGACCCCATCTCTACAAAAAATTAAAGCAAAATAGTTGAAAAGGGTCACTCGATCCCAGGAGTTCAAGGCTGCAGTGGACTATGGTTGGGCCACCACACTCCAGCCTGAATAACAGAGCAAGATCCTGTCTCTAAATAAATAAATACCTAAATATATATCATTTAAAAGCAAAAAAGTTTGTGATGGAGACGTCAGAGTTGATACCTAAACTTATTATCTGTGCCTTTCAGCTGCAGTCATAAGAGAGTGTTGCCTTAAATTATTATTTAAAATGTTTTATGTGCACCTGTTTTTCTCAACCAGATTGCACACATCTTTAGGACAGACTGAAGCTGTGGTTTCCCTGTAGCTGATGGGGTGACTACATTATTAAGAAGACTCTGATGGAAGTGGCCCATTCAGTTGTTTCTGGAAAACAGGTAAATTTGGCCAGTGGAAATCAAGGCTAAAGACAGTCTGTGCTGAGAAAATAATGTAAGCAAAGACATAGAGACAAATATTTCCAAGTATGTTTTGAGAATGTGGCAAAGACAATGTTACACATTTGCCAAACTGTTTCATTTTCCTCCTAAGCTCATAGCTGGGCTTTATTCCCCAGCCCACGTTACCACTAAATGGGGCAATGTGAGCAAATTTTAGTCAATGAAGTACAGGCAAAAGTGATATAAAACACTTCCAAGCCTCATCTAGGACATTCCACATACGGGCTTCCCTCATCATTTTCCTGACAGGTGCAAAGGATCCTATGGAGACTCCTAGGTGCCCCTGGGATCATGGAACCATGAAGAGGAAGCCCCTTTGTTGGCCATATGGGAGATCACTCTTGGGATACACAACTGGGTTGTGACATGAGCAAAGACCGAACCTGTTATTGAGCTAAGCATTGCGATATGAAGTTGTTGATTTATCACAGCAATTAGTCTACCCTGACTACCTTCAGGAGCCGAGGCCACTGTGAGTACCTATTCTTTGATGGAGAATCTATAGGAAAAGCAGACAGATTTCATTTATTTAACTGTTTTAACATTATCAGCTGCCCTGCCAAGAGGCTGATAAACTCATTTTAACATACACTCATGTTAAGGTAGCTGCAAAAAATCTGAAGGTCAGAAATATGTTATCCACAATGACAACTAGGAGCTAGCTGAGTGTCTGTTACATAGTTGGCCATCAGTAAGTATCCCTTGAGGAAACTAGTGTGGGAGATCAACTCAGCAAAGGTTCAGACGGAAGTAATGAGGTCAGTGTTCCGAGGATGGAAACTCAGGTGCCAGTCCGAGTTAATCAAACCATCATGCATAATCACAGAGTTAGCAGCAAAGGCCACCGAGCAGCAGGGCCAGGGTGGACCCTGGCAGCTGGACCATGCATCTCTCACCAAATTCAGTCTTTGGCCAAAGCCCACACAATTCAGGTCCCCATACTCTAAATTTGTTCAAAGGAATATAACGTTAAGTTTACACAAGTCTCTTTATACATGAATTTAATCATGAGCTATGGCAGGATAGGCTTGGACAGGTAGTAATTGGGTTCATCTCTGTGGCACAAAACTTGATGAGAGTGATTTGACCACATAGATGCTGTTCTCGCAAAACAAGCCATCTGGAGGTCAGCGTTCCAGGACTGGAGCAGCAGCCTTATGATGTCACCAGGAACCCCCCCCCCACCGCCCCAGCTCCCTCTGTCATCCTGCCCCCTTGTCCTTGGCACATGGTTTTCATCCGCATTCTGCTGGCCCACTTTTGCATGATAATTGCTTCATACCCATCTCCATATCAGTGCTGAAAATGAGACAAAACAAGGAATAGGTGACTTTTTTCAAGAAAGCAATAGCTTTCCCAGGACCCCATCAGATATTAGCTTATGTCTGTTTAGCCAAATCTGTGTGAGATGGACACCCTTGCCTCACTGGACTTTAGGAAGTGATTCTCTTTTTTTAGACAGGTTCTCACTCTGTCACCCATGATTATAGCTCACTGCAGCCACAAACTCCTGAGCTCAAGCCATCCTCCCACCTCAGCCTCCCAGGTAGCTAGGACTACAGGTGCATATCATTGTGCCCAGTTAATTTTTTGTTTGTTTGTTTGAGACGGAGTCTCACCCTGTCACCCAGGCTGGAGTGCAGTGGCGTGATCTCGGCTCACTGCAACCTCCGCCCCCCGGGTTCAAGCGATTCTCCTCCCTCAGCCTCCTGAGTAGCTGGAATTACAGGCTCGTGCCACTACCATCTGGCTAATTTTTTTATTTTTATTAGAGACACGGTTTTGCTGTGTTGTACAGGCTGGTTTTCGAACTCCTGACCTGGTTCCACCTTGGCCTCCCAAAGTGCTGGGATTACAGGTGTGAGCCACCATGCCTGGCCGTGCCCAGCTAATTTTTTAAATTTTGTTGTAGAGATAGGGTCTCATGATGTTGCCCAGGCTGGGGAAGTGATATTTTATTTGGGCATATTTACTATCCAAATAAAGTTGAATTTCTGTTACTAAAAATCAAGACATCGACAGATATTTAGTAGACAACTAAGATAATCTATGAGACCCAAGAATTCACTCATTCATTAAGTGTGGGGATATAATGGGATGCTAGTACAGGCATGACCTTGTCTTCAAGGGGTTTACAGCTACTGGGGGAAAACTAAGCACATTAGTTAATACAGAATAATAGACTGAAGTAACTGTCCCAGAGAAAGAATATGGCCCTATGTACATAATAAGCAGCCTCCTTCAGTGTGGAGTGTTAAGACACATCTCCATGGAGGAACAAATGAGTTGAAGTCTAAAAAGTTAGTAAAGTTTCACATATGACAAAGTGTGTGGGGGTGTATGTATATGTATGTGGAAAGAACTTTCCAGAAAAAGAAAGACGGGTATGTGAAAAAGAATCTTATATGGAAGAGACAGAATGGCAAATCTAAGAAACTGGAAATATATATATATATTTATACTTATATATAATATAATAAGTAAATATTTATATGTAATATATGTGTATATTCTTATACGTATATAGCTACAGATGAAATAAAGAATAGACAACAGTAGTATAGGATGGGGGCATTTCAAGGCCTTATAAGAAAAACTATCTAAGGATTTGACACAGGAAGTTGGGAACACCATATTTGCCTTGAGAAAAGATCACTCTGCTGTGGTATAAAGGGTCAATGGGAGGCACAATAAAGAGATTGCTATAGACTGAGTCTCTGTGTCCTCCCCAAATTCATGGTTGAAACCTAATGCCCAATGCGATGGGATTTGCAGGTGGGGTTTTGGGAGGTTATTAGGCCAAGATAGTGGAACCATCATGGAAGGTATTAATTCCCTTACAAAAGAGGCCCCAGAGAGCTCCTCACCATTTCCATGATGTAAGGGCTCAGCCAGAAGACAGCCCTCTATGAACCAAGAGAGGGGCCCTCACCAGCCACTGAATCTGCTGTGTCTTTGTCTTGGACTTTCCAGCCTCCAGAACTGTGAGAAATAAATTTCTGTTGTTTATAAGCCGACCAGTCTATTGTGCTTTGTTAGAGCAGGCCTGGATGGACCAAGGCAGAGATGTCTTGATAATGATACTGGAGGTCCAGGTGAGAGGCAGTGGTGGCTTGGACTGGGGTGCTAGCTGGGATCATAAAGATAAATTAGATAGAACTTTTTAAGATATCTGAAGCCAAAAAGAATGAAACTTGTTGATAAATTGCAAAATAAAAAACTTTTTAAAAACACTAATCAATATCATACAAGATACTGAACTCATGAAACAAGAATGGGATTTATTTTTTAAAAGAAAGAAAAGAAGATTCAGAAAACAAAAAACAGCTCTTGGAACTTAAACATGTGATGGTAGACATTAAAAAATACCCAAAGGAAGTATACAATATAAAATTGAGAAACTCTTTGAGAAATTAGAACAAAAGATAGAAATTAGAAGATTTTTAAAAAGAAAAACATCCAAATCTGTATTATCTCAATAAAAAGAATTTCAAAAAGAAAGAATATAGAAAAAAGAAAGAAGAAAATCATTAAAAAATACTATAAGAAAAATGGCTAGAAACCAAACATGCATCTGTAAATTTGAAGAACCAGAAAGTGTCCAGCAAAAGAAAACAGAGCCACACTAAGACCTGGGAAAGTTTAAAACACCAGGGACTACAAGAAGATTGTAAAGATTCTAGAAATGGGGAAAGGGTGGCAGGGCAGAAGGAAGAAGAATAGGAAACACAGATCACACGCAAATGATCGGGGATCGAGATGATGCTAGCCTTGCACGCAGTCTCAGTGGAAGCTGGAAAGCATTGAGTCCATGCCTTATAAATGCTGAATAAATGGGTGGTGCTTTGTAGCACAACTTGACATTTTAAACTAGACACAAAAATGAATTGCTTGGAGAAATTTTCTTTATGTTAAGTAAATTGAAACAATTATCTTGGAATTTATAGTGAATCATATTGAAGAATTATATTAAATGTATCAAAATTAGGAGCATAGATGCCACAGATGTCCTTAGCAAGAGCTGTCTCACCAGTATTGGGGCTAACGCCAGATTAGGGTGAGTTAAGGAGTGTGTGGGAGGTGACAAAGTGTAGCCCACAATTTCAGCCAAGGGAGAATTCATTAATTAAGTCATTAGTATGAGAAACTTCTGAGCATGTTTAATACCAATGGAAATAATCCAGTTGAGAAGGGCAGTGGGATGAACAGGACAGAGCAGACGTTATTGATAGTATCTAAGCAGAGAGTAAATGACCTTAGATAAAACAAGACATGCTCTCATCTGCCATAACAGGAAGGACAAAATGGAGGCTGGAGAAGACCTTGGCAGGCTTTAGTTTGGGAACATGTTGAAGGAGTTCTATCAGAGCAGGAAAGGTTTGAAATACTCATGCACAAAGTGGGGGAGCAAAAGAACTGTGCCTGGACTCAGAGGGCAGATGAGCATCTCCCAAGGGCTTTCTTTCATTCTTGAACTTGGCCTATCACCATAAAACTGTAATTCTCTCATACTGACCTGTCAGAAACTACCTAGGGCCTACTGTAGTGAAAGTAAATAGAAAAAGTACCTGAAGAGATGGGACTTGCCCTGTGTTGGTTCATAAAAGAGAATTTAAGCATATACTGCAAACTGAAAAACGGTGAGCTTCTTCAGGGCAAGAACCAAGTCCTGTATTTCTATCTTAAACACCTAATGTTCTGAAAGTTAGTCACTTGTCCACAAACACTTTGCTGAGGAAGAAAATGAATAATTAAAGGGATAGTCTCTTTTGCCTTCTTTTGCTTGTCAAAGTCCTAGTAACTTTCTTACTTTGGATAAATAGAAACTTGCCCAAGTATTGCTAAAGACAATGGTAAGTGGAGAGGGAGAGATAAATATGTCCAAAAACTTAAGGCGGAGATGTACAATATGCAGACTTTGTAAAGAGAACTTTTTTGTTCACATTAAACATATCAGGCACATTGACCATGTTGCTGAATATCCCACAGTTATGACTACTAATATGGTTAGTTCACCTCATTTCATTTCCAGCCAAACAGGAAAATAATGTTTATTACAGAGGCTAAAGATTTAGCAGAGTCAACTTTGTGTTTTTAGGCAACAGGAAAGAATAGTGGCACAAATCTTTAAACAGAAAATTTATTTCAAAAAAATCACTTCTATCTGATTTTGAATACTTTAGTGATTATCCCATTTCTTTGCTCCCATGTGAAAATTAGCCTATATTTCTTCACCACCTCAAAGCCTATTGAGTGTCAAGAAGCAGCAAGGCTGAAAGTAGAGGTACTTTTTGAAATATATATTGAAGGAGTAATATTCTCGATTAAATTATTCCAAAAATCCAAAGACCTCAGTTCAGTTCTTCTGTCTTAATACAATTTTCTGCAACAAATTGTGTCAAACATCTGAGCAGAAACAAGTCACAGGTTAGATTTCTTGGTGGCAAAAGGAAGCGTCTTTTAAAAGTTGTAACTAAAAATAAGAAGTGATCTATGGGGTAGAGTGGGATGGGAGGAAGGACTGGTGGGTGGGAAAGAGCAGTGCTCAGACCCCTTCAAGGTCTACCACACTGCTGGTGAGAAAAGGCCTGGAGAAAGGGCCTCCACAAAAGGCAAGTGGAGAATGAGCAGACATGTGGTCCAGCATGGTGGCTGTTGGCAAGACAGAGGAGTGCTGGTTATACCTGCTGCAAAATTCTCATAGGATATCCCAGCAGGGAGTGCCATGGTGGAAGGGGAGTGTTGGAGTTCCAGGGCTGGGCATGGACATCAGGGCGAGGCTCGTGTTGGGAGAAGATGATGCAAGTGGGTGAAGCTGAAATAAAAGGGAGCAGCATATTGGAACATGACAGTCCAATTACTGACTTTGAGGACTAGTCCATGGAATGCAAGACGGGTGGTCACAATAAACCCAAACTAAAGAGACTCCAGAGACATGAAGAGAAAAAAGAGAACCTGGTAAGCCTGAAACCCACGTTGTCACATTCAGTCCCTCGTACTGGTTACTCTCAAAGAAGCCTGTCTGCAAAAGCAGCCCTGGCTTCCCACTTGCTGTATTGATTACATCTCCTCTCCATGGGTGGTGGGGCCAAAGCTCCAAATGAGATTCTTCTCCAAACGTCTAAAGTTTCATGTTCTTTGCTTTATTTCTTGCCAACGTAGGAGTAAAGTTGTGTTGAAAATGACTGTCTCGCTATGGAAAAGTGACTCTGTGAAGAGGAATTCAGCATTCTCGGCCAAACCAAGAAGGCCATTAATTTATACCATAAAACGGACAGCCAGAGAGTACAAGAAGTGACACTGCTGTGCTCAGAAGCTTCTTGCAAGTGTAAACAAAAACCTTGGTTGTTGCTGGTGACTGGCTGTTTTTCAGAATCTGACCAAGTTTTAGAATGGAAACAATCAAGTAGTGATGTCAATGTCCCCCTGGGGTCTAAACATCTTTTCTAACCTTATTTCCACCCATTACTTGGCTCTATCCATATAACGGAGTATAGCGTGATGCCTGTTGAAACAAATGAGACGGAATGCAAAGTCATCTGCACCCTAATTGACAAAGAATGGATTAGATATTTGGGGGTAGGGGTGTGTATGGGTGTGTCTCAACTCTCTACTATGCAGCAAGGATCCACACTTTGGTGGAGACTTTTCATTAAATGATGCTTACTTTGTGTCCCGTGGTCTCGCAAAGGTCCTCCACAGCTGCCAGTATAGTCACACAGCTTAAAGCCTTATAAACATGTGGTTTATTCCCCAGGGTTCTCTGCCCTGAACTTCTTATCATTGACAATGGGGCCTGTGTTACAGAAGCCTAAGGTTGTGGCTAATTCTCCTATGTCGTTAGAAAGAAGAGGGAAAAACATTCCTTGACCTTTAAATAGAAAGTTATGCACATGAACATAAAAAGATGGTAATAATGAAAGTATTCTTTAGAATGGTGGTGCCCTGGAAACTAATAACCACTCTTAGAGCCACAAAGAAGAGCAACTTATTGCAACTGAGTTTACTTTGTGTTCAAAGATTGCCACTGGCTTATTTCTCTTTGATTGTTGTACTCTTCAGTGTGATGGTTTTCTTCAGGCACACACATGCAGCCGGTAGAAGCAGGGAACATGCTCAATACATGATCAGATGGATACCTGTATATCCCATAGAGAGCAAATTCAACTTGTCATAGGGTGCTGTTACCTGGTGACCCAATATTATATGCAACTGAAGCCTCCTTTCACTCTCAAATGTATCCCAATTTAGATGATAGATAATATGGTCACCCTCTTTAGTCACCTCTTTATCTGATTTTCTATCAGATACTCAAATCTCTGTGTTCTGGAGAGGTTATCACAAGAGGAAGACAACATGGGGTGATGATGACAGGTTTCCCCAAGCATCTGAATGCTGTCTTACCACTTCAGAGGTCCATGAAAAACAGATTTCAGCTCATTATCTAGATAAAGTTCTATTGATATAACCTGACCCAAAAGGGAAAAGGCTATGCTGATAGGCAGTGAAAGCATTCAAGCCAAGGACTGGAAGATCATCTCTCAGAGATGCCACTGACAGTTCGTGTTGGATCATTGGCTAACAAACCACTGTAAGATGCATAGAACCCATTGGAGAGCGTGAAACAACCAGTCCTCATCTTCATGAATTCCGTTTCACTGGGGTGATGTGGACCCCAGGAATATGCATTTTTCTTCTGTTAATTGTAAAAATGAAATATGAAATAGCATAAGAAAGTTAAAGTTGTCTGAAATCTCATCAACCATCAACAGTCAGTGGCCACTCTTTCCTACATTGCTACACAAATTATACCACTGAAGAGGTTTTATTATAATATTATTTGTGAGTTTTTTTCACTCATTTCTCCTCTTTCCACCTGAGTATCAGCAGTGTTATAAACCTGATATATACTCTTTTATAAATCATTCTCCATGTTAACATAATCATAGACAAAAGAACAAATATATACATGCGTGTAAATAATGGTTTTGTCTTTATTTTTCTAAATAGTGTTGTATTAGGCACACTTTCCAACATTTTGCTTTTTTTCCCACTTAATGCACAGAAAGCTGCCAAATCAACTCATATTGGTATTATTAATTCTCTTTAAGGTCTTGAAATTCTCCTATGATATGACTACTTTTGAGAACTCACTCTGCAGTTTTTTTGGCACTAGCCATAATGCTGCAATTAACATCTTTTTGCCAGCATTTTAAAGACCTGCTTTATTTTCCAGGGAATAGATTCCAAAGGCTGAGGTTGCCAGTCAAGGAATGTGTGTTCTTTTTGTGTGAATAGATATTTCCAGATTGTTCTCCTATCCACCAACAATGTGTGAGGGGATGCCTTTCTCCACATCCCAGCCAGTAGTATTGGTTCCCACTTTTTTTCATATTTACCAGTTTGATGGGTTTTATACTTCATTGTTACTTTAATTTCCATTTTTCTGATCTGTAGTGAAGTTAAGCATCTTTTCATATGTTTATTGACTTTTTGGATTCTCTCTTTGTAAAGAGCTTATTCATACCCTTTGCTCACTTTTCTTTTGGGCTGTTTCTAAGAGTTCTTTCTTTATTATAGGAATAAATCCTTTATCTGTCATACAAGTTGAAAATATTTTTCTGAGTTTATGATTTATATTTTAATTTTGTTTATGGTTTCTTTTGCACCATTTAAAACTTTATTTATATATAACTATGTGTATCTTTTCTTTTGTGGATTCCTGGTTTGCTCTTTCAGTCATGACTCAACCATTAGGCTTGTCACTATGATGGAGAAACACTCATCTAGAAGATCTCAAAGTTCCCTTCATGCTGTTAATTTTATGACTGTAAGTCTAAGATACTACTCCCATCTTTCAAATTCAAATGCTATGGAATGAGATCTTGCTGTCAGATTTTAAGGTAGATAACAAACAAGAAAGTGAAATGAGAAGCTAGGCAGCTCATGAACAAACAGGCCATCTGTAAAATTTTAATACAACTTCAAGAAACCTAGCCATGTGCCATCTTATCAAATTCAAAGGTAATTGTCCTCAAGAGAAAAAAGAAGCCACCACAGGCCATTGAATGAACGCTACATTCTTGGGGGCACTAATGACCAGGAACTCCTTCATTCCAGCATTTTCTTCAGGCTTGCTAGGGCAATGCTGGCAACCAAAGTCTATTCTTTCTTTGGCTCGTAATGCCCAATAGCCAGCATAGACGGTGTTTACCTCAAAGGGAAAGTCTGATATGAATGAAACCCAGCAAATGAAACCATAGCTCTGAATATTACTTTTTTTCTAAAAGAAACCTAGAAGGTATTACTTGCCAGATTTCCATCTCTGGTGAAAAATATGCAGGATTTAATTGATTCCTGCAGAATCTCTTAAGCCAACGAAAGGGATATGTCTCAGAGAAACTTCCTTGTTGGCTGTTTTACACGTATGTGCGCGCACACACACAGAGACACACCACTGCCCTGAGACTTCACAGCCAGACTCCTGAGCTTGCCGACTTACCAAACCAAGTCTGAGTCATCAGTTTTCCAGACCCCATCCCTCAGGATAATTGAGACACCAGTGGTCATCCCCTTAACCATCTCTCCAACCCTTCCTTAAAGTAATCTTTGTACTTTAACAAGTGCTACAAAGCCGAAAAGCAAGACCCTTCTGCTAAAGTTATTTAGTGGTTTTTTTTAAAAAAAAAAGAAGTATAAATTTGGCAGTGAGGATTTACACAGGGTAAAGGCAAACTAAACTCTACTTCCAGGGTATGCGCTTCCACCTAATGTTTCTGTGCGTTTAAACCCCTGTTCCCTCCAAATGAATAATGGGAGCTCACTGTGCTGATTTAAGTGACAGTCCCAGGTGCTCTAACTTCAGAGTTCTTTAATACAGAGAGATTTTTCACCCTGCTTGGAATGGTCCAGATTCCTCCTTTCCCTGCTTTCATAGGGAAGCAGCTGAGTGTTGTCTTAGGAATTCACAACCCCGTGCAGATCGGTGCCCCTGTAGCTCCAGGACTGAGAACCTCAGCTGCATTTGCAGTTCTTCCTAGCAATTTTCTTCCACCATCAGCTTCCTCTTTCATCATAACATCAGCCTTCCCAAGGGGCCAACACTGTCCCCAAACATCCAAACTGCCTCTCAGAACTGGATGCCATCAACGTTATGACCCCACAAATTATAAGCAAATCTAATGCCCCACTTAATGCTTTCCTTGCTGCCTCAGGGAAGGAAGTACTCCACCTCTCAATCAAACCTCCTCCTTATACCTGTGCTCTGGGCTTCCCATCTCTGCTACTACCATAATCTATTAATTATATTAATATTATCCCCTTTCTTATGGCTTGAATCTATCCAGTTCTCTATCTGTCCTTTCTCGTCAGCCGACAGACATGGGCTGGTCTGTTCCAAGTGTGCCAAGTTTACTTTTTCTCTTGCAGACACTCTCTCTCATCCTTGAAAGAACAGATTCCTCTTGCTATCTTTCTTTTACCGCTCCAATGACAGACCTGTCCCCATTCATTTCTATCCTTACTAGAGTAAAATATGTTTGCTAAATAACTTCTGTCACATCTGAAAGGGATTTTACTCATCTCACTTGACTTCTCTATAGCAACTCACCCCTTTGGCTTCTTCATTCGTGAGCTGGTCTCTGATTTTGTTTAATTCCAGGACATTGTTCTCCCTCCTTGGGTTCTCTTGCTAGCTCTTTTGCTTCTTCTTTTTAGGACCCTGCATAGGCTTTTCTTTCCTTAGTGACCATAAAGCATAGCATCCTGTAAAATTCTGTCTTTTGTCTTGAATCTTGATAGGTTCTCTTTGGGTGACTTAATTCAATATACAAGATTTCAACCAAAGCTTGGTTTCCAAATGCATGACACTTAAGAGACACAGGATACAGGTTCCTCTCCATAAAGAAATTCATCATGTTTCCCACTAGCAAATCTACACTTCCCCGCCTTTCCCATTTTCATGACCGATGGCATAGTTTGCCTAGTTTTTCTGGGAGGCAATCTGGACAACACCTGCTTTCTTAGCCACCACTATCCCAACCTCTGTTTGCTCAACACATTCAAATCCGCTCCACTGTTGCTGCCTTGGTTAGGATTGTGTTATTTATCACTGACTCTTGCAGCAACCCTATAAATGATCTCCCTATTTCCATGATCAACTCCGTCCCGGCATTCTGAGTTCCCTTCATGGGATGATCATCCTAAAATGAGAATCTGATCATATGACCTAGCTGCTGAAATTCCTTCAGGAGAACCCTGTCCCCACAGGATCTTCGTTCGGAGGACTGAACTTGAGATGTTACCGACACTCCCTGCCTCTCTCTGGGCTGCAACCTGTGCTTCAGCCATGAAGACTTGCTAGGAGTCCCCTACATTTCATTGTCTTTATCCCCTTTGAGACTTTGAAAGTGACATTTTCAAGTCTAGAGTATCATTTAAAGTTTTGGTGGAGAGATTTAATGAATGCATATATATGTGCAAATATATATTTATTTATGCAAAGTAGTTTAATTTTTCCTTTGAAGGTTTTGTTGTTTGTCTTCTTGGAGCTAGAAATAAGTTTTCTGAACCTCTGGGCTCTTTGAAGTCTGGTCATGCTTGGGGATAACTGACAGTGTCATCGAAGCCACTCTTTTAAGAAGATTGAAGGTACAAGATGTGAGTTATATTGAGTTATTTGGACGAGTTTTTCAAATATTGATCATCCAGCAAACTCATACCTCGTCTCCTACTCTCTGTGCCATTTTCTCCCTCCCACTTTTGGTCTCTTTTCTTTCCTCATCTTTCCTCATATCATTGTCCAGTTTTAGCAAAAGTATCAGAGGATGTACTAGCTTTGTAAGTAAATTTAGCTGTTTCACATTTTCCAAATAAACTTTAGAGATTTTTTCCTGTATTGTCATAAAGCGATTCCCTTTAAAAGTAAACTGTGTTTACTTGCACAACACCCCTATCTTTAGCAAATGACTTTGTGTCTTCCCTGCTGTTACTGAATTTTCTCATTTTTCCTTGACCACTTAGCCACCCCTTTGTGCCCCCCAACCGCCGCAATACACAGCTCCTTACCCATCCTCCCAAAACATGAAAGGAAACATTCCCAGCTCCAGACACTAAGATCAGTAAATTGCAGGGCTCTGATGTCCTCCATGAATGCAGGCCTTATGAAATATACCAGTGACAACTTAGGAAGAAGATACATACTTCCATTCAACTCCCCATGAAGCCTAACCCAAAGGGACTCTGTAGGATGGATGGCCAGGCTCAAGCACAGCTTAGAGCCAGAGCCAACACCAGAAAGAGGGACAAAGCTTTGGCCTTCTCAAAAAGGCCAATGTCCTACCAGAAAACCTAGAACAGCTCTGCAACCCAGGTGCCCTTATTCTAACTGACCTAACAGGCACTAAATGTGGTATTCTTCTGATGTGCCAGGCAGTGTCCAATTGCATACACTGTAGAATTTAACATTTTTGCTTTCCTGCACAAATAAAAATTAAAAGTAATATCTGAGTACATAAGAAGTTGCAGATGACTGCTAACATCCTTAAATGGGTTCACAGAATAAAAGCCAAATTCTCATCTCCTACCTCCCCTTCCTAGATATACTACATTCTGACCACGGGGGGTTATTGGCATGTGTGCTTGTTTCACATGCCTGGACATTTGCACATATCTTTCCTTCTTCCTGGAATGTTCCTCCAGTTCCTATTCATCCTGCAAGACAAAGCAGTAGTCCTTTATTATGAAGCCTTGGTAGACACCTTGCTGATCTTAGATCCTCCTTCCCTCCCAATTTCACTTTGTGGCTCTATTACATCAATAACCCTACTGTGCAGTACTCATTTGGCGGCCTTCAAATCTTCCTAGCCAGGCCACATACTCATTAAGCCCAGGAATGTGTCTATTTACCTAGTAGGCAAGTGTCCAATAAGTATTTATTGAAAAACTGAACAAGTGAATAAACAGATATTCCTCGAAGGCATAGGGAAGGCTTTCTTCCTTCTCCCACAGTTCTCCTCCTTTATGTGACATGGAGAGGATTTCACTGTGGTTCTGTCCTGGCAAGGGGTTTCCAGCTGGACCTGCCCTGAGCAAACCTGGGGTGTCATGACCGCCTTGGCATCAAGCATGCTGTTGATGCATAGCATTGTGGTAGCTTGCTTTATTCCCAAGGGCAGGAGGTAGCAGGGTAGATTTATGTCATGTTGACGGGAAGCTGCTGAAGATCAAAGGCTTGGCCAGTGTGAACACATCCCAAGGTCACAAATTCAGCTATGTTTTTCAGGGTGGGCAGAGTGAAGTCCTCTAGATCTTAAACAGAGAATGAGAATAGATCCTGCCTATTTTAAGTACTATAGAAAATATTTAGAGATGGGGCATCCCCAGTAATCACTGGGAATGGAGAAACTGGCTCTGGACAATTTAAGAAAAAAGTTTTGCTGAAAAGATATTATGTGCCTCCAAGAAGCACTAGAAAGACAGAAGAACAGACTCAAAAACTGAACACAAAGAAAAGACAGTGAGGGACTGTGACCAGAGCCAGAGTGAGGCCACTGGCCAGTCTAGGACCTCCTGCTGATGCTTCCTCTCTACATAAGCAGCTGGAAACTGCCCCTAGCCCAGAGAGCTGACCCCAGACACCACTTCTGCTCCTAGACATTGCAAATGGTTGCTATCATCAGACCAACTTCTGCCCTGTTGTTCCCTCACTGTATCTGTAGTTCCATATCTAAAATACTGTGAGCTGTGCCTAATTTACATCCCCACATCCTAACTGCAAGATGGAATGAGAAAGGGCCATGCTGCTTCTCCAGCTTCTATAGTGGGAGGTGGGTTCATAAAACAAGAAATCTCTCAAAAATCAGATGGAGAGCTGAAATGATGACAAATATCCCCTACATGTCCCAAGCCTGTCTTCACATGGTAATGGCTGCATAAAGGAAGCAGGGTTGTTTCCTGTTTACATTTTTGAATGCCACCTCACAACCTGAAAATAAAAACAACAGACCATTAACAAATCAGGAATATTTTATCAAGCATGCATTTCTATGGAGTACCATGATGACTTTGACGTACTCTTGTCTACTAAAATCTCGTAATCTAAAAGTGGAAATTAAATGTTTACGCAAGTAGGAAAAAAGTTGTCAGTGCCCTTTGAGCTGTACAGCTCAGAGCAGTGAACCTCTTCCTGGCCTGGCATGCTCAGGGAACACATCGTAAACAGCAGTTACATTATTGAGCTGGATTTCCAGTCTTGCTCCACTGTTATCTTACA
Source organism: Homo sapiens (assembly GCF_000001405.40). Lineage (NCBI taxonomy): Eukaryota > Metazoa > Chordata > Mammalia > Primates > Hominidae > Homo > Homo sapiens. Next base: position 41,509,159 of record NC_000007.14, read on the forward strand.
TTTTCTCTTCTTGTTTTGTGACTTTCAAATCTTTGCTAATGTCAGTCACTCTGCTGGGAGTACTCTTCCCTGTCTTCTCTATTTGTGTGCATTGCAATACATTTTTTAAAGCTCAACTCTAGAAAGAAAAAAGTACATGTGTGTGTGTTTGTTAAACAACAGACACACAGAGAGCATTATGCAAAATAAAGTGACCCCCAACTGCAAAGGAAGAATTCTGTTTTTCTATATTTGTTTGCAGGTAATGACAAACCTGGACCACTTTGAACTGTTACCCCAAATATAATTCTGTATCTCCAGTGACTTACTGCACCTTTTAAACTGGATGTCCCTAAGCTTATGATGCCATATTCATCATCTTCCCTATCCTACAACTTCCTGTTAACAGAAGCACTGATCCTCAGTCTTTTTTTCTTTTTTTTGAGATGAAGTCTCACTCTGTTGCCTAGGCTGGAGTGCAATGGTGCAATCTTGGCTCACTGCAACCTCTGCCTCCTGGGCACAAGCAATTCTCCTGCCTCAGCCTCCTGAGTAGAGTAGCTGGGATTACAGGCACGTGCCACTGTACCCAGTTAATTTTTAGTAGAGACGGTTTTCACCATGTTGCCCAGGCTGGTCTTGAACTCCTGACCTCAGGTGATCCATCTTCCTCGGCCTCCCAAAGTGCTAGGATTACAGGCATGAGCCACCATGCCCAGCCTGGTCCTCAGCCTTAAAAGCTTTAAATTAGCCTTCACTTACTCTACTCATTGATCCCCTGGGACCAGTAAGTGACCATAGTCTGATATTCTGCTTCCTTCACAGTGCCTCAAGTCCTTCATTTCTTCGCTCTTACCCTCTCCATTGAACCTTCACAGTACGCGCTAGGCTGCTCATACCGATCTCCAGTGGCTTCCTTGACACCAGCCTCTCTTCTCCAGTGCACACTTCATACCACTTCCCAGGTCCAATCTTCTCTAAATATGTACTACAAAACCTTGCTCTTCTGCTCAGGGGAACTCATTGGTTTGCTATTTCCTCCCTAATTAGACTAAAGACCTTTGCCACATTTCTAGAGATTCTCTATTGCAAAAGAGAATGGACTCTTCAATGCCATGTCATAGAACTCTGCAAATGCAGACTCAGATAGACTTCCACTCATCTCCCCTTGCCCTCATTTAATTTTCCTTTTAGAATTGAAGGTACTTAAGGAATAAAAATGCAGTCTATCCCGTGTCTACTCATCTAGGTCATTCTTACTTTCTGAGCTCTCTTCATCATGTCCTTCCTTCGTTTGGAATAGCTTCCCATCTCTGGGCACTCTGAAATATTCCCTCCCTTCAAGGCCCTGCATCAGCTACACATCGATGGCTCCCTTCTGTGAATGCCTATAATATTGATGATTTATACTCTGCCATTTAACATTTAAATATTGTTCTATCTTATCAACCTGGGCATTGATTCAAATGTATTAGTCCTAACTCGCTACCTATAGTTAATCCTGCTTGAGTTTGGAGATCATGTCTTCAATTTGAATAGTCCGAAAGCTTAGCTTAGTGCTCCTGAAAACATTATGGATGTTTCCCATAATGTTTCATCCATATAGATGATCAATAAATATTGATTGATTCATGCCAGATCCTATATAGTGCTCAGCTTTTCTCGCAGCAATCTTGGTTCTAAGATATCAAATCAACTCACCTTTTTGGTGATTATGCCATGGCAGCAGAATTAGTAAATGAATTCCTTGTATATTCCTGCATCTTAAATTTAACCTTTTCAAAAACACCTTTCAGACCAGAGAAAGGAACAGCCTGCGGATTTTGGCAGCCCCAAGCACTGGGTCCGACAATTCGAAAAGTGCTAATTCTAGCTCTCCAACAATTCCACCAACATGGCAATGACTCAAAATATCTGTAGTCTTGAGCTCGTTGCTGACACACAGTCAGTCCCATTGCAGAATGCTTATGAAGTATCCAGCTGCTCCCGCATCCTGGATGTCTGTTCTGGAATGTTTCTCAGAGGACCCATCCTATGGTCACTCTGGCCCTTTTGCTGGAACAGACCTGTTGACAAATATGGCCTTGATTTAGCAGCTAAACCTCAGGCTTCTATGTCACTCACCCACCGCACTTGGTTCTTCACTCTTGGAAATCATGTGTCTGAAAAAAAAAAAAAATGCACATCTTTCCTCAACTGTTCTTTTCGTATGTCCTAAAAAACAAGAGAATTTTCCCTGACTCAATATGACTCTGCTGGCCTCTGACCTCCTCAGAGAAGAAAACCAGGAAGCTGGAAAGCATGGAGCAAATGATTGTGGCCCAAGTTTACCTCTTCCTCTGAATGACTACAGAGCAACCAGGATGACAGCAAGTGATGACACAAATCACCAGTCCCTGGCATTTGTAGGAGTCTCTTTCCTTGACAAAGTAAATTTCCATGTTTCTTTTCATAGAATTACATCATGTGAGAAACACTTGTGTCGAACCTCAAAATCATATTTAATGTTATTTATTTCTACAGAATTTTAAAATTGGTTCTAGATGTTTTTATTTTCTCTTAGTTTTCTATCATTAGACAGATTTGTCACTTTGGTTTTCACAGACAAAATTAGGCACCCCTAATTAATTGATGGCAGCCATTTAAATTGCTTGAGTGTCTAGGACCACTTTGCTCAGCAGTCTCATGATAGTTACCAAGATAAAAAAAATACATGCGTGTACACTGCACTGACTGGAATATATTAGATACAGAGAGAGGCCCTGGTTCCATTGGACTCAGCACTGGTCAGGTCTGCAATTCCAGTTCATAGATCCTAGGAATAGTCACAAAGTGATAGATAGAGAGAGGCAGGATGATGGAACTGTTAAACCATCAGATGAGGCCTAAAAAAGGGACCAGTTGAGGAAGGAGATAGAAAATGGCCAAATGTAAATTTCTGCCAAGGATGACTTTAAATCTTCCATAAGGAAGAGAAACTAGACTCCCTGTATTTGTCCAAATGACAGAGCCAGAGCCAAAAAAGAGGGGCTGTAGGGAGCTAGATAACTACCAGAGTAATATAAAGAAGATTATTTTAAAAATAAAATTTTGAGCTAGCCAGTATTGGAATGTATCATGTGAGCCAGAGAGTTCCCCATCACCAGAGCGATGGAAGGGGACATTGAATTGGTGTCCACCAGCAACATCTCAGGAAGGATTTCTGCAGACACTGTGGTAGGCTAAGTGGACACTAAGTTACCATCAATCAAATTCTTCTTCAGAGAGAGAGCTTTGCAAAGTTGTGAATAGCTGACCAAAAGTTGCTTCTTATCATCATAGGTAGCTTTTGTAAGTGCTGCCTTGACTTTGAAACTCTGAAAGAACTTCAGGTTTTTCAGATAATCCTCAACTCCAGGGAAAAGTTTAGTTGCAGGAGAGCAGCACAGAAAAAAAAGGGGAGTCATTTTAGCCAAGATTTAGCTTAGCTGGGCTGACCAAAAGAGAGAAAGAAAAAATGTCACTGTCACAATACATTTTCCTTACACACTGAAATAATGGTGATTTCATTTCCGAGCTAGTTGTCTGTTTCCATGAGATTACAGAAAAGCACACTCGTTCTGTTTCTGCACAAGGGTCCTGCTCAGCGCACTTGCCAGTAGGTACGAGAATCCTAGACCAATACTTATCATGGTACTATAAGCACAAACACTCTTCCAGATACATTGTATGCATTATAAAGCTTAGTAAGGAATGCTCACAGTTGTATTTTTAAAGACTAGAAAGCCAAGGCAAGACAATTATTGATAGAGATAATTTGGTGCAGCCACTTTACAATAGCTCTATTTAAAAACACAACTGACCGGGAGTGGTGGCTCACGCCTGTAATCCCAGCACTTTGGGAGGCAGAGGTGGCTGGATTATCTGAGGTCGGGAGTTCGAGACCAGCCTGACCAACATGGAGAAACCCTGTCTCTACTAAAAATACAAAAAAAATTAGCTGGGCATGGTGGCACATGCCTGTAATCCCGGCTACTCAGAAGGCTAAGGCAGGAGAATCCCTTGAACCCGGGAGGCAGAGGTTGCAGTGAGTCGAGATCACACCATTGTACTCCAGCCTGGGTAAAAGGAGTGAAACTATGTCAAAACAAACAAACAAACAAAAAAACACAAAAACAAAAGCAAACAACAATAAAAAACAAAACAAAACCAAAAAACACAACCTTCTATTTCTTTTACATTACATTTATATTGGTATGTTTACATTACCAAATACTGTAAACTAGAAATCCCAATTCTTTCCCTATTGTGCATGCTCCATGCTCCTTGGTAATACAAATGAGATAACATTGCAATGACTTGGTTTTTAGGTGTGGTCACTGTTCCATGTATCTGAGGAATAAGGACAGACATGTCAAAGACCTCAAACAAGATCACATAATTCTAAATGGCAGAGTTGAACCATAAACCATGTCTGCTGCTCTCTCTGGGCCCTCACCCACCACCATATTGCTTTCAAGGGTAGCTCAGGGCCCCGGGCTGTGATGTAGAGTGAAGACAATGGAACGTGCTGCTGAGATTAGGCCTGTTTTCCACATTGTGGGATGGTTTCCAGAGGTGCTAAGAGCCTCTCCCTGCAAGCCAGTGAGTGCCTGATCTGTGTGTACACCTCGCATGTGCTGGAGATGAAGATGTGCCCTTCTGTCCACCAGAGAGGAAGACCACTCTGGCTCTTTGCATTCCATTGGTAGAATGATCACAGAATTTACTGTCCAAACTAACACACTTCTATGAGTAAAAGTGGGCACTACTACTAATTTTCAGAATAACAAGTGTGCACACAGAGCTGTCTTGAGTAGATGGGAATGCGTAGTCACTGCACCCATGGGCTTTGCTCCTGTCCTTATGCTGTCAAGATCATCTTTTCCTCAGTGTTTTGCTTGGATATAAGCATGGAAGAGCTACTTCTTATCACAATAATCGTTTTTGATTATTCAGTTTTTCTTTTTATAAAAAAGATTGCTCTTTCTCCATCTCTGGGTAATTTCCTTTAAAGTATTCTGTTTCTGTAGTAATCACTCACATTTTTTCCCTGAGTTTAATAGATGCTGTTGATACATTGCTTTTCCATGGATTTATGCGTTATGATTATCCTTTCTTCTTTGATTACAAATGATCTTTTATATTTGGGGGAAATCTGTGCTATTGAAAAAAATTATTTTGTATCTGCCTTCAGTGTGCAGGAGGATTCTGTGATTTTCAGGGGATCCAACTCCTATGGCTTAATTTTCTTAAAGGGTTGTCATTCTCCTCCCACTCTGACCTCCTCATCAGATCCTGAGTTTCGCTTTGCATGTCGTAGAATGACAATGTGTGAAGGTGAAAACAGAGAGTGGAGAGAAACAACCATGAGAGAGAGCATAGGGATAGACTAAGCACTGGAGGGCAGGACAGAGGACAACACAGTGGGTTCTGGGGTGGGGGACACTTTGATCACCTCCTAGCATCCACACCCCCTTTCATCTTTCTAACTCTGCAGCTACTTAAATTTAAAAAATTAAAATGAAATCAAACAAAACATTCAATTATCCACTCATATTGACCACATTCAAGTGCTCAGTAGCCAAATCTGGCTTCTAGATACCATATTGGATGGTGAGAATATGGAACATTTCCCTCATTGCCAGAAATCCTATTGCACAGTGTTAACTGAACCCTTATTTTTTAATAGTTCCCCTCTTTTCAAAATAGCTAAAAGAGAGGAACTTAAATGTTTGCATCACAAAGAAATGCTAAATATTTGAGGTGATGGATATGCTGATTAGCCTGATTTGATCATTCCACAAAGTATGCATGTCTGGAAACAACATATTGTACCTCATAAATATATACAATTATTATTATTATTTGAGACGGAGTCTCACTCTGTGACCAGGCAGGAATGCAGTGGCGCGATCTCGGCTCACCACAACCTCCGCCTCCCAGGTTCCAGAGATTCTTCTGCCTCAGCTTCCTGAGTAACTGGGACTACAGGCATGTGCCACCACATCCAGCTAATTTTTATATTTTTAGTAGAGATGGGGTTTCACCATGACAATTATTATTTATTCATTAAAAATAAAATAAAATAGCTCCCCCCCTTCTTCACTGCCCACATTATTCAGTGGAAGGTGATCACAAGAGAGTTTCCTAATTAGGAAGCCGATGATAGTAATTTCATGCCTTCCTGTCAGGAACTAGTTGGAGAGCCCAAGCTAAGGGCAACCAATGCTTGCTATCCCCCTGTTTATAACCATTTATCTAGAGGTGATTAGGAACCTATGTTAGACCAATCAGGCTGAAGGAAAAGAGTTTTCATCTGGGAGCAAATGTTTTTCCTCTGTCCTGATGAATAGGAATAGGAAAAAATTTTGTCCCTCTTCCTACTGGCAGCCAACTTGGGGCCATGAGGGAAGTTAGCCTGAGAACAAGCTGGCACTCAGAGGAGGGCAGAGCAAAAGAGAGGAAGAAAAATGATGTAGGATTCCTGTAGCACCATGCTAGAAGCCAGTCTGACTTCCAGACTTGATATGGTTTCACTGTGTCCCCACCCAAATTTCATCTTAAATTCCCACATGTTGTGGGAGGAACCTGGTGGGAGGTAATTGAATTATGGGGCAGATGTTTCCCATGCTGTTCTCATGATAGTGAATAAGTCTTATGAGATCTTATGGTTTTTAAAATGAGAGTTTCCCTGCACAAGCTCCTTCTTTGCCTGCTGCCATCCGTGTAAGACATGACTTGCTCTTCCTTGCTTCCCACCATGATTGTGGGGCCTCCCCAGCCACATGGAACTGTAAGACCATTAAACCTCTTTCTTTTGTAAATTGCCCAGTCTCAGGTATGTCTTTATGAACAGTGCAAAAAAGGACTAATATAGGACTTCTCTTGAGATGAGATGATAAATGTTCTTGTTTAAGTACATTTGAAAACAGGTTTTTTTTTTACTTGCAACTCAAAGCCCTTTAACTCACCTGGATTCTTGTCCTGTCCCCCACCACAAAGTAATTCTATGACCTTGAATGATTCCTACAACCTCTCTGGGCCATGACTTCTTAATATTTAAAATGGCAGAGACAGAGATCTGCAAGTTTCCTTAATAAGATTATGAAAGCCCTGTATACGCTCTTAAGGTAAGAATCAGAAATAGGGAGTTGAGACAACAATATTGCTTACGAGACATCCTTGGTGGTCCCAATGAGGGCCCTTGGTATTGGTAGAGTCCTGCACAACCCACTTGACATGGGGCTTTGGGAGCTCCCGGGAGAGACATGCTCTCACATTTGCCCAGGTGGATACCACATACATCTGGCTGTAGTGGTGTTGATTTAAATGCTGGAGAGTCATGGTTTCCTGTAGTCTTTCTGAGGCATGATTTTGGCACATTTCAATGTAATGCTCCCTTTTTTTGTGTTATTACATCAATTATACATTCTCAACTGAAAAAAAGAATTTTTAATCCCCTTGATTTTCCTCCCTAAGAAGCAGAGTTTACTGTAATCTGGGGCTTTCAAGACTCCTTATCTTTCCACCTTCCTGCCCTACTCCCACAATGTTCATCTTCCAGTCCACATATCATAATTCACTGTCCGTTTCATCATCAAACCCAAGTTTGTAGAGATCACCCTTGTTTCCTCTGTCCTGTTCATCCCTACATTCAAGTAGTGATTAATATTGTCTATTTTACTTTCTAAATGTGTCTGAAATCCATTTTTTCTCTGCAGTTGTTTTGGTCCATCTGGATTATTCATTACCTCTTAAAAGATCTTACTGCCAAACACATAGATCTCCCACACTAGAATATGCCTTCTAAGATGTATACTGGACTACGATTCCCCAGCTCAAACTTCAATACCTCCTTGTTGCCTACATGATCCATTTGAAATCTTTAGTCTCACCCAGGAAGCCCTTCTCACCTCACACCTCCTGCACCTACAGCCTGCCTTCCCACCACCCCAGCCACTTGTAATGCTACAGGTGTGAGTCATCTTTCATCCTCATGCCTCCATATCCGCTATTCACTCTTCCTGTCTTGTCCATTCACATGTGCTTCCCATCTGTCCATCAAGAGCCAGCTCTGCAAAGCTACCTCCACTTTTCCCAAGCAAGTTGATCATGCTCTCCCTGTGTTCCCATTTCATTTCCTGCCAGTCTTGTCAGTGTCTCTACTAGGACAAGAGCTCTTTAAAACCAAGTCATGTTTTAGAATCCTATACCTGACCACCCTATTTAACATTGCAACCTTCTTCTCCTTCTTTTCTAATATTTACCTTTTCACATACTATATAATTTTATTGTGTATTATGTTTGATATTTATGGTTTGTCCTCCTCACAAAAACAGGGATCTCAGTTCCTTTCATTCAGTGATACATCCCAATGGTCTAGATCAGTATGTGGTGTATAGTAAGTGCTCAATACACATCTCCATTGAGTAAATGAACACATCTTTGTATCTTAGGCACCTGGCATTGTTCCTGGAAAACATTAAGTGCTCAAATAAATATTTTATATTATGTAAATTTTATAGCATTCATAATAATAACAGCTAATATTTAGTGAGCTCTTGCTGTGTGCTAAATGATTTATACACGTCATCTCATTAAATCCTCACAACACCCCTAGGAAGTAGGTTACTACCTTCAGTTACAAGAAATCTGAGGCTCTGAGAAATTAAGCACCTTGCCCAAGGGAATCAAGTAGACCTGAGATTCAAATAAGAAATTTGACTCCAACACCCACACTGTTCACTAGTATATTGTTCTGCCTCAAATAGTCCATCTCATTCACTTGTCTTGTCATTACACACTGTTTCGGCTGTTCTATTTTTAACCTCAAATAGAAAGCAGTAGGAGCAGCTGACCGCTGGGCATAAGAGATAGCAGTAGGGCAATTTGTATTAGAATTATATATTAGATGTATTTTGTAGTTAAATATTTTGGAAGAAAGAAAAAACAATGCTTGTGGATTGTTTGCTGATTACTCTGGAAGGTGCAGCTGTGAGGTGTACATTATCCTCACAGGCCTGGGACCATCCTGAACCAGTGTTCAACACAGATGTTGAGAGTGTGATTTCTTCTCCTTCTCTTCAGGAGCATGTGAACGGGGACATAGAAGACATCTCCTTTCTTCCATTGCCCTTTGTATTAGTCAGTGTTCTCTGGAGGGACAGAACTAATAGGATAGACATATACAGGAAAGAGAGTTTATTAAGGAGTATTGACTCACACGATCACAAGGAGGTGAAGTCCCGCAATAGACCTTCTGCAAGCTGAGGAACAAGGAAGCCAGTCAGAGTTCCAAAACCTCAAAAATAGAGAAGCCAACAGTGCAACCTTTACTCTGGCCAAAGGCCCAAGAGTCCCCTACAAACCACTGATGTAGGTCCAAGAGTCCAATAGCTGAAGAACTTGGATTCTGATGTACAGGAGAAAGGTGGAGGCCAGAAGATTTAGACGGCAAGTGATTCCTTGTTCCTCTGCCTGCTTTTATCCTAACCACACTCACAGCTGATTAGATGGTGCCCAACCAGATTGAGGGTAGGTCTGCCTCTCCTAATCCACTGACTAAAATGTTAATCTCATTAGGCAACACCCTCACAGATACACCCAGGAACAAGACTTTGCATCCTTCAATCCAATCAAGTTGACACTCAATATTTATCACACACCCTTTCTCTAGCTTCACCAAAAACAAGGGGCGTCTCCCTCAGCTCATGTCAAACCCATCAATGGGCAACAGTCACCTACAACTCCAGACCCCCACCACATACACACACAGTGTGCCAGGAACTTATGGGGGCCCAGTTTCCACCCTGGAAAATCCTGGAAGAGCAAATTTCATCTGCCAGCATTACTTTTTTTAGTATCACAGTAATCACTGCATGCAATAATTTGTATTCTTTCTGGGTCTGTTACATCGCTACAGAGGATGGGTTACCAAATCCAGAAAAACGCAGCTAATAAATTCTGCAATTCCAGTCATCTTTTACTTTACAGAATGTTTCTAAAAATAATATTAGAACTATCCATATTCAACATAAAATAAGATGCTTATATATACTATTTATAATATTTTTAGTTAATACATTATGAAGTTTTTGCCCATCTCAGTCATTGTTCTTCAAAAATTCCACCTTCAATAGGTGCTCTATGTGTCATTTTAAGGATATACCATTATTATTATTATTATTTTTTTTGGAGAGACAGGGACTGGCTATGTTGCCCAGGCTGGTCTCAAACTCCTGCACTCAAGCTATCCTCCAGCCTCAGACTCCTAAAGTGCTGGGATTACAGGCATGAGCCACCACACCAGGCCAATAGACCATGATTTCTTTAACTGTTCTCTTTATGTAGGAATTCAAAGTTGTTTCAAATTTTTCTATTATAAATAATTTTCAATGAATATCTTCGTGTGTAAATTTTCCTTGTGTTATTTCTTAGAGGAGATTTCCAGAAAGGAAATATTTTAGTTTAAGAATATCTTTTAAAGATTTGTATTATAATTTCCAAAATGCTTTTCATAAAATTTATACCAAACTAAATTCCAACCAACTAGGTATGAGAATAACTATTACAAGACCCTTTTGCTAGCTCTGAAAGTGTCATTTAAAAAAAAAATCTAGATAATTGTATCAGAGACATTTTATTATAGTTTTATTTCCTTTTTCATTGTTATTAATGACCTTGAAGTTGTGGCCCATTTGTGAAACTCTACTACTTTTTGTTTGGTACACTGTTCATGTCCCTTACTCAATTTTAAAAGAATTTATATAAACATTGTATTTATTAAAGATATATTTATGTATTAGAAATATCAGCTCTTGCCATATTAATTTCAATATTTTTTCTAAGCCTGAATTTTATTTTTAGCTGTATTTATGCATATTTTTGTCATGCAAAAGGTTTTAATTTCATGTAGTTAAATACATTGATTTTCTACTTTTTTGTTATTTTGAGAGCATATAAATTCTTTCTCCTTTCTCAGATCAGAACTTGGATTTTCAAGACTCTGAGTAGTAATATACACTAGTGAATTTTTGTGAACCATTTTGCATCAGTTCCAAATTATTCATTATCTAAAAGTCAAACTCATATTTTTCCATAATTGTACTTTGAAATTATTTATTTTGCAGGCATTGAAAACACTACATCTCTTGGGCCCGTTTGTGACATTGCTGTTGGTTGGGAGCAGAAATAAGGGCCCCACGGTCTTCGTGGGGGCAGCCTCAACACCCAGTAAGGCCTTCTCACACTGGGGAAGAACCCTGACTACAGGGCTGCTGTCCCCTCCTTTTCACCTTTAAGGACATTGGGTGTGAACTGATGTCTAGGCTCTGGCTTCCATCCCCATCAGCACGCTTAAGTCCTTTTTAATAGCACACATCACAATATCACAGACTGCTGAGATCCGAACTCTTGTGATTGGGCCATATCATGGTTGGTGTTATCAGGAGGAAAAGGTCTGACTACATGGCAGAGCCTGGAGAGAAGCTCCTGCTTATCAGCTGTTAAATTCTGCACAGGTTGTGTCAGAGCCACGAAACCGGAGGTGACCTCCCCTACGGGATGGGGATCCCTGAGCGGCATGCCATTCCCTAGATGGGGAGCCTGTCACTGCAGGTCAGTGGGCTTTCAAGGGGAAATTTCGGATAAGGCTATTTGGTGGATGATTATTGTGAGTGTGCAGGGGGATGTGATTATATCAATGTATGCACACACAGACATGAATACATGTCCGACAAACAGGAGCCTTCCTGGGCAGGGGTAACTAACATCCCAGGTATTGGGCAATTTTGGACCTTGCCATGCATGGCTTCATGATCCTGAGGATTTCTTTGCACTCACATGCAGCATCTTGGACAAGATAATGGCTGACTTTGGGAGGAGGCCAGGCAGTGCAGACCCACATTCAGATCCCAGCCCTGCACCTTTCTGGCATGTTGTCCCAGGCATGCATTTAGTCTCTCCAGCCAGAAACTTCCCTGTCTGTTTAGAATAAAATGAGAATGCCCACATCTAAATCTTGTGAAGATGAGTTTAGATAAAAAGGGTGTTTCTCGTTTATCACATGAGAGTTTATTGGTACCTAATAAGTTCTAGTTTCTCTAATAATCTTATCTTTTTTAAAAGACTGGGTCTTCTGCTTTGAGTGTTCTGATCTTTTCTTGTGAGTGGCCTGGCTAGAGGACACCAACTTGTCCTCTAGCACCCAACTTGTTCAGTTGGGTGCCTCTGAAGGACAGGAGTTGGACTGCTTATTGGCATCTGGCTGACTTCACATTCTAATCAAGAGCACAGCTATTGCTAGAAGTTAGGGTTTGGCTTTGTGTAGCCTCGGTCTGGAACTGTCTCCCCAATGAACCCCTTTATAATCTCCTAAACAGATGAACAAATACCTGTCTTCATAAGCCACAGAAAATGGTGTCTTCCTTTGCATATTAATGGGAAAAATCTGTTGCCAGATTTCCAGTGAACATTTCCCTTCCAGAAAACTTATTCCCAAAGAAGGTCTCTAATTTTACCAAGAAGAAATCCGTGAGCCTTTAAGGTCCTGACTGGGAACTTCTTCTTGAACCCCTGAGCTCCTGAGTGCTTTCTCATGTCCCTGGGCTCAAAGCATCACAGGCTGCCAGGTTCTTGATATCCACTCAGTGAAGTGTGACTAGGGAATGAAGAAAGGGAAGATTCTAGGCAAGGAGGAAGAGATAAAAGGGCTAAGAGGGGATAAAGAGGAAAAGAAGAAGGAGGAGAAAGCAAAGCAGGAGGAGGGGGAAAAGAAGGAAGCAAGCAAGGGAAGAAAGAAGGGAAGGGAAGAAGAAGAAGAAGAAGGAAGGTAGGAAGGAAGGAAGGGAGGGAGGGAGAGAAGGAGGAAGGGAAAGAGGGAGGAAGAAAGAAAGGAATGGAGGAAGAGGGAAGGAAGGAAGGGAGTGAGGAAGGAAGGGAGAGAGGAAAGAAGGAAGGAAGGAAAGAAAAAAGGAAGGGAGGAAGAGGGAAGAAAGGAAGGAAGGGAGGGAGGGAGGAAGGAAGGAAAAGAAGGAAGGAGCGGAGATCTGCTTTCTAAAAGGGAAACGCAAATCTCACAAAGAGGCTTATACTGGAATGAAGTGGGAATAGCAGGAAAATTGACTAAATTCTGTAATAAAGCCCCTTTAACTTACTATAAAAATAAAATTAATTTGCCCCACATCCTGAGTTTCTCCATTTCAGAGGAAGAGGGATGTCAGAAAAGTAAAAAGTATCTCAGATTGATAGGAGGAAAGAGATGCCTCTGATAAACAGTTTGAATTCAGCAAGTTCAAAACCAGATTCTTTCCCCCAAGAAAACATGTAATTCTCATCACATTTCCCATCTCAGCAAATGATCATTTTAGTACCTCCATCACCCTTCTCTGATTACCTTTCTTAGTTTGTCCATATCCATTTAATATCTTAGCAGGGTCCTTTTCATATATTCCTTTCCTTCCATCCTTGGTGAGGCACAGGGAGACAACAACACAGAAGCCCAGGAGACTAGGACGGGAAGGCAGAGAACTTGCTAAAGGAGAGACCAAGAGGAGAGAAGGGGTGGAGGGCTTCCTAAGAGATCCCAGCTTCTGAAGCCTGGGCAGTCTCACCAAGCACAAGCCCTGAAACAGGGTCTGCAGGGTTGTTGGCTACGGAGTCTTTCAGCCAGAACCTCTCTCCAAAGAGAGTGCACATGGACAGCCTACAGAGTGATGGAGGGTGGTATCAGGTCCACAGCAATGCCCAGTACATAGCTACGATGTAACTGCTTTTGAAGGCCTGCTTCCCTATCCTCCTGTGCTGTTGAAAGGCCATGTCTCCAAAGAGATAGCACAGGAGGGCAGCTAAGACCGTGGCTTAGTGCTTAGCCTGAATTTCATCTTTGCAATCTACCGGCTTCGTGAGTTCTGGCAAGTTCATACTTTCTTGATGTTTTGTGTCCTCATCTGTAAAATGGCAGTGCTAAAGTGCCAACAGTCCTCCTTTCATAGAGCTGGCTATTGGGGGAAATTCAGCCAGATATCAGGCAAAATTCACCCCAGATATTTCACAAGGGTTCTTTTCTATTTTCCCTAAGTGTTGGCCGATCTGAGAAATAAAGGGACAGAGTACCAAAGAGAGAAATTTTAAAGCTGGATGTCCAGGGGAGACATCACATGTCGGCAGGTTCTGTGATGCCCTCTGGGCCGTAAAACCAGCAAGTTTTTATTAGTGATTTTCAAGAGGGGAGGGAGTGTACGAATAGGGTGTGGGTCACAGAGATCACAGGCTTCACAAGGTAATAGAATATCACAAGGCAAATGGAGGCAGGGCGAGATCACAGGACCACAGGACTGGGGCAAAATTAAAATTACTAATGAAGTTTCTGGCACACATAGTCATTGATAGCATCTTATCAGGAGACAGGATTTGAGAGCAGACAACTGGTCTGACCAAAATTTATTAGGCAGGAATTTCCTCATCCTAATAAGCCTGGGAGCGCTACGGGAGACTGGGGCTTATTTCATCCCTACAGCTTCGACCGTAAAAGACGGCCACCCCCGAAGTGGCCACTTTAGAGGCCTACCCTCAGGGAGGCATTCTCTTTCTCAGGGATGTTCCTTGCTGAGAGAAACAATTCAGCGATATTTTTCCCATTTGCTTTTCAAAGAAGAGAAATATGGCTCTGTTCCACCCAGCTCACTGGTGGTCAGAGTTTAAGGTTATCTCTCTTGTTCCCTGAATATTGCTGTTATCCTGTTCTTTTTCAAGGTGCCCAGATTTCATATTGTTCAAACACACATGATCTACAAACAATTTGTGCAGTTAATGTGATCATCACAGGGTCCTGAGGTAACATACATCCTCCTCAGCTTACAAAGATGATGGGATTAAGAGATTAAAGTAAAGGCAGGAATAGGAAATCACAAGGGTATTGATTGGGGAAGTGATAAGTGTCCATGAAATCTTCACAATTTATGTTCAGAGATTGCAGTAAAGACAGACATAAGAAATTGTAAAAGTACTAACATGGGGAACTAATAAATGTCCATGAAATCTTCACAGTTTATGATCTTCTGCCATGTCTTCAGCCGATCCCTCTGTTCAGGTCCCTGACTTCCCACAACTGCTGGCCTTGAGTACTACACAAGGCCAGAGAGCAAGATCTTAACATAGAGCCTGCTGTCCCCAAGTTGCTTGTTAATTGCCACTTCCATTACCACCCATCTTCTCAGAGCCTCACACATCTGTCCCTACCAGAAAACCCCTCACCGCCCCATGGTCCCGCTTCCTGGGCATCAAGGTTTGACTCAGTGCTACTCTTTTATTTAATTTTTCTTGGCTTTGTACTCCAAGTATGAGACCACAGCTCTCTTAGGACCCTGCTCTTAGTTAATGTTGAGCCTGTAGCAACATCTCACCAACATTCTTAGAATTGACTTGAACAAATGCCAGCACTTTCGGAGACTGAGGTGGGTGGATCATTTGAGGTCAGGAGTTCGAGACCAGCCTGGCCAACATGGTGAAACACCATCTCTACTAAAAATACAAAAATTGGCTAGGTGGTAGTGGTGTGCGCTTGTAATCCCAGCTACTTGGGAGGCTCAGGCAGGAGAATCACTTGATCCTGGGAAGTGGAGGTTGCGGTGAGCTGAGATTGGGCCACTGCACTTCAGTCTAGGTGAGAGAGTGAGACTCTGTCTCAAAAAAAAAAAAAATTGACTTGAACAGCTTGTGCTGTGGAAATGCAACGTTTTGGTGGCTGCTCTCCTGTCCATCTCTGTGCTCCAGTGCCACAGGCATACTCTCCCACTGACACTGCTTTAACCAAAACCAAGATGCTTCCTATGAGGATTTGTGTGACAGTCTCAGCTTCCACCCCCACACTTGTTTCCAGTTGTCAAAATTGCGCTTGACAGAGTGGGCCACCCTGCTCTCTCCATTGTATTGTTTTAACTACGGCATCGTTTGAGGGTAGACCAATTTAAGAAATCATTCTTTTTTTCTACCCAAAGCCTCTGAAGCAGTAATGTAAACAAAGGGTTTTATTTATATACAAAAATAACAACATCAAAAGAACAAAGGATAGTATAGAAAAGCTAGGCACATTGCATTCAGAAAATTTGTACACAGGAAACATTATGCAAAAATTATTTTTGCTCTAGAAGAAGATTAACCCTACCCCTACCTTTTGGTGGTAATAGATAATTAAGTTTTCTTATAAGATTGTTTCAATTAATTTTTGCTTTTCCTATTCATGGTTTCTGTCACTCCATCTTTCACCCTGGGCCTAGATGACTGTGCTTAATTCCTATCTCTCTCTCTCTCTTTTTTTTTTTTTTTTTTTTTGAGACAGTGTCTCTTTCCACTGCCCAGGCTGGAGTGCAGTGGTGTGATCTCAGCTCACCGCAACCTCCGCCTCCTGGGCTCAAGTGATCCTCCCACCTCAGCCTCCCTAGTAGCTGGGACTACAGGCATGTGCCACCAAGCCCAGGTAATTTTTTGTATCTTTTGTAGAGATAGGAATTTGCCACGTGCCCAAGCTTGTCTCCAACTCCAGGGCTCAAGTGATCCGTTCTCATCGGCCTCACAAAGTGCTGGGATTACAGATGTGAGCCACCATACCCTGCCAATTTCTCATTTTCTCTGCTGCACATCTAGATGCATCCAGAGCCAGGCAGAGCACTCAGCTTGACAACATACCTCAGAATCTCGAAAGTGCTAAGCTAAAGTTTCCTTAAAACACCTAGAAGGGAAATCAACAGGTTCTAGTATCATGTCTTCTTGTGCCGGCTTTGCAATGCATCTGTGTAATGGGTAAAAATACAGCTTTGGAGCAGAAAGACCTGAGGTCAAACCCCAAATTTTCATCGTCCAGTTGTGGGTCCCTGGGAAGGATGTTTATCTCTGTAAATTTTGGTTTTCTCCTCAAAATGAGGAGTATAATAATACCTATCTTGAAGAGGTTCATGGAAATTAAATAACATAATATGGTATATAGAAAACATTTAGCTTAGGTCCTGGTATATACTGGGTTGGTGCAAAAACAATTGCAGTTTTTGACATATAAAAGTAGTGCCAAAAACCGCAATTACTTTTGTATCAACATAATAGTAAGCATAAAATTACTATTCACTCGTATTTTTAAGACTGACCAATGTAATTTTATCCAGAGACTTTCCAATGAAGACCTTGGTATGTAGGAATAAAAAATAGGCATAATTTTTCCTAGGTTGATGAACAACCTTTCATAGGGTGACACTTTTCTCCAGATTCAATGGATTTACTCAATTTACCTTTGAAGTGAGGGTGCATATTCCATAGGGAAGAAGGAGAAGGGGCCCTGCCAACCTGGAGTGTGCCTTGATGGCCCCTTCCTGTTGGAGCGTTCACCACCATCCTCACTCAGTCCTGGGGCAGCCTGCCTCCAGGGACAGCAGCCTATCTCATACCTGCCTGCCTCTCCAGTTTATGTCTAAAGCACCGTCACCCTTCAGCAGTTTGCAGTGATGTTCCTTTCTAGGTAATGCTACCCCTGTACCGCATCTCAGACCTTGACCTGGTCAACCATAGTAGGTGGGGTGGGCTAGGAAGAGGCAGGACACAGTCCCTGGGGTTGGGTTGTCCTGAAGCTGAGTAGAAGCACAGGTGCTGGGAGAAGTCCTGTCTAGCAGGCAGAAGAGAATCTCTAAAGGGCAAGGCCAACAACGGCAAACAGTGGACAGTGTTAACATGCCTGTTGAAGGGAAAGAGTGTCCTGCAGGTGGAGTGGACACAAAGATTAGGAGTCTGGGATTAGGTGACACTAAGAAAAATAAACAGCCTCAGGATATTCTATGATTAGGGGATGTGGAATGGAGGGTCAGAGGCAGAACTCCACTCTTAGGAAGACGTATGGTAAAGACTAAAGTGTTTCCCACGCAGGAAGGATTAGGATAGCCATGAGGACCCAAGGCAGCCTTGATTGAGAAAATAAGGATACTTACTGCCAGGACTGGGAAAGAATGTAGTGTCTGGGTTTCAAGACCAAGGCCAAAAGTTCAGTTATTATTAATACAGAAGCCGTACATTAGAGGTTAGAGAGGTTTCTCTAAACCATTTTTCTGAAATTAAGGTTTGGTCTTAAAGATAAGAATGGAGTTGAGCTTTCAGGCTGAAGTACTGGGTAGGAGAGAGGAAGATGGCAGACAGAAAAAAAAATAGCGCAATTACTTTTGCACCAATCTAATAATTATTCAATAATAAAGGACTCTGTGTGTTCTGTGTCTCTGTTGGGCTAACAAGCCTGTTTCACTGGGAGTTGTGTTCTGCTTACTCTGTATCCCAAAACATTATTTTCTCATGCTGAAGACCAATAGCCAAGTCAAAAATGGAAATACTGGCTGGGCGCGGTGACTCACGCCTGTAATCCCAGCACTTTGGGGAGGCCGAGATGGGCAGATCATATAGTCAAGAGTTCAAGACCAGCCTGGCCAACATGGTGAAACCCCATCTCTACTAAAAAAAAATACAAAAATTAGTCAGCCCTGGTGGTATCCACCTGTAATCCCAGCTACTCAGAAGACTGAGGCAGGAGAACTGCTTGAACCAGGGAGTGGAGGTTGCAGTGAGCCGAGATCATGCCACTGCACTCCAGCCTGGGTGACAGAGCAAGACTCCATCTCAAAAAAAAAAAAAGAAAATACCTGTCCATGCTGAGCAGCTGTGACGAACCACACTGTTTGATGACTGTTGAGAACTACATCTTGAGGAAAATGCCCCCAGCAGTGGAAGTACACAGGTTGCTGGCATGCTCTTGTCACCCAAAGAGATTGCAGGATTCCCTGGCAGTCCACCAACCAACGGCCTCCATGACACACAGACACCTCAAGGCTTTATGCAAGGGAGAAGGTCCCTGCTAAGGGCATTTCTGCCTAACATTGTCCATGGGTTAGTTTTTGCTGTTGTTGTTTTTTCTTTCAGCCCCATTATAAAATTTAACCCATTTTACTTGTGGTATCTTTCACATAATAAGGAAAAACCATGAAATGAACCACCAACAGTGATAATGAAATCCTTCCCTGTGAAACGTTGTTGTCTCCTACATTTTCTTGACCTCAAGACCTCTTTAACAGATACGTTTTAGAGAAAACCTTTTCTGGGCAAGTGGCTAGCTGAACCACGCCTGGTTCCCTTGGTTGTATGTGTGCTCATCTTGGGAGTGGGTTGTGATGTTCTTATCCTCTGAGGTGGGGCAGGGAGTTGGACACAAAGGGTCAGGAAGTGTCCTTTTGGGGTTAATGGCTATTCCTGGCCTCTGGTTCCTCAGGGGTGAACCTCACTTCAAAACATACACAGATAGTGGGGCTGAATGCTTGCTGGTGTCCTATTCTGCACTCTTTCTGAAAGGGCTAATACCGTACCATGAAAGAGAAAAGGAAACAAAAAACAGTAGCAGAAGCCAGGAGCTCATGGGAAATGAGGCAACTCTTTCGTGTAGGATGAATGAGTTAAATAAGACATGCACAACTATTATAGTAAGTTAAGATCAGGAAAAATGTTTTCCAAAAGTTCCTGCAAGACTGTATGTGAAAGAAAGCAACTTAACACTGCTCAGCTAAACATGCCCACGTGAACTATAATTCGACAATAAATGGCATTGCACAACATACTATTATGCTCGGTTTATAAGACAGAGTCTCCTCAAAAAGTAGCACAAATTACCATGATTTCTATTCTACCAGGCCCTTGGGTGGCTAAGTTATGAGGAGAGCTTAATATATGGCACTACTAAGCAAAGCATTGAAAAAGAGTGATTGAGTTTTACTCAAGGCTCCTAAGTTTGGGATAATTCTTTCCTTTAAGAGAAAATGAGAGGGTATGCTCTGGTTCTTTAGCCTGGAGCTGGAAAAGGGACATTATTTGGGGATTTACCAACCCTTTAGTCCCTAGTCCTTATACATCTGCCTTCTGCTGTCAGTCCCCAAACCACAAGCTTTTAATTTTCCCTGAAGATTAGACCAATATTTACCAGTAAGCCTGCATTTATCCTAAAAACCCTTTACTGGAAACTATTGGTTTCAAGTAAATGTTAGATCTTGTTTAAGAACGGTTGCCCCTCCTTGGTGGAGCAGGCAAAAAGAACACTGCATTTCTGACAGGAAAACGAAGAAGAAAAGTTTCTATCACATCTATCAAGTGGAAGACCTTTTCAATTTGTTCATTTGTCTTTACTTTTCTAGGATTTCTCATTAGCCATCCAATCCAGTCATTCCTAAATGTTGGCAAGGAATTACTTCCTGTGGAGGGCTTTAGTACAGTCAGATGTAAAAATGCGGAGTTCAATAAAAGAGTAAAAAGATATCTGGTCTGATATAGACAGGCTAATAATACGAAATTTAATAGAAAGCGTACAGTATCAAAAAGTACATTGTTCCCAAAACGACTTGCTATAAACCCTGTTTTTGCCTTCCTACCACTTGTCATTGGAGTAGACAAATGTTCTTCATCTATTTAAGGCCAACACACTTCTGCTTCCAATAACAGATATAACTGCAGAATATTCTTACAAATTTCTAATAAGGTTCTATCTTCATTTGTTTGAGATTTTGGTAACTAGTGGAGCCTTCCGCTGGCAGAATCCAGATAATTGCAATAGGAACCTGGGCAAACATCCAAGATCTAAGGGAAAAGTCTATGTGTATTATCAATATAGATTGGTCTAAGGATGTTCCGAGGATCACGTAAGAGGTCATTTTAAAGATCTTTCAGCATGTCTTAGAAGGGTTAGAGCAACTCAGTCAAATTCCAGGTGAGCAGCTTACATGTGGCCTATCTAAATAATTCTCATAACTGAGGAAGACAAGCTTTGGTCTTGTCTCAGCTGTTACAGTCTATTGTTAGGTCTGTGTGAATCACACTTACAAAAGAGCCTGGCTTAGGGCAATGGATGAAAAGCTCCACAGATTCCTCTCACAGACCTCAGTGTCTACTTTTCCCGGGAAGACACAACTGAGCCTGAAATTGCAGCCTGGGCCGGAACGTGCAGACTTCAGTGGCCACCATGACATTCTCCCTCTCAGCCACGTTTCATGCTTCCAGACTGTGTGGAAGGAAAACTAAGGCCTTTTCCTGTGACGTGGAGGGCCCATTCCCTGAGGCCATGAACGGGGAAATGGGCCTGGTATAGCATATAGTGAGGGTTGGGAGGCCAGAGACTTGAGTTCTAGCCCTGGCTTTGCCAGGATGTAATGTGTCTGCATCCTTGATGTTAGGGATTCCATATTTATGTGGTTTTTATATTGTGTGATTATGGGTTTTTTGTTTGTTTTGTTTTGTTTTGTTTTGCTTTTTTAGGAGTTGAATCCTTTCCAAAACTAAGATTTTAAGAAGATTCATTGATACAAACTATATAAAATCAATGTAGCTTTGCATGAAATTGGGAGAACACAGAGTCCCATCCACTCCAGTGGTTCCAGTGTACCTTGGTAAGCACTAGAAGGGGTTTCACATAAGCCTATGTGCAGGACAAACTGATCTTCAGGTATCCTTTATGCACTAATACTGTTTCCAGTTTACTTATCCTTTGAATTTCCATGTTATGGATTGTCTATCTGGGATTATTTCCTTGTGAGCAAAATGAGATTATAAACTTCAACAGGAATAAATGATCAGAAAACTGAACATGGAGTCAGAAGAATTGCTCCAACCCTGAGACTTCCATTTCATGAAGGTGAGACCTGGGGAAGGTCACTGTCTGTTATTCTGAATTTATTCATCCTATGATATGAACTCGGCAAGGTATTAGTGAAAACTAGATGAGATAACACAGTTATTCCTCACTATTAAAGTCTTCACTCTCAGGCTAGGCATTGTGGCTCACGCCTGTAATCCCAGCAATTTGAGAGGCAGAGACAGGCAGATCACCAGGTCAGGAGTTTGAGACCAGCCTGGTGAAACCTCGTCTCTACTAAAAATACAAAAAAATTAGCTGGGCACGGTGGCACATGCCTGTAAACTCAGCTACTCAGGATGCTGGGGCAGGAGAATTGCTTGAACCCTGGAGGCAGAGGCTGCAGTGAGCCGAGATTGCACCACTGCACTCCAGCCTGGGCAACTGAGCAAGACCCCATCTCAAAAAATAAATAAAATAATAAAATAAAATAAAATCTTCACCCTCTAAACCCAGGAGCCAAATATATTTGGAGAAATATTTATAATATATAGATTCCTTATAAATTTGAACACATAATTTCATTATTTTTATCTCAAAGAATTATTTTATCTGAAAAGATTTTTGTAATGGCTTAATGCTCTAAAAGATATGAAAGTGCTTAAGAAGTTGATTTCCACCCAAATACAAATTATATTTTATACCAATTGTTGAAGTAAGTTGATATTAAGTTACAAAGATGGCCAACCTCTGTTACAAATCCACACCAGTTTATCGAATGGCACTGACTCCAAGTAACAGTATTCTTTATGAACAGTTCCACTAGCTATGGCTGTCACAAAAACTGGCTTTGATTTCAGGGAACAATTCATGATATCAATTGTCTGCAAATCAAGCATGGAAACAAATTACAAAGCATCAAACTTTTAAAATAAACGCAAAAAACTCTGAGCAAACTCCAGGAAATAGGAAGAAAAATAAAACATGACCCTTTACAGTCAAGAATCTGAAATGACAGTTGAGAAACGGCATCAATATAGTATGCGTCTGTGAGGTACCATCATGAGAGGCTAATGCAGGCTGCTACAAATGTGATTCTGAATATCAGAGTGAAGAAGTTCATAGCTCAGAAAAGCTAGAGTCATTGGAGCTGTTTTATGGAAAAATAGAGAAATGAATAGATTCTTACAGGGCAGGTGACTGGGATGATAGGGGCAGAATGTATATATACAGTCTGCATACAATAGAAGAACTGTGCCAGGTGTGGAATTATTGAAATATTCCCATTGCCCCTCCCCCAGTGCAGATCCTTTCCAGGGACAGTGCCCCAAAACACACATCTGAAGAGATAATTTTCAGCATGGTAGGGGTTTCCAAGATCCTGCCCTCCTCTATGACCGCAGTTATCCTCTTGGGTTGGAACTCACGATATACTGTTAAGTATTTTGAATATCACTGCTGTTCAGAGTGATGGGTAGCAGTGGTTTTCCAAGCAGAGCACCAGCCTAACCCACAGCCTTGAGCTAAATTATTGGTTTACTGGAGGCTGTATAGAGGATCTGAACTTCAGGAGTAAAGAAGAATCATCTCTTCTTCCATAACTCCTTCTTCAAGATGGCAGCCTGGATGGCCATTTCTCCAGTTAACATAGGTTATTTTGACCTCAGGGCTGTTTACACAAAGCTGAGAATTAGCCATCTAATGGGTCTATCAGTTACAAGTGGCCTGTGATATGCCAAGCTCAGGGGTAAGCAGGCAGAGGTCTTTCCTCTTGGGGTTTACAATATAGCAGGGGAGAGATATTCTTTCTTGCTGTATTTACTTCCCAGGGCTGCTGTAACAAGTTGTCACTCACTGGCTTAAGACAACAGGAATTTATTTTGCCACAAATTTGGAGGCTAGAGGTGTGAAATCAAGTTGTCTGTAGGGCTGGACTCTCTCCTGTGGCTCCAGGGAAGAGTCCTTTCTTGCCTCTTCCAGGGTTTGGTGTTTCTTGGCTTGGAGCTGCGTAACTGTAATCTCTGCATATGCCTTCAGATGATCGTCTTACCTGTGTTTGTGGCTCAAACCTTCCTCTGCCTTTCTCTGAGAAGAACACTTGTCATTGGAGTTAGAGGCACCCTGACTCCAGGATGATCTCATCTTGAGATTTTTAACTTAATTGCATCTGCAAAAACTTTTATTCCAGAGAAGGGCACATTCTCAGGTTCTGTTCTGGGGGTTGGAATGTGGACATAACTTTTTGGGAGGGCCACCACTCAGCCCACTACACTTACCTTGAAAGAAAGAAGTGCAGGTGTGAGAAGTGCTGGGGTGGAGTATGGAGCATGGAGCCATCTCAGATGGTGGCTGGCCTGGAGTTGGGGATTAAGGAAGGCTTTCCTGAGGTCATGTTGATCAAGACCTGAAGGACTCTAGGTAGAGGTAGGTGGCATAAGGAGCATTCCAGGGTTAAGGAGGATAATGGGCACAGGCTGGAGGACAGAGTTGTGGAGGGACAAAGGACTTTAGATGAATCTGCCATAGATGGAATAGTAAGAACAGAGCAAGTAGCTGCTACAATTTTCCCAAGAGCAATGTAAGTTGAATGAAACATTTTAATATGGGAAATGAAAAAACTAGATTGTGTTCTTAAAGTCTTGTTCTAGCTGCAGTGTGGGGAGACTTGTTTGGCAGGAGTCAAGAGAAGATTTGGGGAGATCTGTTGTAGATGATTGCAGTATTTCGGGGACAAATTTTGGTGGGCTAGATTACTGTGGAATCAATGGAACTAGAGCTGTGTGGGCTTCTTTGACAGATATGTAGGAAAGGGAATGAGCAGAATTTGGTCCAATTTGAATGTGAGAGTTAAAGGGAAAGAAAAAGCCAAGAATGACAACCAAGATTCCAGCTTGGACAACTGGGTACAAAATATTGCCATTTACTGATATAGGCAACACCAGAGGGGTGGCCAGTTGTTTCTTTGTTTTGACCAAAGAAGAGGTCACTTCATTTTCTGATTTCCCAGGGAAGAAAGGCAAGCACTCCGAGGCCAAGTGATTTAACCAGGCTTAGCAGAAAGCAGCAGTAGGGCCCAGGAGAGAGCTCGGGACTCTCAACCCTCAGTGCTTTGTTCCCGTCACTGTACATGGGGCTGCCTTCCCTTCCTGTTATCGAAATCTACTCTCAGTTGTGCTTTTATTTTGAGGTTCAAGGATTTTTTCTAAGTGCAGAAAGCAATGTTTATTCTATGTAAAAATCACCTCCATTTACTTTTTTCAGGGGTCCCACCCTTGCCTTACAATTTCAAGATCCTTTTGCTTGCCATTCATAGGTAGAAGAATTTCTGCCCTAAGCCAAGACTGGAGAAGGGGATCTGTAGGAGCTACGTCTTATTATCACTTCCAGGTTGACTTTGAGCTTAGCATAGCCTGTGAACGCCTGTTCTTTGGGGTTACTCTCCCGTGTCACATGCCATTTCCCATATCTGCTTTGTTTGGTTGTACCTGCTTCCAACTCCTCAATTCATTTTAAGGATTTCTACTCTTGTCATTCATTTATTAAACTCTTCACTCACTATTTTACTGATTCTCCCCACCAAATAAAAACATTTAAAAAGAGAGAACTAGCATTTACTCACAAAAAGAACAACAACAAAATATACTTGATCCTCAAAAGATGTGGATCTCTGGGTCAATTAATCATCATGTTTGGGTTGATTCTTGTTTGGTGAAAACTGAGTCATCTATTTCTAATCATTCTTCTAATGTTCTCCATCATTACCTCATACTCAAGTGACAAAATCTCTGAACAGTATTGTTACCCTGTATTCTTTCCCCAAGGATCTGCAGTAGTTCTTACACTCTATGATTTTTGCTTTATTTATTTATTTATTTATTTGAGATAGGATCTTGCTTTGTGGCCTAGGCTGGAGTGCAGTGACGCAACCATGCCTCATTGTAGTCTCAACCTCCGAGATGCAAGTGATCCTCCTGGCTCAGCCTCCCAAAATGCTGGGATTACAGGTGTGAGCCACCATACCCAGCCTCTATGATTTTTAATAGTAAAACATGTTTATCCTCTAAAATTGAGTTATAAATAATATTCTATTTGCCAGCCCTATTGGGATTAAGAAAAAAATAGAGCCAGGGGATTAGAGAGGGTTTCAAGGCTAAATTTAAGGAAGTATTATTTTATCTTTGGAAAGATGTTTGATTACTTAGCTAATTATTGTCACCATGCTTTAAAATAACCTGTCTTATGATTTGGTTGCTGTTGGCATTATGCTTTATTTTAAGAGGGCTCCACTAAAAATCAGGGAGGTGGTAACTCTGTCCAGAACACCAAAATTTATAATTTCGTGAATTCCTGAAGCCACTGCTGTAAAAAAATACATGTCTTATATATTTACATTCATATCTGAATGGTCTTTATAATATTCATAATGCAGTTTTTTGGTTTCCATTATACAATGCCAGAGGGGGTAAATGAGTTAGGACAGCTTTTAAACCAAAGAGTTTGGATTGCCAGATCATTACAAAAAACACAGGAAGATTTGAAAATTACACAGGGCTTTGCAAAGCTGTGGAGCATGAGCTCTGCCTTCGCTTGCCCTGTATAGTCAGAGAGCGTTACTAATACACAAACCAGACTTAGGATTGCTTTGGGCTGTAAATTTTCCTTGGTTCCAGTCAGCCAGAGTGGTGGGATGAAGGAGAGAATTACTGTTCAACTCACATGTTTTGAAATAAGCCCACTTATGCTAACATTATTTCCTCCTACACAAAATAAAACAAACAAGCAAAAGGTCTTAAGGAAAGAATGAACTCAAATCTTCTGTTGGAGTTTGTTATAGAAAAAGCAGAATTCCAGTAAGCTGCCTATGGCAAAGGAATAAATATGTTCCTCAGACTAGAAGTACAGAGTAATATTAAAGATTATAGCTAGAACTATTTTCTTACCTAACACAAATTATATCTGTGTCCTCACAACTTACCTATTAATTATTCCCTGAAGCAGAGCTGAAAGGCACTATGAATCCTTCGCATCTGTTCCAAGGAATGACCATCTCTGCTGGATGGCACCAATGTCTCTTGACCCTGCAATTTCTTTGATTCTGTGAATTGTCACGACATTTTGTCAAGTTTCCTTTCCTACATTTATTTGGATTTATTTATTTTCTGTCATATTGATAAAGTGTTCACTGTGTGCAGGGCATCCTGTAGTTGTAAGAAAAATAGGAATGATTAAGACACCTTCCTGGGCCATGAGAAACATGTCATCTCATAGAGATGCTGTAGTGGGAATACAGTGAACCAGGACATAAAGCAGAAAAATGTCACTGGGATGGGAGTCAAAAAAGAAGGAGGCTCCTGTGTTGGGGACATGCAGAAAATCCTTACAGAGAAAGTAGGATTTGAAATGGATCGCAAAAGGTGGAAAGAATTTCTATAGATGCATATTGTGAGGGAGAAATGGGGAGTTTCATGCTCAAGAGACATGATGAGGCAAGGGTGTGGTTGCATGGAGATTTGGGGCATAAATAATGCATATTTCGTGGCCAGTTGTGGCTGGAGTACAGTACAAAGCCAGGAGAGATAAGGCCTAAACATCTGAAAAGACTGCCCTGAGATCATATATCATGGGGGAAGTTTTTGGGCCAAGCAGGGCTGTGATCAGAGTGGGGTGGCAATGTCAAAGGCGTAAGTGAGAAGGACTGAAGGTCAGAATTATAATGCTATGTAGACATAAAAATGGGAGAAGAGCTGGGATCTATAGCACTTGATTACTATTGAGAGCAAAGGAAAAGTAGCCAAGTTATTTTGCATCTATGGCCTCAGAGCCAGGAAGAGGAAAAGTTGCTTTGGATGGGTGTCTGAGATTTTGAGCTTCTGTAACTTGGTGAATCTTGTTTTCATTACAGAAAGAGGAGAATCTGAGGCAGAGGCTGGTTTGGACTTCAGCAATGATGTGTATTGTTTTAGACATTAATTTTGCAATGCTGGTGAGATACTCAGGTGGGAATGTTCAAGAGGCACTTGGAAATACAGGCAAAGATTGCTGGATAGAGATCAAGAATAGAGACATAAATTTGGGATAAATGTTTATGTAGATTACGGCTGAAGCCAAGAGAGTGGAGGATGAGAAAGAAGATGGAAAGAATCTCAGGGAACACCTACATTAATGGTGAGTCAGAGAAAAGAAACCAGTGAAGGAGGCCAAAGAGGAGACGAGATGAAGGAGAAGCAGAGACTGAAACATCACAGAGGCCAAGAGCTGGAGGGAGGAGCACATCGTCAGAAGTGTGCAATGCTACAGGCAGAGGAGGGTCGCTCCATCTTCCACACTCTCTTGCCAGCCTCAGCTCTCAGGAATGGAGAGGCCTGCAAAAGGTTTCTGCTTTCTCTGACTCCAATCTCTCCATCTCCAGCCCACACCACTACCACTCCCTAATTAATTTTCTAAAATACTGTTTTCATCTTGTCATCTCCTGGCTGAAAAACCTGCAGTAGCTCCCTCTTGCCTATGGAAATTCAGATGTTGAGCCTGTATTCAGGCTCAATTATTCAGGCTCCATTAATTAACACCATCTTATCTGCCTGGCTTTCTCTTTCATTCATCTCCCATACATTTTGTTCGCGCCAGGCCAGGACTCTCGCTGTCACAACACAAGCCACGCACGTTTTGACTACCATGCATACATTTTTTCCAGTTTCTCTGCTTTCAATCCCATTTCCCTCCTCCCTGCCAAGACAGACACTATGCCAACATGGAAATTGAAATAAAGCTTCTCTGCTTCATTCTCTTCCCTTATAGTTTGGAACCCATTCTAGCCTTAGGGCCTATTCATTTATTACATTATTATTATTTTCTTAATTATTTGAGAATTTTTAAATACAAATTACAACATTTCTAAAAACAACAAACAAGAGTTTTATTTCTCTGTATCCTAAAAGCATCCAGCAAAGCATGGATTGCACGGCAGATATTTACATGTTAGACTGGGACTATTTGGACTTATCTATTGAATGTGATCTAAGGTGTTGGTAATTGCCCAAGGTATGCTCCAAGGTACTTCCATTACAAAACACCAATTCCACCATCTGCCACTTTTGCAGATTCATTCATTCAAATCATGAAGTCTTTAATGCTGTGCTATGAAGACAGTGACCTAATAGGGTAGCCATTACCAAATAGCTCCATTTTCACAGAATGCTGTATTGGATGGTGGTGTTTTCTGTGTTCCAAATTTCGCTATAGAATGAGAAAACCCTTATAAGAAGTTAAATCTTATTAACTACCTCTTGAACATTTAAGAGGGGCAACTGGAAAGAAATAGCAGAGGACACCTGAAGACCAATGTTACCTGCTTTGAACTGTGCCTCCCAGTATCCTGGAGTTTCTTTTTTGCAGGAGAAAGTAGCCATTTTGTAAAACCAAAGTATTCATTTTTGTCTTTCATTCCCTACCATCACCATCACTCTTGGGGAGCAATATTGCTCCTAACTTTTCTTTGGAGGAATAGTTTCCACCCCTAAACTGGCATCTTCAGGTAAGCTGTAGGTCCATTCCTAGGGAAAATCAGGACCAACATGAGGCTAGAGGGAAGCAGGGCCTTTGGAACGTGCTCGATACCAAGCTGTGATTGGCACCTGGTTCCCAAACTTGGCCCAGGTAGAGAGCAGTGAAATATCTGTATGGGACATTTTTCAAAAGACGTAGTTTGTACTTGGGAGGCCGAGGGGGGGGGGTGGATCACTTGAAGTCAGGAGTTCAAGACCAGCCTGGACAACATTGTGAATCCCTGTTTCTCCCAAAAAAAAAAAAAAAAATTAGCTAGGCATGGTGGTGTGTGCCTGTAGTCTCAGCTACACAGGAGACTGAGGCAGGAGAATCGCTTGACCCCAGGAGGCAGAGGTTACTGTAACCTGAGATTAGGCCACTGAACTCCAGCCTAGGTGACGAAGTGAGACTGCCAAAAAAAAAAAAAAGAGAGAGAGAGAGAGAGATAGTTTGCATTATAGGCTCCTTAATGTCTGGAATTCAATGTGGTTAAAACTAGAAATGAACTAAGCCTTGACTTTGACTAGCAAGGCTCCTTTGCAGGAGCTGGTCTTAGGTATGCGCGGTAAGGAGAGTGTGATGGAGATTTCACCTTCGAGCCTCTTTCAATGGCTTTGTTTTCCTCTCTCATTCCTTCCTACTGTGACATTCTACAGTTAAGGTTATGGAAGAAAAACGAAGTTGAAAAGACTTTTGTCAGTATTTTGGGAAAGCTGAAACCCCCTATTTAGTGCCAAGATAAACAAGACAGGGGAGCTAGATTGCAACATTCTCTCACTTGCAGTAGCAGAGAATCCTGCAAGTGAATCTCAGTTCAAAATGTGAAAAAAAAAAAAAAAATCGGAAGCCTCAGGAAGGGCAAAGAAATAATAGAGATCTTTATGAAAACAATTATCTATCCTGGTGTTGGTGTGCAAATTCAAATACGAAAAGGGCACAATTCAGAGCCAATTGTTGAAGTGGATCTTGGAGAGGCTCCAGGACCATCAATCACTCCCAGGTCATCACACTCAAGCCTCATCTTTCCCAGAGATCCTCAATTTGCATTTTAACAAGAAGCAAAACTTTTCGAATCTAGGCCTTCAGAGGCCAAATGAGAAACAGTAGCTTCTGGAAGGGGATCTACCCAGAGATTCTTTTCCACAGCTTGCTTGATCTAGGTGTGAGAGTGCCAACTCAAGTGACCTCTTAGGCCAGTGCTTCCCAAAGTGCCGACCCTTGACAAACAGCATCAGCATCACTTGGATGCTTGTTAGAAATGAAAATTCTTGGACTCCATCCCAGACTTATTAAGGGAACTACTCAGGGTGGGATCAGCAATCTACATTGTAACTTAACTTTGGGACCTCTAACCTAGACCAGGAAATTAGGGCTCCTGCTTTTGACCCTCTCCCTTTCTCCCTCCCCTTTATCCTTCACCCACTACCTTCTAAATCCCTAAGACTAGAGCTTCTACAGCTCACATGGGGAGCAGCCTTGGCAGAAGGGAAAGAAAGAGTTCTTACAATTTGTCAAAAAATCAATAATTAATGGCTGAAAAAGAAGAAATCAACTGGAAAAGCATTCTTTCCAATCTATCAATCGGTGATAGTTGTATGTGTGTTCACACTACACACACATACAACTACATAGTGTAGTGTAGTGGTGCCAATCACTGGCTATAGGGCCAGAAGCCCTGGATTCAAATCTCAGCTCTGACATCTGCTTGCTGTGTGACATTGAGCAAAGCATTTTACCTCTCTGCATGTATCTTTATTTCTTAACTGTGAAATAAAGAGAAAAACACACCACCTCATGGGGTGCCATACGAATCGTATGTGTAAATAGATGTGACGTTTTTAGAATAGTGCCTGACACATAGTAAGTACAATCTAATTGTTAGCATTAAAGTCTAAGAGCTTTATAATTTCAAGTCAGCAAAATTGTTAGCTTTCCCCAACTTTTGTTGGCTCAAATAATCTTTGTTTAGAAACTTAAGATAGTGGACTGAGCATAGTGGTTCATGCCTGTAATCCCAGTGCTTTGGGAGGACAAAGTGGGAGGATCACTTGAGTCCAGGAGTTCAAGACCAGACTGGCCAAAATAGTAAGACCCCCTTCTCTAAAACAAATTTCAAAAAAATTAGCCAGACGTGGTGATGCACAACTCTAGTCCCACCTTCCGAGGAGGCTGAGGCCAGAGGATTGCTTCAGCTCAGGAGTTCTGAGGCTGCGGTGAGCTATGATGGTGCCACTGCATTCCAGCCTGGGCAACAGAGCTAGACACTGTCTCTGAAGAAAAAAAAAAGTAGAAAGAAGTTTAAGATTGTGGATAGCTGGGTTATAGTGATAAGTAAAAAGAACCTGAATTTTACTAGGTACTCAAGACTCTTCTTATAAATGCAGGCCACTCCCTTTGTCCTGTCTCCCCTGAGATATCTCCAGAAAGCAGGGATACACCCTTCCCAGAAAGCACTTAAGTGGAAATGGAAATTCCAGGTCAGCCTACTGCAGGGAGAGGCTTGGGGAGGGAAGCTGGTGCTCCAAGTCTGCCTGGCACCATGAAGTCCACCGCAGGGCTTAACTGGTTTTTATATTTTTACTCAAGAAACCCAGAAGGCGGGTGCTGAAGGAAGAAACAGGAGGAGGCTGGAGATTGGGTAGACAACGGGAGGGTGGCTGTGCTCCAGGCAGTCCTCAGAGAGGAGCCACTGCTCCTTTGTCTGGACAATACAGACTGCAGGGCTGTAATATGAGTGGGAACTGGGCAGGGAACCGGGCGACACAATCAAAGGGCTCAGGCTCCGCAAGACCAGTTCCCTTCAGCGTCAGTTTACTGTGTGACTCCCCAGGGCCCCACCAGGGGAATCAGATGGACGCGAAAGGGGGAATGGAGACAGTTTTTTGGAGACTTTGGTTTCCAATCAATTGTTCTACCTGACTGTGATGCTGACTATGCTCCTGACATCCTAAATTTTCTTGAAAACACAGGACCATACTCTCAATGGAGCTAATTTGGCTCCACTTCCTCCTGTTCTACCTGGTCACACTGCCCATTCAGCCTAGGATTTTGGCTTTAGGACACTGTCCCATTCTGGACAAACCTATCAGCAAACACTCTTGGCTTGTTCTCTACAAAGATACATATTACAGTAATACTCTATTTTATTTTTTCTTGAACTTCACACCTCTGAGAATAGAGTTTTTTCCAGTCTTTCAAACCACTGAAAGATATCCTAATTACATGAGAGCAAATAGTTAAACTTGAATAGTTAAACTTGGAATAAAGAGCCATGTGAAAAGGCTAGAGACTGAATTCTAGCTTTAGCAGAAGAGTTAGGCTGAACCCCATGTACACCCTCTGCCTGGCAAATACTTCATTAATATTTCCTTCAGGATTCTTCTGCATTAAGTTTTCTTCGTGTGTATGCCAATCTCCATAATTAACCTACACCACTTTGATAAATAAAAAGGAAGTCAGCTCCCCCTTATCCAGTCCCCTACTATATACACGTTTTTATGGCCTGTCTAATCCCATTCATTTTGTTATGGTTCTGGCAGAGATATCAGTGTCTGGGAAAATAAATTATTTAAAAACCAGTCTGAGACTGAGTCAACACAACATCAAAAGCATGTATAAATACACCACTATATTGCAGGTTTAAACCATTTGCTTAGAATTTTATGTCAAACAACTTCCGTCTCACTTCTATACATCGATGGGTAGTAGATCACTGAAACTCATATCACCCCGATTATGAAAATTAATGTCATGAGAACTTTTGAGCCTAGTAGACAGCTCTAATCTCATTGATTTAGCACAGTGGTTCCCCCAAAGATGGAAACCTCCCAGATATATATGGCGATACCATCCATATTATATGCAATCTGAGAATGCCCTCTCCTTATAGGGTCTCTTACCTACCTGATTCCCTCAATGCTATTTAGCTGACAAGGCAGATGGATATTACTGCCTAGTGTTTTTCATAATCCATCAATGGATTTCCAATCTCACCAAGAAGACCACCACCTTCTCTCTCTGGAGTTACTGTTCTCCTTCCATCTAGCCTTGAGAATCCCTTCACTCCTTGTTCCATAACCCACACATTAGCCCATGATCCTGGTGAAGTCCAACCATGTCCTTCCACTCCTCAAAACTCTCCATGAGCCCTCAAGATGAAGTTCACACTTCTAAACCTGTGTTAGCAGGCGCTTCTCCTTCTTGCCCGTTTGCCTTTCCAGCCTCATCTCTTACCCCTCCTTGTCTCCTATTCTAAAAATCAATCAAATTTCCTTCAGGCTCTCAGCTGGGCCATCCTTTCCATCCTCTGTCCTCTGAATACTCTTGCATGTTCTACTTTCCACCTCTCTCCATCGCCCTCACCTTCCCCTTCAGTTGACTAACTCTTAGTCAGTTTCAGCTTAAACACCCTGACACCAGTAGCAGTCCTTCAATCCTGCCACAGTTCCAGCCCATCTTCCATGGCCTGACTTATCCCAGCCTACCACTGTTGGTTCTCTACTGTGTGTTTTCCCAGCCTAATTATCTGCATGTGAGACTGAACCATCACTCTGCAGCTGAGACCACATTAGTCCTGCTTACTGTTGTATCCCTCCTGCTAGCTCTCACACATCAGGAGAATTAGTCAAGTGCACAAGAGCTTATTGATGACATTTTTTGTGGTTTTTCAACCTAGCCTTTTCATGTTACTGCCTTTGATATAGACGTGTCACTGACTGGCTCCAGGTCAACCTGATTTCACCAGGCCTTCAGTGTGCTCGAGCAATAAGGACTCCTAGCGAGAGCAAGCAGATGTCTCTGTTTTCCCATGACAATTCCAGTTCATATTCAGTAGAATAGTTACTAGTTCCCTGTTGAATTCTCCAAAGGTTCCCAGATTGGGTGATACATTTTAAGGTCTCCATACTGATAGCTCAGGTCCATTCCTTGAACATTCAGGCAAGTTTCAACCTTCCTACAAAGCAGCAATATGGGGAAAAATTAATCAAAGAATTAATAACTTTTCAGTTAATTCATTTTCTAGGCCACCAGAGTAGCCTCCTGGGAGGGGCTGACACTCATCTTTAAGTAGAATGTACACATGTCACCCAACTATCAATGAATATTTCAAGCTCTGTTTTTCAAATGCCTTGGGTCACATGTATACATATGTAACTAACCTGCACGTTGTACACATGTACCCTAAAACTTAAAGTATAATTAAAAAAAGAATAAAGAAACAAGTACAGATTCAGAATATACTGAACAAATCCGCGTGTGCAAGACTCGGAAGAATTTTCTCAATACTCAGGACCATTTATTTACCTTTGAGGCAGAGCCCAGGAGACATTTACTTTTTTGTTTTGTGTGTGTGTTGTTATTATTGTTTTGAAGGTTTCTTTGTTTTAGATCCCCTGACACTGCCACCTTTGTCTTACACTATCTACCCCAACCTCCATCCCACCCCATACGCTGCAATTGAGGAAAAATCTTTTAAAATAATTATCAAGATTGGCTGCTAACTGTGATCAAATTCATTAGATAATAGCTAAACTCTACATTTCACTTGTGCACAATGTTTTACTTTTTTCTTTCTCCCTTTCTCTCTCCACTATTCACATGGAAATAATGCCATAGTTGTCTAGGGATAAATTTGAGGTGCTCTCCGAGGACCTGGCATATTTCAGAAAACACTGGCAGAGGGTGGATAGGTATCTCTGGCAGCAAGAGAGACGGGGAAAGAGAGGACAGTAACTCCTTTAAAAGATTTTTTTTCCAAACTAATTATCAGTATTAGTGATTACCCCTAAGTAATGTTCATTTTTTAAAAAATTAGAAGTAGCAAAAAAAGTAAAAATGAGAATATTCTTTATAAAAATAAAGTTGCATACATAATATTATACTCTATATACTCTAAATTGGGGATCATAACACGTAAATATTGTATTTTATATTTCCCATTAGGCTGAGAATAATTTCCAATGATGTTGAATATTATTTTGGAACAGCGTTTTGCAATGGAGGATTTGCATCAGATTCCACTGGAGATTTACGTAAAAACTGACTCCTAAGTCCTGTACCAAATCAAAAAAATCAGAAAGAGCTTGTGGGGGATAGAAGCAGTGAGTCATGAAGCTGTGGATTCAAAGATCGTCTTGGGTAACTTTGATGTGTAACCCATTTTCTCATTTTAAGAAACACTGTTAGAAACCATGTCTAATAATGACATAGTATTCCATGGATGGATGCAGAGAATTTAACCACTTCCCTATTGCTAGCCTTTTGGGTTATTGGATTTACTAGGTCCCAGGATTTTGCGTTTTTAAAGCTAAAGTGATTTACTGTACTCCAAAGGTTTTCCACAACTTAAAGTTTAACAGTGTGTGAGAAAGCCTGTCCTATTAACTTCTATATACTTTTAAAATAGAAACAAACCTTGTCAATCCAATAAATGAATAACAATTTTAATCATGTATTAAATTACTTTGCTTTGTTTTCTAGTAGGTTATATAATTTCTCTGTGTTTATTGACCATTTATGTTTTCCAACCTTTCATTCTATTGAGGAGTTCGTCTCTTTTCTTATTAATTTGTAAGATCTCTGTATTTTTAAGGACATAATATTTATTTTTTCTTATATTATTGTGATATGTATTAATTATTCTCTTTCTTTTGCCCTTTAATTTTATTTGTTGTTTTGATATGAAGAAGTACAGACTATATGTAATCAAATGTAACACTACTATTCTTCATATTTCTTCTTTATGACTATCCTCCTCTTGCATTTAAATAATCTCTTTTTTTCAGGTCTTCTATAGATTAATTCTATAATCCATCTGGAATCTATTTTCATGTATGATTTGAAGTACAAGGTATGGTTTATTTCTTTCCAAATGGTTTATCAACTTTTCCAATAACACTTTAATAAATAATTCATTTTTAACCCCTCTAATTTAAAATATCAAAATTATATAACAGGATGTTTAGATATAGAGGAGTCTTTCTCATTATTTTCTATTCTGTTCTACTGATTGTCTTCTAGCACTAATATCGTGCTTTTTAATAATTGTAGCTTCATACTACATTTTAGTATAGAAAATGCAACTCACCCCTCATTGGTCTTATTTCTTAAATTTTTCTCACTTAGAATCACTTCAACAAGTTTTAAATATATTTTGATTTCAGTTTTAATTGGAATTGCATTAAGTTTATACAAAATTTAAAGAGAAATTGCTTTTTTTCAATAACTGGTTTTCCTAAAAAGAAAAATATATTTTTTCATTTAATCAAATTTTGGTTTATGCCACTAAGTAGGGTTTTAGTTTTTCTGAACTAGGTACTAAATAACTTTATTATTCTTATTGACATATGGTTTATATTTTAGTTGATATTATCAAGTATATTTTAATCAATATTATTCTGAACTGTGAAATAGAAAAATAATTGATTTTTGTATGTTTATTTTATAACTCAGTACCTTTAAAAATTATTACTAATACTTTTCAGTTGATTCACTTAGGCTTTATAGATTGCAAACTATATTTATAAAAAATTTATTTCCTCCTTCCCAAATATTATACTTCTTATGAATTTTTATTGGTTTTTCAATGACCAGACTTTTTATAAAAATCATAAGTAATAGTGCTAATGGGAAGCATACTTTTCTGCCTTTTAATAAGAATGTCTTTGGTATTTCACACTAAGCATAAGATCGGCCTTTGGTTTGTGATTTCTATACTATTTTTTAAATCAGGTTAAAGAAATCTTCATTATCATTCTGAGAAAATCCTGGCACTGCGTTTATTTTTTTAACTCTATTCGAACTATTTTTAGACTTGTAGAAAAGTTGAAAAAAAAGTTGAAAAATAGTACAAAGAGTTTCCATATATTCCTCCTTCAACTTTCTCCAATTTGAACATGTTATATAATCATAGCACATTTATCAGAACCAAGAACCAGGAAATTAACACTGGTACAGTATCACTAATGGGTTTTTTGCAGATATATTTGATAGATGATGAATAAAATGTTCAAACATGAAAACGTATATATTATAATAAAATCTCTGGGGGAAGTGGAACAGAAATATACACATAAAGAGAAAAAGGAAAGGTGGAGAATTCTGAAATTTAAAAGAAGAGCTATTTTCATTTATTCTTAAGTGGAAGATAATGGTTATCAAATTGTTATGATATTTTATTAGATAATTTTAAAGAATGCTTTCATTTAAACAATTTGATATTTA
Organism: Homo sapiens; assembly: GCF_000001405.40. Classification (NCBI taxonomy): domain Eukaryota; kingdom Metazoa; phylum Chordata; class Mammalia; order Primates; family Hominidae; genus Homo; species Homo sapiens. Next base: position 41,546,555 of record NC_000007.14, read on the forward strand.
TATTCCAGAAATTACATTATTTTCAATTATTTAAAACTTGATAAAAGTTATCTAATTTGAAATTAGACATCAACTTTGAAATGTATAAGGCTACGTAATTTTTGAAAATTTTTTTCCAGGCCCACAAGCAACAACCTGGTGACCATTGCTTTACTTTAGTGTGAAGATTCTACTGCATTCAAGTGTGAAACACTCCATCAGCTCACTAGAAATAGTAATCAAGTGGGTTGTTTGCAAAGATTAGCCCCTCTATTTGAATGAATGAATCCATCTATTCAGGGGAAATTGTATATTCATAGCCCACACAACATCCTAATTCTAATTTATCTGAACTACTGCAGTGGTTGTGTATAAACTATGGCTCAAATAGTGTAAGCTATATTGAATGCTTGTTATGATGTGAGCTACCAACTCTCATTTCTGTTAAAAATACAAGGTATTGGGCAACCTCATGTAATTAGTGTGAACTTGAAGTGGTCAGATAACACATTATTGCAGTTGTAACTGGAAATGGGTCCTGATCCAGACCCCAAGAGGGGGTTCTTGGATCTCACACAAGAAAGAATTCAGGGCGAGTCCACGGTGCAAAGCAAAAGCAAGTTTATTAAGAAAATTAAGTGGTGAAAGAATAGATACTCCATAGACAGAGTAGAGCATTCCCTGAAGAGAAGGAACACATCACCCTAAGTACGAAACTTGTTTATATATAGGATAAAATAAGATCATGGGGAGATATGCTCTGCTACAAGGGTTTGTGATAAAGGGTGGATTTTCTTAAGTACCATATTTTGCAAGAATTGATAGTATTATCTTCAAAACAAAATTAGGAATGCTTCTGTTCTCAAGATATTGGGATATCAGGACACTCCCAAGTCTGGGTCTGTTTAGTAAATGCTATCAATCTGTTCCCTTAGCTGTAAACATCTAGAAGCTAGGAATACCTAACTTTCTAGGAATGTAGCCCATCAAGCCCCAGCTTCATTTTCCTAGCCCTCACTCAAGATGGAGTCACTCTGGTTCAAACGCCTCTGACATATCTCCTCCGTCCCTTTACAAGAGGACCCTTAATCCTCATGGTGCAGAGGGATGGGGATCCATCTTCTGTAGCTTCTTCAGGCGGAATGGGATGATGACATTCCCTCATAACTATTGGATCTCTTGCATCCAAGGTAGAGAGGAGCTCAGTCAGAAAGCATTGGTATGGTAAGGGTCATTCATAACTCTGAGTTCCAACAAAAGGTGATATCTGGAAGATTAATAAGTGTCCAATTTAAGAAAGCATTGAGAAAGCTTGTCTTGCATTCCTACACAGAGTACAAGCACAATATATTCCACAACAGCAAAGCAAAATAAGTAAAATCATTCCAAGTAAACTAAACAGGAAGGCTTTCCAAGAACTGAGCAGTTGTTGGAACTAAGCTGATATAGGGTCAACTGACAGCACATCAATGGCAGAGATAGGAGTGTCTAAAGCTTTCATAGCCAGGGTAACATGTGAATAGTATGGAACACACACACAACATTTGGTTTTGATCAAAGCAGAAGTTCCTCTTTGGGCCACTGTTAAAATGTCTAAAGCCATACAGTTTTGTAAGGCTCATCTGAGAAGTTTCCTCAGTTAGGAGGGTAAGGGAATGGTATGTATTACTGAAAGCTGCAGCCTGTGCTTGGCTAAGGCTTCAACTTGTAACTTGATACTGATTGTAGGTGCCTGTGGGGAAAAAATAGCCATTGGGTAGAATCGCAATGTGGCCCGTTTTTATCACCTATGGTGAGCCTTTACAATTTCCCAGTTAGATGGGATAGAGTCCAATTTGGTTTGGTGAGGATATGTTCCAGTAGATAAGGACGACCCCACATACTCCTTCCAGGCAAGTTATAAGGTAAGTACGGCCAGCCATGAGTTCCACAAGCCCATAATCATCCCCAAGGAGAAGGTTAGGTACCCATTTTTGGCAAATTATGTTGTTATCCCATCCACATCTGCTCTGTTAAAAGAAGGGTCTGATTGCATTGTTGAGGTGGCAACCATCCCACATCACGAGTTCCAGTCTGGTGGTGACTATTATTGCGCCTTTCGAAACATAGAGGCACTTTGCCTGACACCTGTACTTGAACAGCTGTCATACACCCAAGTCCAACATCTACAGCATAACCTAAAGCTGAGATAGAATTTAGCTGTTCCTTAATTCGATTTAAAAGGTACCTTCCTGTCTCTCCATAGGAGAGGAAGGGGCTAAGGTCTGTGTGGCTATGATACATAGGAAAAGAGGGACTATGTTTATAATGGTCGGTTTCCCAATCATAACAAAATCCCTATAAATTTAGGTTGGCCAGTTGAATATGCCATGGCAATCAGGAAGTGGAAGAAAGTGGCAATTCTCCACATACCCAACAGTTTGTCTGATTATGTAGAGAGGCTAAAGTCTGTGCCCACTCAGCAAATAAGTTATTCTTGGTATGATTTCAACTTATAACCAAAAGTAGAAAGCCAATCTATATCTTTATGTTACCCGTCCCTTTCATTTCTTCTGAACAGAAGCCTTAGATCACTGGTTGGCTCACAGGAACAGGTGGGACCAGTCTCTCATGTTCCATCTGCCTGTGAAACTTCATAAGAGACAGGTTTGATTTTAGATAAGTGGAATTGCAGTTGGGGTACTAAGGAGAACTTCATAGGATCCCTTCCATTTTGGGAAATGTTTACGTGCTGGGGATCATTCCTTCCAAGTTTTTAATAGGACCCAATCTCCCATCTGAGCTAACAAGATTCTCTTCCTTAGTGGAGGAAGGGATTCTTTGATTTCCATATTCAAGGAGTGCATTTTGCATTTGTCCTAAGTTGATTACATAATTTTGTAGCTCGAAAGTATCTGTGTCTATCAGGAAATCTGTAGTTGAGAAAGAAAGGCCTTCCATACATTATTTCAAAAGGGCTGAGCAGTAGATTCCCCTTGGGGATGACTTGAACCCATAATAAGGCTATAGGCAATAAAGACAGCCAGGTTTATTATTATTATTATTATTATTATTATTATTATTATTATACTTTAAGTTCTAGGGTACATGCACACAACGTGCAGGTTTGTTACATAGGTATACATGTGCCATGTTGATTTGCTGCACCCCAACTCCTCATTTACATTAGGTATTTCTCCTAATGCTATCCCTCCTCCAGCACCCCAGCCCCCAACAGACCCCGGTGTGTGATGTTCCCTCCACTGTGACCAAGTGTTCTCATTGTTCAATTCCCACCTATGAGTGAGAACAGATGGTGTTTGGTTTTCTGTCCTTGTGATAGTTTGCCAAGAATGATGGTTTCCAGCTTCATCCATGTCCCTGCAAAGGACATCAACTCATCCTTTTTTATGGCTGCATAGTATTCCATGGCATATATGTGCTACATTTTCTTTATCCAGTCTATCATTGATGGACATTTGGGTTGGTTCCAAGTCTTTGCTATTGTGAATAGTGCCGCAATAAACATACGTGTGCATATGTCTTTATAGTAGAATGATTTATAATCCTTTGGGTATATACCCAGTAATGGGATTGCTGGGTCAAATGGTATTTCTAGTTCTAGATCTTTGAGGAATCATCACACTGTCTTCCACAATGGTTGAACTAGTTTATACTCCTACCAGCAGTGTACAAGCATTCCTATTTCTCCACATCCTCTCCAGCATCTGTGGTTTCCTGACTTTTTAATGATTGTCATCCTGACTGGCATGAGTTGGTATCTCATTGTGGTTTTGATTTGCATTTCTCTGATGACCAATGATGATGAGCATTTTTTCACATGTCTGTTGGCTGCATAAATGTCTTCTTTTGAGAAGTGTCTGTTCATAGCCTTTGCACACTTTTTGATGGGGTTGTTTGATTTTTTCTTGTAAATTTGTTTAAGTTCTTTGTAGATTCTGAATATTAGCCCTCTGCCAGATGGGTAGATGCAAAAATTTTCTCCCATTCTGTAGGCTGCCTGTTCACGCTGAAGGTAGTTTCTTTTGCCGTGCAGAAACTCTTTAGTGTAATTAGATCCTATTTGCCTATTTCGGCTTTTGTTGCCATTGCTTTTGGTGTTTTAGTCATGAAGTCCTTGCCCATGCCTATGTCCGGAATGGCATTGCCTAGGTTTTCTTCTAGGGTTTTTATGGTTTTAGGTCTAACGTTAAAATCTTTAATCCATCTTGAATTAATTTTTGTACAAGGTGTAAGGAAGGGATCCAGTTTCAACTTTCTACATACGGCTAACCAGTTTTCCCAGCACAATTTATTAAATAGGGAATCCTTTTCTCATTTCTTGTTTTTGCCAGGTTTGTCAAAGATCAGATGGTTGATGGTGTGTGGTGTTATTTCTGAGGCCTCCGTTCTGTTCCATTGGTCTATATCTCTGTTCTGGTACCAGTACCATGCTGTTTTGGTTACTGTAGCCTTGTAGTATAGTTTGAAGTCAGGTAGCATGATGCCTCCAGCTTTATTCTTTTTGCTTCGGATTGTCTTGGCAATGTGGGCTCTTTTTTGGTTCCATATGAACTTTGAAGTAGTTTTTTCCAATTCTGTGGAGAAAGTCATTGGTAGATTGATGGGGATGGCATTGAATCTATAAATTACCTTAGGCAGTATGGCTATTTTCACAATATTGATTCTTCCTATCCATGAGCATGGAATGTTCTTCCATTTGTTTGTATCCTCTTTTATTTCGTTGAGCAGTGGTTTGTAGTTCTCCTTGAAGAGGTCCTTCACATCCCTTGTAAGTTGAATTCCTAGCTATTTTATTCTCTTTGAAGCAATTGTGAATGGGAGTTCACTCATGATTTGGCTCTCTGTTTGTCTATTATTGGTGTATAGGAATGCTCGTGATTTATGCATATTGATTTTGTATCGTGAGACTTTGCTGAAGTTGCTTATCAGCTTAAGGAGATTTTGGGCTGAGGCCATGGGGTTTTCTAAACATACAATCATGTCATCTGCAAACAGGGACAATTTGACTTCCTCTTTTCCTAACTGAATACCCTTTATTTCTTTCTCTTGCCTGATTGCCCTGGACAGAACTCCCAACACTGTGTTGAATAGGAGTGGTGAGAAAGGGCATCCTTGTCTTGTGCCGGTTTTCAAAGGGAATGCTTCCAGTTTATGCCCATTCAGTATGATATTGGCTGTGGATTTGTCATAAATAGCTCTTATTATTTTGAGATACCTACCATCAATATCTAGTTTATTGAGAGTTTTTAACATGAAGTGTTGTTGAATTTTGTTGAAGGCTTTTTCTGCAGCTATTGAGATAATCATGTGGTTTTTGTCATTGGTTCTGTTTATGTGATGGATTGTGTTTCTTGATTTGCATATGTTGAACCAGCCTTGCATCCCAGGGATGAAACCCACTTGATCATGGTGGATAAGCTTTTTGATGTGCTGCTGGATTTGGTTTGCCGGTATTTTATTGAGGATTTTTGCCTCGATGTTCATCGGGGTGTTGATCTAAAATTCTCTTTTTTTGTTGTGTCTCTGCCAGGCTCTGGTATCAGGATGATGCTGGCCTCATAAAATGAGTTTGGCAGGATTCCCTCTTTTTCTATTGATTGGAATAATTTCAGAAGGAATGGTACCACCTCCTCTTTGTACCTCTGCTAGAATTCAGCTATGAATCTGTCTGGTCCTGGAAATTTCAGCTTTTCTTCTCTGGTTTCTCCCAATCTTTGTGGTTTTATCTACCTTTGGTCTTCCATGTTGGTGACCTACAGATGGGATTTTGGTGTGGATGTCCTTTTTGTTGATGTTGATGCTATTCCTTTCTGATTGCTAGTTTTCCTTCTAACAGTCAGGTCCCTCAGCTGCAGGTCTGTTGGAGTTTGCTGGAGGTCCACTCCAGACCCTGTTTGCCTGGGTATCACCAGCAGAAGCTGCAGAACTGCAAATAATATTGCAGAGCAGCAAATATTGCTGCCTGATCCTTCCTCTGGAAGCTTCGTCCCAAAGGGGCACCCACTTGTATGAGGTGTCTGTCAACCCCTACTGTGAGATGTCTCCCAGTTAGGCTACATGGGGGTCAGGGACCCACTTGAGGATGCAGTCCATCAGTTCTCAGAGCCCGAATGCATGCTGGGAGAACCACTGCTCTCTTCAGAGCTGTCAGACAGAGACGTTTAAGTCTACAGAAGCTTCTGCTGCCTTTTGTTCAGCTATGCCCTGCCCACAGAGGTGGGGTCTGTAGAGACAGTAGGCCTTGCTGAGTTGCGGTGGTCTCCACCCAGTTTGAGCTTCCCAGCCACTTTGTTTACCTACTCATAACTCAGCAATGGTGGATGCCCCTCTCCCTGCCAGCTGCTGCCTTGCAGATCAATCCCAGACTGCTGCACTAGCAGTGAACAAGGCTCTGTGGGTGTGGGACCCACCAAGCCAGGCACGGGAGAGAATCTCCTGGCCTGCTGGTTGCTAAGACTGTGGGAAAAGCATAGTATTTGGGCGGAAGTGTCTCATTTTTCCAGGTACAGTCTGTCACAGCTTCCCTTAGCTAGGAAAGGGAAATCCCCCAATCCCTTGTGCTTCCCAGGTAAGGCAACACCCCACTCTGCTTTGGCTCACCCTCCGTGGGCTGCACCCACTGTCCAACCAGTCACAATGAGATGAACCAGGTACCTCAGTTGGAAATGCAGAAATCACCCATCTTCTGTGTCCATCACGCTGGGAGCTGCAGACCGGAGCTGTTCCTATTTGGCCATCTTGGGATGGAGACCAAGGCAGCCAGGATTTTTAAGTTTCCTGGCATAGTTTACCCAGAGTCCTTTTTAGGGTTTGATTGGGTCTTTCTATAATACTTTACCTGAAGACTGTAGCCTTCATGCAGATTGAAGTTGGTACTGAAATTTTAGGGCTGAAGATACATTTTGGATAATTTTCACTGTGAAAGATGGGCCATTATCACTCTGCAAGCTCTTAGGCAGCCCAAATCTAGGAACTATTTCCTTTAATAGGAGTTTAGAAAACTCAATTGTCTCTTCAGACTGGGTAGGAAAAGCCTTGATCCAACTGGTAAAGGTGTTGATGAATTCTAATAAGTATTTAAACCCTTCACATGGGGGCATCTGAGTATATTCAATTTGCCAGTCTTCACCAGGGTACATTCCCCTGTGCTGAATATGCCTTAATAAAGGAGGAGGTAAAAATTGGTTATTTGGGTTATTCACAGTAACCTGCTTTACTGTTTTAAATAAGCCTCTTCCTATAAAAAGCTGAGACATCAGTTGAAACAGGGAATCTCTTCCCAAATAAGTAGAGTCATGTAAATGCTTAACTGTTTTCCACTGATTATCCCCTGGTACCAACAGTTTGTTGTCATTGATAAGACTGCCAGAAGTATCTTGAATTAACCCCTGACCTTTAACCCATTCTTGTTCCTCTTTAGTATATCTTGGTTTTGTCATCACCATGGCAGAGGGCACTAACATGCCTACAAGTCCAACTGGTTCCTTTAATGCAGCTGCCTTAGCCGCTGCATCTGCAAAGGAGTTTCCCTTAGCCACACTAAATTATCCTTTGTGATGCCCTCTGCAATGGTTTACAGCTACTTCCTTGGGCAGCAAAACAGCATCCAATAGATTCAGAATTTCCAAATGATGTTTTACAGGGGAACCCTTAGCAGGTAGGGGTCCCTGCTCCTTTTTGATAGCTGCATGTGCACGAAACACCAGAAAGGCATACTTAGAATAAGTGTAAATGTTGACAATGAAGTCCTTTCCCAATTGCAGGGCTCTAATAAGAGCTATTAATTCTGCCTTTGGAGCTGAGGTAGAAGCTGATAAGGCCTTGTGTTGACTGACAACAGCATACCCAGCTTTCCTTTTTCCCTGGTGCACAAAGCTACCTCCATCTGTAAATCATTCTACCTCAGGATTATCTAGAGGCTCATCCTTTAAATCCAGACTTCTGGAGTAAACTTGCTCCATAACTTGTATACAAGAATGATCTAGGGTGCCTGTGGGTTCAGGAAAATAAGTAGCTGGATTCAAAATCTGGCATACTTTAAGAGTTGCATCAAGAGTTTCTAGCAACAAAGTGTGATATTTCAATAAATGTCCCCCTGTCATCCACTGGCATCCTTTAGCTTCTAGGAGTGCTTGTACATGGTGTGGGGTTAAAACCTCCAGCTGTTGTCCTAAAGCCATTTTATTGGTTTCATCTAATAAAAGAGCAGTTGCTGCAACTGCACTAAGGCATCAAGGCCATCCTGAAGTGACATGGTTTTTCACTTGTTTAAAAAACATAGTTTAAAAAACTATGCCAGTGGTTGGGAGATATCTTCCAGTTTCTGGACAAGGATGTGTAGGGCATTTCCTAGTTTTTCAGCCACATAAAGAAAAAATGGCTTATCAAGATTAGGGATCCCTAGGGCTGGAGCTGATCCCAATTTCTTTGAGAGCATTAAAAGCTTGTTTACAATTGCTATCCCATTCAAAAGGATCTATGTCTGCTCCTTTCAGGGCCTCGTATAAAGGCTTTGCTATGTGCCCAAGTACAGGCACTCACAAATGGCAAAATCCTGCCATTCCTAGGAAATCCTGCAGCTGCTTTCTAGTTTGGGGTTCTGGAATGTTCAAGATAGCTTCCCTTCATTCTGGTGCTATTTCCTGGGTACCAGGGGTTAGGACATATCTTAAGTATTTAACCTCTTGAGTTGAAATCTGGGCCTTATGTGGTGAGACCCTATACCCATTAGCTCCCAGAAAATTTAGCAATTTAATGGTATTTTTGGCTGAGTCTCTTTTGGTTGTATTAGCAACCAACAAGTCAGCCACATATTGGGTAATAGCACGCTTATTTAATTGTAACATCCTTAATTCTCTAGCCAATTTATTTCCAAACAGATGAGGACTGTCCCTAAACCCCTGGGGAAGAATTGTCCAAGTTAATTGAGAAACCAAATGACTGTCAGAATCAGTCCATTTAAACACAAACACGAATTGTGAATCAGTGTCTACTGGAATGCAAAAAGAGGCATCCTTAAGATCTAAGACTGTAAACCAATCAGCATCCCCAGAGACCTGGGCTAACAGTATGTAGGGATTGGGCACTATAGGATGTATGAGAATGACAGCTTCAATGACAGCTTGAAGATCTTGAACAAATCTGTAGTCTCCATTCAACTTCTTCACTGGCAAGACTGGCATATTACAAGGAGACTCACAGGGCCTTAACAACCTGAATTGCAAAAACTTAGCCATTAATGGTTGTCTTTTTCAAGGGATGGGGCACCAGGCTTAAATTGGATGTAAACTGGAGGAACGTTTAATGCTTTGCCTAGAATCTCAATATCCCATACTGTAGAATTTACTTGGGAGGCTACTTCAATAAGTAAACTAGGCAAGTCCCCTATTGACTTTCTTCCCTTATCGTAGGAAAGAAGAAGAGCAATCCCTCATCTGCCTTTTGATTTTCAAAAGATAACACTGCATCTGGGTCAACAAATGCCTTCCCAACAGGTGGTGGGGCATTTGGGCATGATAACAAAGGCATGTGAGAAAAACCAAGATCCCTGAAGAGCAGCTTAAAGGACAGGTAAGATGATGTCTTTGAGCTTGTTCATCTATCTGCATGATCATACAGTTTTGGGGTGACAGAGGCCCTTTATAATGGGTCAAAACAGAGTAAGCAGCTCCTGTATCCAGAAGGATGTTAATATTTTTACTGCCACATCAAGGGTTACTCAAGCACCCTCCAGAGATATGGCTAGTTGTCCAATGGGAGCTGTGGCAGAAGGTCTTGGGCCCCATCACTCTTGGGCTTATTTGGACATTTTGGTCATCATTGGTTTAGGTGCTGATGATGCCCTTCAGGGCTCTGGAGAGTCCCTCTTCCAATGGCCAGTTTTATTACAGTATGCACACTGATTTATGCCCAAGGCATGGTGACTGGGATGCCCAGCTTTGGGCTTTCCAACCTTTCTCCTTCCCTTGGTCAGGCCAAGAGCCAGAAGGGCAACCCCATGTGGGAGGTGAGCTGAAGGCTGCAGCCAACAGCTGCACCTTGTGGGAGGTCCATCTTGCTCTTTCTGCTTCCTCTGTTTGTCCCTGTTATTAAAAACTAAAAATGCCACATTGAAAAGCTGTCCCATAGGCATCTGAGGACCCATAGCTGCTTTTTGTAGTTTCCTAATGATATCAGGGGCAGACTGGGTTATAAAATGTACTCCCAAAAGGATTTGTCCTTCCCTTGAGACAGTTTCAGTTTTAGTATATTTCCTGATGGCCTCAACTAAACACCCTTGAAACAAAGCTGGATTCACACCTTTACCCTGAGAAACCTACTTAAACTTTTCATAATTAACAGGCTTTTTCATACATTTCTTCATATCTTCTAACAAGTGACCATATGATCTCTCTTCCCCAAGTTCTCACTGCCCCTTTGATAGTTCCATCTTCTATCTTGATCTGGAACTGCTACATCTCCTGCCTGATATATATTATGGTTAGGCTTATAAGCCAATACTTCTTCTGCATGGGTCCTAGCTGTTCCCAAAATGTGTTGTTTCTCTTGTACTGTACAACACAGAGACAACAAAACATGCAGATCCTGCCAAGTGAAACTATAGGTCAGAGTTCATTTCTCAACCCGATTTATAAATTTTCCTGGACCTTCAGAGAAATGACCAAACTCTTTACATTCAGCCAAATCAGACATAGTAAAGGGGACTTGTACTCTTACAGTGTCTTCTTCCCTTTTTGCCACCTCTCTAAGTGGACAAAGATTTCCTTTTGGAAGTTTATAAGAGGCTCCACTACAAGTAGTACTCACAAGGCTAGGTATAGAGTGGGGTTAGGAGTAGGGACAAAGGGTTCTCAGTAGAACTTTCATGTAGACTAGAAGGAGAAAGGGCTGATACATCTGAACTTTCAGAGCTGAAAGAAGGAAGTTCTTCTCCACACAAAAATGCCCTCTGATCTGGGGAGATGGGGAGGGGGAGGCTTGCACCAAGGGATCATCTAGTATGTCTAGTTCTTTTTCTTTCTTTCTTCTCATCAAACATGCACACACCTGCTGCAGGGTTTTATCTTGACTGAGCAGCAAAAACGGTTGAACATATGGTATTTCATCCCATTTTCCCTCCCACTTACAAAACAAATCTAGTTGAAGTATAGTATTAAAGGTCATGGGTCCAGCAGGAGACTATTTTTCTTGTTTTCCCAAATAATACCGAGGCCAAACAGTATTACATAGAAACACCAGTTTTCTCTTCTTAAACCCATTTAATTTAAACTGGTCCCAATGTTCAATAATATATCCTAGTGGTGAGTCCTTTCAAATCAATGCTGTGGTTTCCATAAAGGAGGCAGGTAATGTTGAAAGAAAAGTTCCAAACCTGTGAAATCGTATTGCCATTGGCTGAGCTCCAATAGAAAAGATAAGAGAGATTTTTAAGGCCAGCTGCATTAATGAGGGGATTCCTGCCAAAAATTGAATTATTTTATTCACAGTATCTGAATAATATAAATGAGCTGAGCCATGAGTCTTAGATATATCATAACATGGAATCCAACAAAATAAACGTTGAATAAGGCAAAGGAAATGAAGAGGGTGTAGATGGGAACGACCAGGGCAAGCAGGTTCTGGGCAATAGTGGCAGTGTGGATTGGACAAGCAAAGCCAATTTGCCTAAATCCAAGAAAGGAAAGAAGTGTCTAAATGAAACAAAACAGCAAGAAGAAAATTCCCCTGATTTCCATCCTAATGCTTCTAGATCACATCTGCAACAAAACGTAACCACATATATCTAAACTTATTGCTCATAGTTGTTAAATACCAAATCTCAATCAGCAATTTTAGAGACAGAGCCTTCAATGCTTTTTGTTCACAATGTTTCACAAGCAAACAGATGGAAATTGGGAGGCCCACTGGAGAAGAGTAAGTTAAAATCCCAAAGACCAGTTAAATGAAGTCTCCTGAAAATGACAGTGAAACTGAGACAGTGACCAAGAAATTTATTCAGGCAGCAAACAGGACAAGCAAGATTAATACAAAGAGCATAGCCGTTAACATCCCATGGTGCCAAACTCGTTTTTCGCTGAGAGGGATTTTAATGAGAGGGACATCTAACCCCCTAAATCTTAGGAACGACTCTAACCTTCCTAAGTTGGACCTCAAACCAAGGTTAGTCAAGCATCCTAGCCTTTTATTGAGAGGAGCCTTTAACCTTCTCTTAGGAGAAACTCTAACTCCCCTAAGTTGGGCCTCTAACCCAATCCACTCCTTTACCCAGGTACCCTACCATTTACCTTAAGTGGGCCAATCAGTGCTGTAGTACATTTCCTTTCGGTTGGGGGGTTTCTTCAGTATTGTCTTTTCAGGGTTTGCCAGAGTGTTGTTACCAAAAAGGGTCCTGATCCAGACCCCAAGAGAGGGTTCTTGGGTCTCGCATAGGAAATAATTCAGGGCAAGACAACAGTGCAAAGCAAAAGCAAGTTTATTAAGAAAGTAAAGTGGTGAAAGAATAGCTACTCTATAGACAGAGTAGGGTGTTCCCAAAAGTAAGAGAAGGAACACATCTACCCTAGGTACAATACTTATTTATATATAGGATAAGCACTTTGGGAAGCCGTGGCGGGCGGATTATGAGGTCAAGAGATCAAGATCATCCTGGACAACATGGTGAAATCCCATCTCTACTAACAATACAAAAATTAACTGGGCGTGGTGGCATATGCCTGTAGTTCCAGCTACTTGGGAGGCTGAGGCAGGAGAATTGCTTGAACCCAGGAGGTGGAGGTTGCAGTGAGCCAAGATCGTGCCACTGCACTCCAGCCTGGCGACAGAGTAAGATTCTATCAAAAAAAAAAAAAAAAAAGAAAGAAAAAAAGAAAAAAAATCATGGGGAGATGTCTCTGCTACAAGCGTTTGCAATAAAGGATTAATTTTCTTAAGTACTGTATTTTGCAAGAATTTATATTATTATCTTTAAAGCAAAATTAAGAATGCTTCTATTCTTAAGGTATTGGGATATCAGGCCACTCCCAAGTCTGGGTCTGTTTAGTAAATGTCATCAATCTGTTTTCTTAACCGTAAACATCTAGAGGCCAGGACTACCTAACTTTCTGGGAATGCAGCCCAGCAAGTTCCAACCTCATTTTTCCTCGCCCTCACTCAAGATGCAGTTGCTCTGGTTTGAATGCCTCTGACACAATGACAGTTTTTATGACTTAAAATGTGAATTTGTATTATAAATTTTAAAACCCTAGTAGAAAAAAAAGGTCTTGGACCTATTTTTGCCCCTCAGAGCTGAAGATAATGGCACTTATAACAAATATTTGTGCAAAAAAAAAAAATATATATATGAAAAACACACAGGGGAATTCCAATTTTCTGTCCAGCATATAAAGAGTCTGAAGTCATCACTTTCATCCTCACAACAACAACAAAAATCTGAACAAATTGAAAATCAACCACTCTTCTTAGATCCTGCAGAGAGCTGAGGTCACAGGGCAAACTATTGCTCCCAACATTTGAGAGAGAGACAGGTGAATACAGAAAATCACGGCTTACCTGAGAAGAAGCCCAGGAGCCACTAGAGTTAGTACAAGAGTAGGAAAACTTAAATTGTAATTGAAAAAACTGCTAGAACCTAAGTATGAACTAGCGTGAGAGTCAAAAATTTGGTGAGGAAGCAGTCTTAAGGGGGTCTCCGTGCTATTATGAGTTTTACCTCCAAGAGCCCAATGAGATTTCAACAGTAAAAATTAGAGAAAAATCCTCTTGTGTTTCTAGAAGGGGGAGGGGAAAAATAGCCATTTTGAAATATGCCCAGAGTGTTCTGTTCTACTTAAAGAGATCTGTACTCAAGAGAAACTATTTTACCAGAGACTAACCCACAGGGGTTTTACCAGACAATAATTTTACCAGACAAAAAGTGAAAAACAACAAGGAAGACAAAATAAAGACAACGAAGAAAATTTTACTTTCTATCACCTACAGCTACAACAAACAATAAACACAGTCTAACTCTCAGACAGATAAACATAAAACCTCACCCTATAGGCTTATTTACATCCATCCCCTGAACTCCATAGAAATTTGAATAGTTGAAATGAGTTGAATGAGGCAGTTTAGGCTTGAAGACAAAGGAATAATAGGCAGGCACAGACAGGGAAAGCAAAATAGCACTGTTAATCTGCTTGGTGATAGTAGGTCAAGAATTCTTGGGTCTGGTGGCCAGGCACGGTGGCTCATGCCTGTAATCCCAGCACTTTGGGAGGCCTAGGCGGGCAGTTTGCCTGAGGTCGGGAGTTCGAGACCAGCCTGGCTAATGTGGCGAAATCCCGTCTGTACTAAATATACAAAAATGAGCTGCTCATGGTCGTGGGCCCCTGTAATCCCAGCTTCTTGGGAGGCTGAGGCGGGAGAATTACTTGAACTTGGGAGGCAGAGGTTACAGTGAGCCAAGATTGTGCCATTGCACTCCAGACTGGGTGACAAGAGCAAAACTCAGTCTCAAAAAGAAAAAAAAAGAAAGAAAAAACAGGATTCCTGGGTCTGGCAATGAGACATTCACTTGAAGTGTGCTATCTTCATCACTTCTCCCGACATAGGGTTTTGATTTGTTTATTTTCCAGTGGTGTCTGCCCAAGATTCATAATTATAATCCCTGAGCTAGGGTTAGTCCCCCATGCATCATTAAGAAGTACCATTTCTCTGTGCTGAGAGAAATTGTGTTAAAGTAAATGGGGCTTTTTTTCCACCTGAACTTTTCTTTCTTCGTAGTTAAAAAAGTTCAGTTTTTATATAAGGTAGAACAATTAATGGAGTTTTTAAAAAAATATGGTATCAATATGGCAGGGAGGTTGAATTAAGTATGGGCATTGGAGATAGACTTTGGTTCTAACTTCGGATCCCTATCACCTTGGGACTATTTCTTTATTGCTCTGTGCTGAGCATTTCTGTTTGTCTCCTTCTCATACATTCTCCACCCTTCTATGTCTTGAGCTGGGCCAAGGGAAATTACCTCTACAGAGTATACCAGCCCAACCCTCTTGCCCTTTGGCTTTCCAGTTGGGTTGATGAATGGGAAGCATCAGCAGGACTGGGTGGTGGGAAGAGAGAGAGGAAGGAGTATTTCTTCCTCCTGCTCCTTCCCTGCCTGGCCATGGCTTGGGCAGTCCCTGAGTTCTTGGATAGCTCCATATCCCACTGGAGCCCCTCTGATTGTTCCTTCAGGCTAGAGGGACATAGCTAGTCCCTCGGTACTGCCCCATCCCTTGGTAATTCCCTTGCTTCTACCCAATTTGTAGGCAAGCAGAGTGGGATTCAGAGAAGTTCTGTGTCTGCTCAAGAGCACACAGCCTAGATTCAAATCCATTCCTGTTTGATTCTGGAGCCCTTGCTTAAACTCTTTTGCTGTATTACTTCCCAATTCTTTGGAGACTGTTAAGCTGCAGTAAACACCAGAAAGGCCTTGAGATTATTCATTTTTATATTTTTCTAGCTATATAGAACAGTGAAAAAAATAAAAATTCTAATGCCAAATCATTACAATTTATAGTCACATTTTCACAGTAGATCTTTTTTGGTTGTCTCTCTCATTGTAGACAGATTATTTGTATCCTGTGAGATTTTATTTTGTATTATCTATCAATACCTAAGATATGATGTTTAGAATGTTATGGAATGTCATAATTTCATGTTATATATCAGGAAAATATCTGTCTGATAGAAGGGTGACCAAAATCAGGAGGGCTGCATGACCAGATAAATTAAGTGAAGCCTGATCAGTAAGGAGGGAGCAGCTTTCTGCTTTAGTTTTTTGGGCCAGTCAACATGTTAACTAGGCTTTAAAAAATGAATTTAAAAAATTAACAGTGCCGTGTTAAAAATTACAGCTTTTAGCTTTGGGAAATATTTCTATCTATTCAGGATTTGGTTTTGGCTGAGAGAAACCACTTTGCTCTAGACATTAACTTCAGCTAGCTCATGAGAGGGCAGGGCTTTGCCAACTGGAGGAGATTAGAGCTCCTAATAGCCACTCCGTGTTCCTGGGTGGGGGCTTCTTCTTCTTCTTTCTTCTTCTTCTCCTTCTCCTTCTCCTTCTCCTTCTCCTCCTCTTCCTCCTCCTCCTCCTCCTCCTCCTCCTCCTCCTCCTCCTTCTTCTTCTTCTTCTTCTTCTTCTTCTTCTTCCTCTTCTTCTTCTCCTCTTTCTCCTTCTCCTTCTCCTTCACCTTCTTCTTCTTCTTCTTGCTTAGTTTATGTGTGGTGTCTGTAGTAGTCTGTTCTCATGCTGCTAATAAAGACATACCCAAGACTGGGTAACTTATAAAGGAAAGAGGCTTAATTAACTCACAGTTCTACGTGGCTGGGAAAGCCTAACAATCATGGTGAAAAGCAAAAGGGAGACAAGACACATCTTACATGGCAGCTGTCAAGAGAGCATGTGCAGGGGAGCTCTCCTTTATAAAACCATCAGATCTCATGAGATTTATTCACTATCATGAGAATAGCATGGGAAAACCCACCCCCATGATTCAATTACCTCCCAATGGGTCCCTCCCATGACACATGGGGATTATTACAATTCAAGGTGAGATTGGGTGAAGACACAGAGCCAAACCATATCAGTTTTCATCTGAAACATGGACATGAAGAGTCTAGGTTCTCCTCAGAGTTGAGAAAAACCATCCCTTATGACCCAAGGGCCACTGAGAATTTAGACCACTTACAATAGATGCCCATGACTTTTGATTAGGGGAATGTGTCTCTTGAAGTCATACAGAAATATATGGAGCTCAGCAAACTCAAATATAAAACAAATTTTCCTTTGATTTTTGATACATGAGTAGTTTGATAGAAGTAAAACAATTATAATCTATGTGTTTTTGATTAATTTAAAAATAATTTATCCAAATGCTGTTTTGCAAGACGAGATTCAAGTCCAAGAAACCTATTTGGACTTTTTGTCTGTTAAACTTTTTAAACTATCTTCTTTTATTATCATTTCAGTTGTTGGACCAAAAAAGTTGGCCAAGGGTAAAAGGCTAAACGTAACTCTAACTTCAAAGGATTGGAATTGTGCTTAAAACCCAGATACTTAGAAACATTTTCTCTCTTGTCTGAATTGTAGTGTCCTTCCTACTTTTTATTTTAATGTTAGATCCTGTGCAGGGTGGTGGCCAGGGAGTCTTTGATCAACTCTTGTGGTGGGATTGGACACTGGGCTGCAGCTCTTCCACTGAATTTCATTCACGGTATGGCTTCTGAACCAAGAGGGCAGCTAAGAACCTGATCAAGATGCCTAGGCTTGGGACAACTGTTTTTCTCCTTAAACATTGATGATATAAATTATTTCTTCTTTTGCACCCTAAAACTCAACTGGCAATAGTCGATTTTCAATACCAAAAATGCACAATTATTTTCATCAGAAAAACTGATTGACAAGGCTGCAGTCAACATTTGTCTAGGAACCTTTGTGGTTCTTATTCATTAGGCTCCCACAGTATTGGAAGTGCTAGGCTTTCTCAAATTTATGCATTTTCTGTGCCTCCTCTCAATTTGTGACCTATAAAAGCTACCTTAGGATGTACATCTCAGTTCAAATGATACTTTCTCCCTGACTTAAAGCCTCCTCCTGCACAGCTATACTCAGTATATACTCTCCTTCTAGTAGTTATGTTTTCTCAATGTAGTTTTTTGTTTGCCTCTCTCCACTTTAAAGGAGAAGGTCTTTGAGGAAGGGAATTGCTTTTCCTTCTTATGTTCCTAAGGTCTTTAAACATGGTTAGCATAAATATGTGAGCAATCTTTTTAATAAGGTAATAATAAAAAGGGAAATGAAGATTTACACCTTATACAACTAATTGTTTTTGTCACAAAAGATATCAGGTGTGACCACAAAAATCTCCTAATGCAATTCTTCTTAAACAATACCAAGGAACCAATCACTTATCCACTGAGCAATATTTGTGGAGGAGCTCCTCTGTACCCAACCCCACGCCGGGTCCTGATGATGCTGTGTTTCAGGAGGCAGGTGTGACTCTGACCTCAAGTGTTGGCCACATCTTCCTGGAAAACTCTACCACGTTTGGAATTCCTAAGATAAAAATGTCTCCTGTAACTTTCTCCCATTCTATGACTGTTTCATTAATAATTATTTTTGTTACCCTTGATATAACATTAGACCTCCCTAGATTTTCCTGGCACCTGCATAGCAATGATATTTTCATGGCAAGAATGAGTGGAGAAAGTTCTTAAGTGGCCATCAGCTCAAGAATCTCTGCCAGTGGCTTTTTACATTGCTGGCTCAGAATTACCTCTTCTCTGCCTGAAACCACAGATCATCTTCTTCCAGTGCTGCTCTGAGCCATTTGGAGAAGGAAGGATGAAAGGGTCTGTGAGAGTGAACACAAGCTCCTCAAATGTTGCATGATCCTATTTCAGTCAGCTAGTGAAGCCAGTGACACAAAATGGCGGTGCAGAGATAGCCAAGCAGGAGTTGTCTGGTTCTTGGACATCACAACAGGTTATGAAATGGAACGTTTCCTCTTGTCTGGGAATTTTAACTAAAGCTTCAAGCTTAGCCTGATGGCTTTTAAGTACCACTGCATTCCAAAGGGAGGCACTAGATTAGATACTCCCTACTCTCTAGAGTTTGCTAAGCAGCCTCTAAACCATCTTAAATCACTCCTAATAGTCTATAAAAAGAGAGCAATAGGGTTTGCATAGAAAGGAGGAGAAGCCATTTCTTTGAAGGGCATCCAGAAAAAAGCAGAGCCCTGTGGCATTTTCCCTCTCCTGTCGTTTCCCACAGGCTTTAATCCAAGAAGTGGGCTCCGGGAGGTACACTGTCAGACATTGGGTGGTCTGTGAGAGGGAAGATGCGTATCTCCTAGCAGTTGGATGTTTGAGGAGCACAGATGTCCACAGGTCTTCAGCCAAAGCAGAGTGAGAGACATGACTGATGCCCCGAGGGGCTAGGGCAGATGTGTGGATGGAGACTGGACTCGTCCTCTCCTTTACAGAAGCCTGAGAGTCAGAGGCAGGCTAAGCAGCTCCCAGGAGCTGTGGAGAGCAGCAGGGACACCCTCCACTTCAGAGTTTGCAGGGAGAGGAGGTGTGGGGCTGCCCCTGGAGGGAGTGGGTGCAGACTCAAGTCATGTTGAGAAATGCTCGAGAAGCCTCTCTGCAGCAACACAGGGTCTAAAAACAGGGATGTCCTGAAGAGGGCATGACTTCAGAAGTCACTGGCAGCTGCGTCTGTGTGGGGCAGGGGCTCAGAGGAACCCACCAAAAAGCAATTCTGAAAGAAGACGCCGTCAATACAATGGGCATTGAAAAGCCCAGTGAGGGATCTGAATAGCACCAGCTAAGTACTAAGTCCTGTGCTTCTTTTGTTATAACCACTTACCTTCCTCTCAGAAGAGCCAGGGGAGAGTAGTGGTGGGATATGAGTGAAGTTAGGAAAGCCAGATTGTGTCTCCCCACCCCCTTGCCCCCCTATTGCTAGTAAAGAGAATTCAAGTCAGGCTTTAATAATGGAGAGGGATGAAGTTTTTAACTGAATGTAAGATGAATTTATAAAAATTTAGTTTGTATTAGATTTTATAAAACCTGAAAGGAACTGAAAAGTGGCAGCCTCTTCTAACCATGTTGCCAAATCGATACAGAATGAACACTGACAAGAGGAATTTGAAGGCAGTGATGGGAAGAAAATAAAGCCATTTCTGGATTTTACATTATTGCGTCCAGCCATTTCCATAAACCAGTGATAGCCATGTGCATGGCTCAAGACTGGACCTTGGGTTTGATAATGGGTCATTCTGCATACTGTGGAAGGATAAAAGGAGCACATGTTGTGTCTGACCGTTGGGGGAGAATGTGTGGCACAGCAGAGATTGCCGGTTACCTGCCTACTCTTTTTTGGCACTTACCCCTACCCAACCAATGCCACTCACCTCCATCTCCAAAAGGTGTTTTTTTCTGTTTTTTTTTTTTTTTTTTACAGAACACCATTCCCATCGATATAAGCAAAGGTTCCACAAAAACAAAATTCAATCAAAAAGATTCATGCGCAAAAATGTGGGGGGATCTCTGGTTAAACCATCCAGTTTCAGTATGGTCTGGTTTCTTAGAACTTTTCTGTAGATTACTTAGAACTGTAAATCTGCAGGAAAAGGCAAAGAATGCATTGTTTCCCAGACTTATTTCATCCCAGAGCTTTTTGTCTAGACAGCATCCAGAATGAACAGGATGCCACGGAGCATACTTTGGGAAATTCTGCATTATGGAATGTCTTAGTCTGTTCAAGCTTCTCCGAAGTGTATTTCTCACAGTTCTGAAGGCTGGGAAGTTCAAGATCAAGGTGCCAGCCATGTCTGACAAGGGTCTGCTTCCTCACAGATGGTGCATTCTAGCTGTGTCCTCACATGGTGAAAACGGCAAGACAGCAATCTAGAACCTCTTCAATAAGGACACTAATCCCATTTGTGAAAGGTCTACCTCATGACCTGATCACCTCTCAAAGTCCCCACCTTCTAATCCATCACCTTAGTGATTAGGATTTAACATACACGTTTTTGGAGGGATGTGAACATTCAGATCATAGGAGGAAATGCAGATAGGGAAGAAGCTCTCACAGAAAGCCATTTACTCCCTCCCTCCTTTCTGGGGACTGTCCTTACTCAGCTGAAACTATTTTCCACTTAGTAATATTGTAGTCCTTTAAAAAAGGAGAACACCAGAAGATACTAGATGAAGTCACTGAAGTCACAGAGCTGTTTAGTTGCAAAACTAAGAGTAGAACCCTATTCCTGGACTCTTTTCTTTTCTCATATCTTGCTGCTTGGTTAGTGCTTAAGAGTTTTCAGGTACATATTCCAGAGCCCCAATTCTTCAAGTGAGTTGAATAAAAGTAAAATTCAGAGCTGGGTAACAGTGTGTGGTGTGGCCTAAGGAAAAAAAATTCAGGCCCAATATGATGTGCTGTCTTAACATGTGGTGAAAACAGGAAGGCCTTACCCAGCCTAACCACAAGTTTCCCTCCCTACTCTGCTCTTGTGGATGGATAAGGTCCTGTAGCCAAATGTTTCTTAGCAAGGAGACCAGGCACAGCTTCTGCTTTACCATGAATAGTGGGATTCAATCCCTTCTAGACCACAGAATTATTCAAACAAGCCAATCACATCCTCCCACAAGAACCAAGGGGCACCTCACTCTCTTGACATCACAAAGTCTGCCTCCCCTATCACCTGGTTGCTTGTTCTGTTCCCAAGTGCAACCTCTGTGTGGCCCTGCATGGCGTGCAGTGTGCTCCTCCTCTGGGCAGTAGGTACATGTGACTAATAAACTGCTGCTTATCTTGTCTGTCCAATGCCAGGTGTCGTTGTTTGGCCATCCTCATAACTCTGGGATGAGAATCTCTCCATCACCAAGGGGGAAAATAGGAAGTGATTCATATGGTCTGCTGCACAATGTACAACCAATATTTGACATTGTGAATGAGAAGAAATCTTAGTTATATATAGAACTTACAAAAATAAACTTAACTTATTTTGAGAACTTAAAACAAATCCATGTTTGGCCATCTTCATAGACTGGCTTTAGTGTTATAAGCTGAAGAGTAGCACTGGGTAACTCTCTCTCAACCAGAGGATGTCAGTGATGAAAATGAATTAAAATACATGTTTTGGGGTCAGACAGAATGGGACTGAAATCTTAGCCTGGTCACTTTGTAGGTGTATAGACTTCTACAAGTCATTTAAACTCTTTCAGTCTCACTTCACCCACTCTATAACAGGAAAAAAATAACTTGCTATGGTTTCAATGTTTGTATCACTCTGAGATTTACAAGTTAAAGCCTAATCCCCAGTGTGATGGTGTTAGAAGGCGGGGCCTTTGGGGGGTGATTAGGTCATGAGGTGCAGCTTTCATGAAAGAGATTAGTGCACTTAAAAAGAGACAGGAGAGCTTGCTTCCTCTCTCTCCCTCCACCATATGAGGGTACAACAAGAAGACAGCCTTGTAAACCAGGAGGATGGCTCTCACCAGACACCAGATCTGCTGGTGCCTCCATCTTGGACTTCACAGGCTCCAGAACCAAGAGAAATCAGTTTCTTGTTTACGCCACCCAACCCATGATGTTTTTGTTATAACAGCCTAAACTGACTAAGACAACACCTGTATCAGAGAGTTATTATAAAGAATAAATAGCACCAGGTAAAGTACCTAGCAAGTAACCTAGCACATGTTAAAGGCTCAGTAAATGTTACCTGGCTGCTGTTTGTGTTTTTATTTTTACTATTTTTTTTTTGAGGCAGGATCTTGCTCTGTTGCCCAGGTTGGAATGCAGCGGTATGATCACAGCTTACTACAGCCTCAAACTCCCATCTCAGCCTGTCAAGTAGCTGGGACCACAAGCATGAACCACTACATCTGGCTAATTTTTTAGTTTTTTGCAGAGATGGGGTCTTCCTATGTTGCATAGGCTGGTTTTGAATTTCTTGGCTCTACTAATCTTCCCACCTCAGCCTCCCAAAGTGCTGGGAGCCACTGCACCTAGCCTGTTTGTATTTTTAAATAAAAAAAGAAATGTTTCTTATAGAAAAGAAAATATCTCTGTAAGAAGTAACCACAAAACCATCATTTATTTTAAATCAACAGGTGAATGTATTCATCAAAGCCTGTCCTTATAGTTGGGACATGCATAAACGTGAATGTTTTCACCTGAGGAAGGGAGGGATAGAGAAGGAGGAACAGTGTATCTATGCATGAAAACAGAGGCTGCCTGGATAGTGCATGTGGTGTATTCTCAGCAAACTAAGCTGTTCCAGGTAGAATCCTGATGACTCCTGCTGTTGTTGAAGGAAAGTGATTTCCCTGGAGTCTTCAGGGCAAAGAGGACAGAAGAGTGAGTATTAGTTAATTGTGTGAAAGACAGCAGAGATGAGGAGAGAGGATAAAAAATTGTTCTCAGGCACTAGAAACAAGATCTTGAGAAATAATGTTAATATAAAATGGCAGTAAGGAGGAGGAAATGAATTAAAGAGAAATCTAGTTTGAGCTAACTCCCAGGAAGTTTCTAGAATTCCAGTAAAGGCTCTAGAAGCAGAAGCAAGAAGGTAAAAGGGGCAGATATGACAGGCACAGATATATTCATGAAGGATACTTCAGAATGGAAGCTCCAGGGTCCCCAAGCAGGTCTGGGGCTGAGAAGAAGACTTCAAAGTCATGAAACGTTAAAGATGAGACTGAGAAAGAATAAAAACATAAAAAGTAGCCAAAATAGAAAAAAGAGATTTTGGGCTTTTTTAAAAAAACAGATCATCGTTTGAAGAAAATGAAGAGAATCTTTTTTTTTTTTCTTAGAAAGAAAGTAACATTATCACTTTCTAAGAAGAGAAGGTTCAATTAGAATACCAGGAAGTACCATTAACTAAGATTATTGTGACTTAATGAGAAAGAATTAATGATGTTATTTCCAATGTCCAGATGGCCTTTCTATCTGGCAGAGCTCAGAGCTGCTCCTCTCAAAGTTTTCTTCTCTACCCAATGTACCTTAGCTGGTCATGCTGCTCTCCCTTAAATGGTTAATGGCTAACAAAAGAGCCATGCGGCAATGCCATTCAAATCACAGTCACTTGAGGGAAAGATCAAACCCTGTACTCCTGAACTATTGGTCTGCTCAGTTCTGTTTGGTGTTAATAGCCGTCTAGACAAAGGCAGGGCTATTTCATTGTAGAGTCCACTCAACAGCTGTGCTTCCTATAACGTATCCGGAGTAAACAATGTATACTAACATGTTTTTAGGTCACTGGTTTACTGAGAATAATAAACGTTAGTGTTAGAGTTCTGCAATTCTTCTGTTTCACTATTATATCAGCTTTTAGGTATTCATTTGTGTTTTTTAAAAAATTATGACACTCTTAGTGCTCATACAAAGTGAAAATATATTAAAAGTAGTGACACAAATAGCTTTGCAATATTTTTCTAAGGATTTCTGTAATTTTTATAAAGATTAAATTCATACGAGCTTTTAACCTGTTATTAAGTACATACATTTCAGCAATAAACAGGGCCCAAGCACATTACAAATTTTAAAAGTGTTTTGCAGTCCCAATAGACTCAAAATTTGGTATATTAAATACAATTTGTTCATTGAATTTAGACTAGTTCTTGGAAATTATATGCTGTGAATTAAAAATCATGTCACGGTGCTTTCAACTCAAGAGCTGGGTAATGATGTATTTTGTTAATAATTCACAAAATGGTGACTTGGGGTCTTGGAGGAATTGATTTATCTTTCAGAACACAAAATACAATTTGGACAGTAACTTGGCTATGACTGTTTCCTAATGTGAAATTTGTTATATTTACTACACACTAATCCTCTATCACCTCCTTTATCATCTCAAGGATCAAGAGGAGCTAAAGGTCACCCATTAGATCATTTCCTCACTCCACAGACATCTATCAAATACCTACAGAGTGCCAGGCACTAGGATCAGCATCAGTGATACCTCTCACCCAAAGGAATATGCTCTTTGGCTTGAGGCAATCGGCATTCAGTTAGGGATGAAGATACAGTATGATGGGTACATATTGGGAACACACAAGAAGGAGTGATTATGTGGAAGAACCTAGTAAGCCTGTACTGAGAGGACAGCATTTAAATTGGGTGGGGGAGAAATTCGCCAGTCAGAGAATAAGGGAAAAGGCATTCATTCCAAGAAAGAAATCTGCATGTGTAATGCCCCAAAGTATAAAGAGTCAAGCGTTTCAGAGCGGGTGGACCACAGGGTGCTTGTGAGGGAGAGGAAGGTGGGAGCACTGGAAAAGAAGGTGGTGGAGAGATAGCAAATGATTTGCAGCAAATTTCCACCAAAGGATTTTAAGTAAGGAAGTGAGAAGATTTGATTTATCTTAGGATAATATTTGAAGGAAGTACAAACTAACATAATAGCAAATAGACATAGGAAGACAAAGAGGCTGTTGTAATATCATAGAGAAAAGAAAATATTGCTGAACTAAGTCAGTGGGGGGTGGAGAGGAGGGAGTATATTTGATAGTTTCAGGAGGCAGACTTAAAGGTCTTCATGAGCTATTGGATATGAGGACTGAAGGAGGGATTTTAAATTTGACAGCTATGAAGATATGATGCCCTTAGCTGCGTAAATACTATGAGAACAGTAGAATTGGGGAAAGCCAAAAATGACAAAGTGGAGAGAGTTTTATTGGGTTTCTTGAGCTTCAGATGATAAACACCCTCGTCCAGTAGATATGTGCAATAAACAGAGGATCCAGGGATAGAAAGAAGTTACAGATATATAAACAGGGCTCACTGGTGTGTGCAGCTATGGTCTGAATGCTTGTGTTCCCTAAAACTTCGTATGTCGAAATCATAACCTCCGTCAATGATATTAGGAGGCAGGACCTTTGGGAGGTGAGTGAGATTGGTTCCATTCACTAATGGGCCTCTTTTTAAGGGCACTCATTCCATTCTTTCTCCACCCACATGAATTGGATTAGTGCCCTTAGAAAAGAGACCTGCTGGGAGCTCATTTGCCCCTTTGTGCCATGGGAAGAAACAACTAGAAAATGCAGTCTGTGAACCAGAAAACAGGCCCTCACCAGACACTAGATCTACTAGCACCTTGATCTTAAACTTCCTGGCTTCCAAAACTGTGAGAAACAATTTTTTGTTTGTTTATAGCTACCTAGTTTACGGTGTTTGGTTATAGCAGCCCAAATGGGCAAAAATATAGCAGTTGAAGCCGATCTAGTGAATGAGGTCATTCACAAAAGCATTTATGATGCTTGAAGAAGGTAAAACTAAAATTATTATTATTTTTTTAAGACAGAGTCTCATTCTGTCACCCAGGCTGGAGTGCAGTGGCTCCATATCGGCTCACTGCAACCTCCGCCCCCTGGGTTCAAGCGATTCTCTTCCCTCAGCCTCCCAAGTAGCTGGGATTACAGGTGCCCACAACCCCACCTGGCTAATTTTTGTATTTTTAGTAAGGATGGGGTTTCACCACATTGGCCAGGCTGGTCTTGAACTCCTGACCTCAGGTGATCAGCCCACCTTGGCCTCCCAAAGTGCTGGGATTACAGGTGTGAGCCACTGCACCTTGCCTAAAATGAAATTTAAGTTAATTCAAAAATCTGGGCCACTAGGTATACAAGCATTAATTAGACTATTGAAACATATTAAAGTTAAATGACCTAAACCACTGTTTAAGTACCATTGTTTAGGGGATTACTGATACTTGGTAAGTTATTAAAAAAATTGATACTAACAAAATCTAATCTTAATAGTTTCATTAAAGATAATTGAATTATCTTCTTTTTATAAGTCATATTCTTAATGTCTGTCAAATTTCCAAATTGTTAATGTCAGAAACAGTAAAATCTAGCAAAATGGACATAGATACATAGATACATAGATATAGACATAGATACAGAGTTAGCTCAAATAGAGTTGTACATGTAGACATAGATATAATTCAGTATTTGTCTCCATGAAGGGGTGCCTCTTCTAATGTCTTACTTTCTACCTTTCAATCTCTGCATTTTTCATCCTAGGAGGATCTGTTTATCACCATCAGGTAACTTCCAGTTCATATTTGCCTCAGTATTTCCAACTTTGTTTATCCAAGGAGAGTGACTCATGCTTTTGACAAGATATTTTCATTGCAAGTGTGTGTAGGCACTTAGCACTGTAGCAATGTCATTCTGACATGGCATGCCGAGAGTGACCTGTAGCAGAATTCCCAAGTGGATCTGAGAATGGAAACTAGAAGTTATTTTCAGCACCATCCTTTGGTTAGACCTGCACAAAATCGGAGGTAATTCAGATATCCTCAGTAAGTTGCCCAGCAATTTCCATTAACTGTGCCATTTTGGATGATTTTATTGCTATGACCCTGAAATGAAAATGGACCAGATTTCATTTTACTCCTCTTCTTTCTTTGCCCTATAGAGCAATGTGAGTTCATGCAATTATATCCCCAAGCACACAGCCTAGGCAGATGTATATATGAGCCGTCACATAAAATCCCTACACATTTACACAGTGTATTTGGATAACATACACACATAATAAAGCTTTCCATAGATACTTTTTCATTCTATGTTCTCACTTCTAAGTGAGCTGAAAATCAACGCAAGAGATCACTAGAATGTTTCACCCAGATGACATTATTGTCATATGTGCCATACCATAATTCATACATTAATATGTAAAAATGACATTTTTTAATAAAATGTGTCACTTTAATTTAGAGCTGAAGGAGAAGACATAGGAAAATATTTTCCAATTCATT
This sequence comes from Homo sapiens, assembly GCF_000001405.40. NCBI lineage: Eukaryota > Metazoa > Chordata > Mammalia > Primates > Hominidae > Homo > Homo sapiens. The sequence continues at coordinate 41,573,842 of NC_000007.14, forward strand.
AGGCCACAGGCCCAAAGAAATAAATCCTTCTGATGAATCCTGTCATCACATTGTAATTCCAACACTTCAATATTCTGAAATTAACCAGACCCATGCCACCCCCACCTCACTATTTCAGCCTAAAATGCTTCCAGAAAGTTCCCCAAGCACTAGCTGTGAAATTACATTGTGTACTAATGGGAGACCTAGGCAGGAGGTTAAAGAGGGTTTTTTGCAGTGTGTAACTGATTTCAGATAAGCAGTGAGCTCATGTATCAGGAAAATGACTTGTTTCCTTTTCACATTTTACACAGTGTAGCAGCCAAGGTAATTTTATGAGCAAGGATTTTGCTGTTGCTGTTACGAATATGATTGTGCATAAGCCAAAATTTGCTGCTGGAGCCCCAAAGCCTTTGAGGATGGCAATTATTTATTGTCTTTGGAGGGATTCTTCTTCCTCATGGTCCCATCTAGACCAGGTTTTCAAGAAAGCTCTTGATCTAGTCGCCATTGCAAGAAAAAATGAATTGGTTAGTTGGGGCTGCCATCACTATTCTATTTTGATTCCTCAGGACTTCCTCAGATTACACCCATCTCTGGCCAGCAAAATGCCATGAGAGACTTGGGATTTTTCTTATAGGCATATCTTAGAACTTTCCTGCTAACTAGAAAGACAGTCAGCTCCTTGAAACCAAAGCACCCCCAATCCTACTCTGAGTCAGAGAATGTTTCCTATTGACTTTAAATATGTTCCTCTAAACATCTTATGAGCATGAGTCTTGGGGAGGAATTTAGTTCCATTTATAAAGCTTTGATTTCTAGAGAAACTCAAAGTCAGCACAAACATACTTCCATTTCCTAAGCAGTCTCTCAGTATATGCCTCTTGAATACATTCAACAGCATTTATTGAGCACCTACTATATGTTAGTGTTTGGGATATATCTGTGAACAAAATGAATAGCCCCATTCTCAAAAGTCTTCATGATGAAATACTTTAAGAAACCCTGTGTTAAAACCCTGTGTTAAAACTCTGTATTTAAAACAGTTAAATACTTTAAGAAACCCTGTGTTAAAAAGTCCCTGTAGAGACTTATCAGAGCTGATAACATTCTAAAAAGTATTGTAAGGTTCTAAGAGGGACAGAAAAATCTGTAGTCTTTCCCCACATTTATTTTAAAATAGAGTATTTTTTTAATCCATCACGACTAGTTTTTTGGAACATACTGCTCCATGTTAATAACATTTTTCACTCCTATATAGTCATAGCTTTTGACCATGCTCGTTTATTGACTGTTCTAAATTTTAAGCCCATGAACTCAAAGGCTAGAATATTGTCTAATACTCTGGTATTTAAGAAAAGTAATTTGCTATGGGCACTCCCTGAATTTTAAATGTCATAATATTAACCAAAGTTTCCATTTACATTTTCAATGCTTCAATAATATAAAACTAATCAATAAGATGATATTAAGGGCCATCTTAATGCATGTGTTAGGCACTGTGCTGAGTACTTTTTGTGAAGAGCTAGATTCAAATTCCAATATTCACAATTAAGGCAGCAACTGTTAACTCAACTTTTTTTAAATTTTCATTTTTTTTTCTGTAGTTGTTTTATATTATTTTATTTCCAACTTGTATTTTAAGTTCAGGAAATGCACGCATAGGTTTGTTACATGGATAAATTGCGTGTCTCTGGGGTTTGGTGTGCAGATTATTTCATCACCCAGGTAATAAGCAAAATACTGGATAGGTAGTTTTTCAGTCCTCGCCCTCCTCCCACCCTCCACCCTCAAGTAGGCCCCGGTGTCTGTTGTTCTTATTTTTGTGTCCATGCGTTCTCAATTTTAGCTCCCACTTACAAGTGAGAATAAGCAGTATTTTGTTTTCTGTTCCTGCATTAATTTGCTTAGGGTAGTGGCCTCCAGCTGCATCCATGTTGCTGCGAAAGACATAATCTCGTCCTTTTTTTTTTTTTTTTCTCACAATGGAGTATTGCTCTGTTGCCCAGGCTGGATGCAATGGCACAATCTCAGCTCACTGCAACCTCCACCTCCCGGGTTCAAATGATTCTCCTCCCTCAGCCTCCCGAGTATCTGGGATTACAGGCATGTGCCACCATGCCTGGCTACCTTTTTTGTATTTTTAGTAGAGGCGGGGTTTCACCTTATTGGCCAGGCTGGTCTCCAACTCCTGACCTTGTGATCCACCCGCCTCAGCCTCCCAAAGTGCTGGGATTACAGGTGTGGGCCACTGCGCCTGGCCTAATCTCATTCTTTCTTATGGCTGCATAGTATTCCTTGGTGTATATGCACCACATTTTCTTTATCCAGTCTATCATTGATGAGCATTTAGTTCTGTGATGAACATACGCTTGCATGTGTCTTTATGAGAGAATAACTTATATCCCTTAGTGTATATTCTGAGTAATAGGATGCTGGGTTGAATCATAGGTCTGTTTTAAGTTCTTTAAGAAAACTCCAAACTGCTTTCATTATCTCCATGTTTTCAATGAGGAAAGTGAGACATAGATAAATAACTTGCCCAAGGCCACACAGCTAATCTGAAGTGCACTGAGATTCACCCAGAGGAAGGCTGCCTCCAGTCCCAGGGCTCAGGGCCCTCCCAGTGTGGAAAGCTACTTAGGCGTCATTGTACTTGTTGTTTATTTGCTATAACTGCAGAGGACTCTCCACACCCTCCCCACTCCGCCAGTCAATTACATTGTTCTCATTTCCTCAGTAAACTGTAATTTTCTTTTAGGGAGGGTCCTTCTTATATTGACCTTGCTGATATTGATTTGTTGAATATGCAAAGTGAAATTCTTGTGATTTTTCTAACCATGGACTTATATACTTTTGTGTTTATCAAATGTGTATCTCACATACATCATGCTGTCCCAGAGTTTTCTGTTTCCTTTGATTTATTTTATACAAGGGAGTGAAAGATGGCAGTGGCTATAGCAGAGAAAGCAGAGAGCAGAGTTGGTGGGTAAATTGAGTTCTTATTTAGAAAGAAGATGGCCGGGTGCAATGGCTCACGCCCGTAATCCCAGCACTTTGGGAGGCTGAGGCAGGTGGATCAAGAGGTCAAGAGATCGAGACCATCCTCACCAACATGATGAAACCCCATCTCTACTAAAAATACAAAAATTACCTGGGTGTGGTGGTGTGTGCCTGTAATCTCAGCTACTTGGGAGGCTGAGGCAGGAGAATCACTTGAACCCGGGAGGCGGAGGTTGCAGTGAGCTGAGATCACGCCACTGCACTCCAGCCTGGTGACAGAGAGAGACTCCATCAAAAAAAAAAAAAAAAAAAAAAGATAATGACTGCAAATGGAATGAGTCAATAAATCAGTGACTAGGATGAGGTGGGGGAAGGAGGATCCGAGGGGAGACAGGAAAGGTAGAAAAGGAGATTCTTTCCTGATGTGTTCCAAAATTTGCAGGGAATAAATGTGCTGCAGTTACTTTATTTGGACGAGGAAAGGGAATAATCATGTGAAAAAAATAGTCATGTGGTGATTTATTTAAAACATGAATTTTGTATGATAGAATAGATGTGTGTGTATAAAAATCGTCAATAATTTCACACAGACTGCTATAGGAATGATTAAAAATTCACGGTGAAGAGAAACTACTTCGAAGTATTACATTAAATAAGTTTCAATAGGTCTTTATCATATTGATTTTCAGTCAGCATTGTTCAAACATAAAAGGATGTTGAAACATTCTGTATTTCAGGATATTGGTTCCATCAACATTTAATCCCAGGTCCTCTTTAAGCAAATATCTATTGAAAATCTACTCTTCGTTTACTCAAAATATATTTATTAAGGCCTCACTATATGCCAGGCACACTGCTAATTGCTATGAGATATACAAAGATGAATACATTAAGGAATATAGTTTAAGTTGTATGCATTGTACCAGCTAGGAAAAGTAAGGAATTTAGTTTACTGTTTAGGATATGGCAAAAAATAATCACAGGGTTTCCATGTAGATTTAATGCGGAAGAAAACAGAGAGTATTGAAGGCTTTCAAATGTTAGCGTAATGTTATGAATTTAGTTGCTGAATGAAGGTTAATTTGGCAATGGTGAACAGGACAGATTGGAACTGAGCTCTGGAAGGTTACTGGAGTCATCTATAACTAAGATGATGAGGGCCTGGTCTAGGATGATGGAAGAAAGAGTAGAGAAAAGGAACAAATCCCGGACATGCTCCATGAAAGACAAACAAACAAACCTCACAACCAAATAAACTGAGAACAAAAATAGGACCAGAGAATAACTTACTGAGAAGGAAAATTGGGGAATTAGTTAAAGAGCAGTCCAAGTTTTAAGCCTAGACATGTAGGACTTGGTGTCCCTAACAACCAAGACAGACAGATGAGGGAGAGCCACTTTGCAGAGTGAAATTCTAAGTTCTGTTCTAATCATGTCAGTTTAAGGTAATTATCCCACACCAAAGCCAACAAGCACATGTGGCAATCGCAGACCCAGGAACTGAGTCCAGATGAGAGGTAGCATGAAAAGTCTTATACTTTACACCACCAGACAGCCAAGAAGCAGCCATGAAGCAAAACTAAAGTGTATTTTACCTTATAAATAGGAAAATGGTGTCCACAAACCCAGGCTTCTACACATCTTCTTGCCCTCTTTACCTTTGGCTTACAGGAACGGGTACTTTGCTTATTTTGCTTTAAGTTTCTGCCACCTAATCTGTCTATCCACCTCCTTCCTTTTCCTTTGGCCACCACCCTAGCTGGCCTCAGCCAATGCCTGGGTACTCAATGCTTTTACTTCTATACCAGAAAATTAGAACCAAGAGACACTAAGCATAGCATAGACATAGCGTCACCAGTATCCCACCTGCTGTACTATCCTTCCCAGCCTCCCTTGTAGTTAAGTGAGGACCATGGAACCAGTTCTGGTGGGTACACTGTGAGACAGAAGAAGTGTACCCTTCAGCATTGTGCAGAGACTATCTCCTCCAAGCTCATTTCCCTCTTGTGACAACCTTGGAGGCCATGTGCTCTGGACAGTGTCACGACACAATGGAGGCAAGCCCACATGACCCATTCACATTGGACTTTGTGTAAGCAAAGATTAAGCCTCAATTGGGTGAAGCCACTGAAATGTAGGAAGTGGTCTCTTGTGGTCACTAGTATTATTTACAACAACTCACACAGCAGCCTAGACAACCTTGACATTTAAGAATGAATGAGCTGTTTCTACAATAATCAAAAAGCAGGGCAAAGCCTTCATTAGAGAGGAGAATCTGTATTGCCTGTATCTCAAATTTGCTTTCTCAAAATCTATATCTTGTTTGTACCCCCACTCCCAAGCTGTGAAGATTTTATATTTAAATAAATAAGAAGTGTTCATAAGTAATATTATCTACTGGAATGCAATGGGAGGGCAATTGTAATGGGGGGATCTGAAGACCACTGCTACTCATGTAGTTATTCCTTAACTTGCAGTAAGAGTCACCAGATGATTATTACTGCATATTCTGCTTTGCTTAAATGCTATGCAAACAACATGAAACAACATGTAACAACACCGAAGAAACTTTTCCTGTGAACATTAGTTTGAGGAGCTCATGCTGAACTAAAACACATCTGAACACTATACTTTAACAAGTGTGCTTTCCCACTCTATTATGGACATTCAGTCCTTAGATAAAATCTAACTAGTTAATTATGTCATGGGCTTCTTTTGTTTTAAATATGACGTTTGTTGGTGTGAAGTTATTGATGGATTTTTTTTTTCTTTTAAGATGGAGTCTTGCTAAGTCACCAGGCTGGAGTGCAGTGGAGCAATCTCAGCTCACTGCAACCTCTGCCTCCCAGGTTCAAGCGATTCTCCTGCCTCAGCCTCCCAAGTAGCTGGGACTACAGGCGTGGGCCACCACATCCAGCTAATTTTTGTATTTTTAGTAGAAATGGGGTTTCACCATGTTGGCCAGGATGGTCTCGATCTCTTGACCTCATGATCTGCCCACCTTGGCTTCCCAAAGTGCTAAGATTACAGATAGGCATGAGCCACCCCACCCAGGGTGATGGAGACTTCTCTGTACCTACGTGTGTTCTCCATAGAAACAGTTCTTTTTTAAGGGGAGTAAATACTGAGTACACAGGAATCATTTGGAGGTTTGAAGCCAGAATTGTCCACTTGGAGTTAATCATATTTTCCCTCTCAGCCCCCATAAATAGTTGAGGTTACATAAGTGAAGTGCAGAATGATTAGGGTTTACTGAGTAAAAGGCATATTACAAAGCTTTGGCATGAAACACACTCTGTGCTAGCACTCTATACTTTTTTCCACACAAATCTGGGGAAAGGGATGTCTGGTTCCTTGTTTTGTTTGTGCATGAGCTCTTTTCTAGGAATTCTGTGGAATTCCTATTCTATTAGAAGCCCAAGTTCAAAGCTATGACACACAACAAGTTGAATTCTTTACATATTTAAGATCAAGTATAACACCATATCTACACAATTATATTGTTGAGTTGGGATATTTCAATTCTCAGAATGATCTGATAAAATCAGCCTTGTGGTTTAGATGCTTGAGGACCCATTCTTTAAGAAGACAGCTGAAAACAAGTGTCACCAAAGAGATGGTTGATAGAGATTTCAAAGGTAAATATGCAAGAAGCTAGTGATTTTGGAAGCTGGTGAGTTTAGCAAGATACAATAATTATATTGAGGTCGAAGAAAAGCTGCCAGAAACACCATGATCTTCCAGCAGCAAGCAAGTGTTCTGAAACACAAATTGTGCTTAAAGTGAAATGTTTTCTTGTAAAACCTGTCAAGAATTATCAAAGTGGGGCAAGGTTCAAATTTAACACTTAGTGACATTATAGTTTTTACTTAGTTTGGAAAACAAGAATTAGTTAAAACTTCTTTAAGATTTTGACACAAGGGCCAGGCTCAATGACTCACGCCTATAATCCCAGCAGTTTGGGAGGCTGAGGGTGGTGGATCGCTTGAGGTCAGGAGTTTAAGACCAGCCTGGCCAACATGGTGAAACCCCATCTTTACTAAAAATATGAAAATTAGCTGGGCATGATGGTAGGCACCTGTAATTTCAGCTACTTGGAAGGCTGAGGAAGGAGAATCGCTTGAACTCTGGAGGTAGAGATTGCAGTGAGCTGAGATGGCACCACTGCACTCCAGCCTGGGCAACAGACTGAAATTCTGTCTCAAAAAAAAAAAAAAAAAAAAGATTTTGACACAAGGAAGAGTAAAGAGATTTTACTTCCTAGTTTCTGATAGTGAAATATAAATCTTGAAACCACATACCCCCTTGCCTCTAGAAGTTTACTCTTCTGTAGAGCAGCAATCTGACCCACTTTCCCTCATTATCTTTCCAGCCGTCTGGAGCAGCTCTCCAGAGCCACATGTGTCCTAAGAGTTCCCATTGGCTCCTTAGCTAATATTTATAGGAACAGAAGGGATTTGAACTAAGGCCCATCATTCAGCTCATGATAAAGTCACAGATAATGGTGGGTTGGTGGAGGGAGGAATGGAAAGAAAGAAACTAATGCTGTTGAGAGTCAGTATGTGGCCAAGCAAAACATTAAGTGCTACATAAATCTTGAGCTCCTTCCTCCTCCAAACAGTCCCTTAAGAAACTATTATTATGGCTGTCTGCCTTTTATTGACGATGATCTGAGACTTTGGGGATTAACTTCCTCTCTAAGTAGAGGTGATAGGATGTGACCAGATGCACCAGGCTCTGGAGCCACCTCTGTCCCCACCCTCTTGCTTCCTTGGGCTCACATGTCCAACCATGAGCTCTGAGCACTTGCATGCCAGCACGCCACACCATCCCTCCAACCACCTACACACACACACACACACACACACACAGCATGAACATTCACACACAATTTCTGAAAGACTCAATCAGAATCTAGGACAAGGAGAATCTCTAGTGCCTGAATACCTTCTATCGAACTGGGTGTTTCCATGATTTCTTACTCATTTGGGATGTGGCTTAACTCCAGTGTCTTCCAATTCTTGGAAAATGCCAGAAACTCATAACCGGGGCCCTGCCACCCAGCTATGGCTCCTATCCCCTCTCCTTCACCAACAATCCATCCTGACACCTCCACCTTGACCACTAGCAAGAACTATGCCTGATGGAGAGACTTTACAACAACGTCTGCTATGCTCATCTGCCTTTAGAATTGTACCCTGGCCTGAGTTTCCCCCTCCCGAGTCCTATCTGTCAGTTGGGTCCCTAGTTATTGATAATGGCCAGAATTATTCATGACATTGAAAGTGAGTCCACAAAGATTGCAAAGTTGCCCTTTCCAGAAACCACTGTAGCTAGGATAATCCCCCTCCAGTCCACCCAGGGCCTGAGCAGCAGGTCCTTATGTAGATCTGGCTTGTCTACTTTCTGGTCTTCCCAGCATGCCACACCACTGAGCTCATCTCGTGTCTTTCTCACCAACAAGTAACCAACAAGTACTACCCAGGAGCAAGTCTGGAAGTGTTCATTTTTTTTTCAGTAATGAAAAATGTGCAAGGGCATGGTTTGTACCCTGAAAAAATCTGGCATTTCCTCCATTTGAGACATTGAAGCATATATGGAAACAAAGTGACTTTTGTTTATTTTAAGTAGTATGTAAAACTTTGTAGATTGACTCTAAAGACAATCACCAACAATTCCTACCATGCCTCTTCTCCTAGTAAGAGGAAGAGTCTGTTTCTCCTCCATTTTAATTCAGACTGAACTTTTCACATGCTTTAACCACTGTGCCAGTTTGGGGGCTTGACACATCCTTCTTTGCTCTTGGAACAAAGGCCCTTGGAGCCCTGGGCTACAGTGCAAGAACCATAATGACCCTGTTGGAGAGAGAAAGAGAGAGAGGGAGAGACACAGAGCAACCCAGCCATTCCCAGCGTTTCAGTCACCCCAGATGAGGTGCCAGACATATGAATGAAGCCATCTCAGGCCTTCTAATCTTAGCTGATCTCCTAACTGAATTCAAAGTGACACCACCTGGAGCAAAAGGACCACCCAGCTAAGACCTGCCAACCCATGGAATGATGAGGAGTGTTAAACCATCATCGTCTTAAGCAATTGTCTAAGTGTTAGGGTGGTTTGTATACAGAAATATATGGCAGAGACGAGTGCATACTATGTGCCTTGCATCCTGGTAGCACTCAATATAAATGTATTTCAATAAATAATGACAAAGACATTGACTCCCATTGCTGATTGTAAGAGTACAAGAGTAAATACCCCTGGGGAAAGATCTCCCGAATTCTCTAACACTCCCACTCTCATCCTTGGAGCAGTTTCAGGCCACTGGCTCAGATAGATCGCCAAGGGTCAGGGCCAGCCATGTGCTTCATTTTTGGAAGCACCTTCTGGGGATGGAGAGAAGTGACTTTCAATCCAACTCCTGATAAAATGCCTTCTCAAGAGTGGGTTTGAGGGTGAATTTGCTTCTATGTTTGTTACTTAATAAATTAACACTGCATTCTAACTCACATGAAATCATGTCAAGCCAGGTACTACTTCCCGTAACCAGTTGTATGCTTTCAAATATTCATAGCAATTCCACGGTATTGCAGTAGCCTGGCAGGACTTGGGTTTGGCAGTGACTCTAGCTGGTGGTTAACATTCCTTATTCTAAAGACCATGGATTATGCTATAGATTTCAGCAAAGAAGGAAAAATATTTCCCTGGGAAGTTGTTATAAAAAGAAACCTCCAAATAAGATAATTACATTTCTTTTCAGAGAGAACAACCAACAGTCATGGTTTGTAGAATCTTTTCATTTGTGAAAGATCTTCAATAAAGAGTATATTTACTCTATTTTGAACCAGCGAAAGTCCCTCTTTGGGAATATCAAGGAAGTTTTGGATAGCTCTTTCAGGCCACCAGGAAGCATTTGGATAAATTGCTAAGTCACTATTTAGTATATGATGGTTTGATGGCCCAGAGATCATTTGAGTCCCTACAGGTAGACAGCTGTTAGCCATCCCCGAGCTCCTCTGGTTCCTGGAAATAAACCGAAGATGAAGCTGTTTGCAGCTGCAGTTGACGGAGCTGCCATCTGCTTGGCTCCCTGGAAGCTCTTAGCCAAGGACTTTGAGTCTAACTGCCTCACAGCAGAGCAGGCAGTTTTCTGTAGGGAGCTGGATTGAAGGTCACCTCTTTCCATCTCCAGAAGGCATTTCCAGAAAGAAGCACACTGCAGTCCTCACCCTTTGTAATCTATCTCAGCCACTGTTCTGAAACTGCTTTAACGACAGGGAGTAGATGGGGAGCTGCGAAGAAGAGAGAATTCAGGAGATTATCTCCCAGTGTTATTTTCTGGTACTTTGGTAGTGTGGCCGCTCACCCCTACATAAAACCCTTGAAGTCTACCCCTTGTGGGTCTTTGCCTTTGGGCAAACCCCACTCTCAGCAGCACTGCCCTCTCTAACTCTCAAACACAGTAACACCATAGGACTGAATCTTCCACTTTCTGCTTTTCTTTTTCTGATTTCTCATTATTTGGAGTATCCCTTCACTCCTCTGCATTCCACCCATACCCACAAGCAAACACATATTCCAGTCCCACATCTCAAACTTCCAACCGGATGTCTCCTACTAGATGTCCTATCTTTCCAAAATCAGAATTTCCAAAGCAAAATTCATCATATTTCTACCCAAATGATGGCCAAATCTGAACTTCTCTACCTGCTGACTCAATATTTTGAGTTTTGACCGTAGATAGATAGCCCATGAGCCACTGAGCTGCTCACTTCCCATGCTTGATATTACAACTGGAAAATAAGAACTTCACCACCTAAAATCTGGACACTGGCAATGGTCTTTTAGTTTTTCACCCTACCTCTATTCTTTTGACCTACCCTATACACTTCTTCTAGGAGAATATCTTCAACACAATTCTTCCCACTTTATTTCTCCATTCAAAAATGTCTAAGTGTTGAAGTTCAATAGGAATGCCTTCATACCAGCATTCAAGTCTTTTTACAACATGGCCCCTGTCTACCTATCTAGCTTCATCTCCAGCCCATTTCTAGATTTTGTGTAGATGTATGTTCTGAACCACTGAATTGTTGAGCAATTCCAGACGGAACTGTCTGTATGAGCCACCATTTGAGTATCACTTCATAGTGTTGTGCAATGCAGATGACTTAGTCACTACATGTCACATACAAACTTTTGCCTCGTCCATGTCTTTGCCTTCTCTGAGGCTCCCCTTTGTTTTACGTCTTCCTCGTCTTCATTTTCCCTTTGTTTTCTCAACTTCCAGTGCAGTATCCTTTCTTCTAGGAAGACGTCTTCCATTTGCCCCAGTCTTTAGCCTAGAGTTATGGAGCTATTTATTGCTTAAATCATCCTTTTGGCACTTGCCCTCCGCCAGGCACTTGTATCATTTTGGTCATTCCTTCCATGTGATCCATTTCTGGGACTAAAATAAGACTTCCAAGTAGCAGAAACTGCCTCTGAAATTATGTGTAGCTTCAATATTCATTGATAAAGATGCTTGTGATGACAGTTTCAAGTGTTTTTCTTACACAAAAATCATAGCTTTAACTAAGAAATATTTGTTTGTAATGTCTGGGCAAGAAGATTTGAAGAAAGAGAACAAGTAACTGTATTTCCCATAACCATGTGTCACCTTAATCTTTATTTTTAATATCAAGCTTTGTATTCCAACAAGTGGATTCACATCCATCATGAAGCAGATGCTAATACTGGCCAGCTTATTTCCAGCTGGTACTTACCTTGTAGAAGGTACTGCTTATGGCACATCCCATTGAAGACCAGCTTCATGTTGAAATTCCTTCCTCCCCTGGCATTGCCACTACATCCTCCTGATTTTCCATTCTTCTCTATTCATCTCCTTGCTTGGGAAGTTTTGCTTTTCTCACATCTTACCCTTAGATCCTTCCTTTTCAGCCCTCTTCTTTTCTCACTCTACTTGCTCAAGGAGGATGGTTCCCAAGCCTATCTCCAGCAGTGATCTTTCTCCTAAGTGCCAGACATATATTTTCTACTGCCAGCTGGAAACCTCCCCTTGGATGTTCTTCAGGCATTTAAAACTCAACACCTACTTTTCCCTCCTTCCTCCCCATCTGTCTTGGTCAATGGCATTGCCATCCTCTCAGGCTAAGAGCTCAGGGTCATCATTCACTTCTCTCTGTTTCTGACACTCAACTCCAGTCTCTGTGTCCTGTAGTGTTCACCTCTTAAATATTTTTTCTCTTTCCAAAACCTGCTGTCTTGGTTTAGGTCCTTTGTATTCATCAGGATAATTAACACTGCTGTTATAGCTGTCAAACTCGGAACTCTACATGGCTGAAAATAACAAAGGCTTGTTGTTATGGACTCACCCAAACTTGATGCAGGTTGAGTGATCTCCAGATCACTCCTCCATGCCCTCCTCCATGTAGTAACTCAAGATCCATTCTGTGTTCATCTTGTGACTCTGCTACATCAACAGAGGCTTCTATGATCTCAGATGAAAGAGAAGAGACAGAAGAGAAGACAGAACAGCTCTTTGCTTCCTCAAGTAAAGTGACACAAGTTAGAAGTGGCAGACCATTGGTGAGAACATGATCTAACCTAACTTCAAGAAAGTCTGGAAAATACAGAGATACATGAAATGTATTGTGAGTACAAAGTATCCGGTAGGCTCTTTTCCTGTCTCACCGGGACTAATGCGAATACTCCTGACTAGTTTGCTTAACTTCAATTTTCTGTTCTACCCCACCTATATGTTTTTACCAGATATTTTATTTATAATTATTATTATTTATTTCTTATAAAACATAAAATCAATCTTGTCACTCTCCATTCAGAATCTATCAATGGATCTCCACTATTTAGGAAATGAAAAGCATAGTCTTGCAAAATAAGACTGCAATCTACTCTTCCAACTATATCCCCATACCTACAAAGCTTTAGCTAGAAGCTTACCAGACAAAATATTCTGAATATTCTGTTCATTCTCTCATTTTCATGTCTTAGTGCATATGTTACACTCTTCCTGGAATATGTGGAAGATATAGTTTAAATGTGATTTGACTTTGCTCTGAATTGTTATGATAATGTAAACATTGAATGTGGATCCATACAGGAAAAAAAATGAGTAAACAAGTCCAATTCTTTTTTTTTTATTGTTTTAATTTTACTTCAGGTTTCAGATGCAACTGCAGAACATGTAGGTTTGTTACATAGGTATACGGGTGCCATGGTGGTTTGCTGCACCTATCAACCCACCATCTAGGAACTAACCCAATTCTTATAGTTTCCCTTATCTTAAGAAAACAGACCTAGGGCTTGATTTATTTCTTTCCTCCTTAAATGAAGAATATAACCACACTTGGCTGTAATTTCTATTCTATGTGTATGCTAATCCCTCAAAAAGCCAATGGTGAATGATGCTGTTTTTTTGAAGACAGGTTCCAGATCCCTAATGAGACTATTAGAGGAAAATTTGGAGATACTTAACAGCTGATGAATTTCGTATACGAATTGAAGTATTTCCTTCTGGTCCAATCCATGACCACAACAGCCAGCTTTCTCTGCCAGGAATTACCCCTGGGATCAGGTTTATATCTAGATGTAAGGGAAGAGAAGATCTTTGCTGCTGACAGCCTAAGCCACTAGAAGCTAAGATTATTCAAACACAGAATAAGGAAATTTCCCTTGGGAAGCCAGGCTGCTTTAGCAAGAGACCAAAGAATTAGTGGGAAGGCACTGTAGCCTAGTGGAAGAAGCTAGGGTTCTGAAGACACACAAATCCAAGGTCAAGTCTGCTAAGAGGTCTTGTGACCTCCAGAAGTTGTTTAACCCCTTTAAGCTGCAGATTCCTCATCTAACGTCTTTTCCAGGAATGATTACATCTACATCTTTTCCATGGTCATTACATCAAACAAACAATGTGTGGTAGGTTAATTTGGCAGCATGTTAATTTGCATTTTCCCTCCGCATCTCCTTCCCCCCGCACATGCACACACTCACACATGGTCCAATCTTTGGTTTTCCTTAAGTCAAGGACTTTTCATTGCATGAAGGAGAACTCTTTGTCTTTGTAGAAACATGCCTCCTGCCCATTTTCATCACCTAAATTCACAGATGAGCTATCACTGCAGGAGAGAAGAGGGGCACGCTAAAGACAGAGGTAGAGACTGAAGACAGAAAGGCTGGAGGCTGCACAATGAAAGAGAAATTCATAGACTTTTGTGTAGCAGTGACCTGGGGTGGTGAAAAGACCTCAGAGGATGCCCAAAGGAAGTCTGTACAAAAGACAGAAGGGCTCACAGGTTACCTGAACGTTTCTGGACTCCAAGCACATTGCTCAAAGCCCATATCTGCAGGAATTGGGGGTCTCAGCAGCAATCTGTGTGACCTGATGACTAAGGGCTGGAGGTGCCTTTTACTACAGAGAATAACCACAGTAATGACTGACAATGAATTTCTCTACCATGCGAGGGGGGTGAAGCCTGGGAATCTAATTTTAATTATTTTTTTAAAAAAAAACTCTGTAATAAAATGCTTCTTGCTCCCTGTACATTACTTTATAAGGTTTGTGTGCTACCAATGTGATATGGACTAAGCATGTCCCCACCAAATTCATATGTTGAAGCCCCCCAACTCCCAATGTGATGGTATTAGGAGGTGGGGCCTCCTTATAAAAAGAGGAAGGGAGCTATTTGCCAGACAGGAAGTCCTCACCAAAACACAAATTTGCTGGTGCCTTGATCTTGAACTTGCCAGCCTCCGGTTCCGTGAGAAATAAATGTCTGCTGTTTAAGCCACCTAGTCTATAGCCTGAGCTGTTATAACAGCCCGAGCTGACCAAGACGCAGTGTAATCTCTTATACTGGGTAAGCCTTCAGTAGAGGTAGTGACTTTCCTCCTGTCCAACGCTCTTCTTCTGCTATGAGGAGGATGGGAATTGCTCAGCTGGGTCTTCCTGTGCTGTCACATTAGCCCTAACCTACTCTGTAGGAATGAAAGTTTGATAGACACAATCTATCAAAACCACAGTAACAACTTATGAGGCAAAATTCTAAAACAGCAACACATCTCAAAACTCTCAGAAAGATAAAGTAATAAAAATGCATAGCCATTCCCAGGCTTAGTATCTCAGAGGACTTGGCGCACTTCTTTGGAATAGAGAGACTGAAATTATGATTTACTTATCTTTGCATTTTGCCAAAGGTTTACCTTCCAGGCAGCTCTCTTGTAGGCCAGAATTGGGGAAGGTAGGCAGAATAACCCTCAGGTTGTTGTCATCTGCACACTCCCTTTTAGTTCTAGATTAGAGGTCAACAAACCACAGCCCAGGGATCAAATCCAGCCCAGCGACGGGTCTTGTAAATAAAGCTTATTGGAACCTAGCTGTCCTCTTTCGTTTACCTATTTTCTATACTAGCTTTCATGCTACAAAAGCTGAAGTGTTGAATAGTTGTCACAAAGACAGCATGTCCTACAAAACCAAAAATATTTACTACCTTGCCTTTCCTGAAAAAGTCTGCTGACTCCTATTCTAGATTACAAATGTGGTGGGACTGGTCTCAGAGATGGAGTAAGATGGCCCCAGTAACTGTGCAGGACTATCACTGTTGACCATTTTTGAAGTAGGATATGTTTCAATGTGAGAGAACCCTGGAAACTTTCCTCTGTCCCTCTCTATTACACCCACCTCTTGACTCTCTATCTGCCTAAATTCATTCCCTTGGGCTTATCATAATTTCCTCCCCAATTCAACCAACATTGAGCACACACCACATGCCAGACCCTGTTTGGTACAGTTGATACAGACAGAATTCTGTCCTCCAGGAGCTTATAATGGGCTTTCAGGAGGTAGACATCAAAGAAGTAATGCCATAAGTGATGCTTAAGGGCATTGGACCACTGACTGCAAGGTCTTATTAGTCTGGAAGTCTACCTTTCTATGCTTCTAAAATTAGAATGGAGAGCAACCTTAGAGTAGAAAGCTCCTCAATATAAGCTCACAATTTTCTGCTAGTACAGATGATTCCAAGAGAAGAAAATGGTTCTACTGTCTCTTTGTCTGGTGTTCTCTCTCATATATTTTTTGTTGTGGCATAAATAACTCTAAAGATGTTTCCTTCACACTTGGAGTGTATGGAAAGGACTTTAGGATTTACAAGATTTACAAAGGCCTCCAAGCTGGGACAAGTTTGTTTTGCACTTCACCAGTTATCCTGGTATAACTATTTTTAATGGCACTGTCTTTCAGTTCTCAAAGAGTTCTGGCTTGAACATTAAATTATGTGCTACCTTCACCTATAACCCATACCCTTAGCCTGCCTAGACATCCATAAGGTATGAGTAATATGGAGTTATCTTCCTATCAGTGCAAAATTTCACTTAGGTTATTCTTCATCACTCGCACTAGATGAAATACCTAGCAAGTATTTCTTTTCAAAAGAAAGCCATATTTTACTTGCTTCACTGATTGCACAGTTTAATGATGAAATAAACTCCAAAGTGCTAAGAAGAATCCCTAGCATATAGTAGAGAACAGCTAAATTTGAAGTATATGAGACTATTGATTGTTGTTGATTGACAAAATTAAGACCCTGAAAAATAGTCTTTGCATTAAGGTAGGCAGTTAATCTGTTGAAAGAAGAGTCTCCTTGGGGAAGCCTTGCCTGACCTTTCAGTACTACTCAGCCCCCAGCACTCTTGCGCAGAAGTCATTCAGGGCTTGCCACATTTGACTGATGTACTTGTTTCTTGTCTGTCTCCACTGAAACATCTTGAATTTCTAGTTAGCTATCATAACCCCAGGATTTAGTGTCTCACTTATAGTAGGTTCAATAAGAATTTCTGCATCAAACATTTATCATCTGTTGACAAACTCCTGAGATATAAATAACAATAAAGTCTCAAAATGCCAGAAAAAAATCTCTATCACTGATATCTTGATTAGTGCTTTAACTTGTTTCTTCAGTGGGTGTTGTTTGCCCATAATACAGGCTCCCTAATGACAATCTTGCCCCAGACCCTCACTGTTTGAGGGAAACAGCTAAATTATGATTGGAATTAGCCAGGAACCAAATGTTTTAGAACCAGGAAAATATATAGACCTTATTTCCTCTTAGAAGGGAAAATAGTAGCAATCATCTGATCTCTGGTTATTAAGTAGACAAGACAGGCAAAGAGCTAAGCATTGAAACTTGCATTACAGTTACATGGCCTGCCCCTAATATCCACCACCCTGTTACTACACATTTTCTGAATAAGAGTCATTTAGGAGACAGGTTCCTGTCTAGGCATGAATCAAGGTCCTTTAGTAGCAGTAAGCGTGAGACATTTGGCTGTCTCCTAGGAAGAGGCATTATGGAATAAACTGGGATTGTGCAGACTTTCCTCTCCTGAAGAAAAAGCACTGTCAGAACAGATAATTTATCAAGGGAATCCTATACAGAGTTGGCACATGTCCTACTGACAGGCATAGAGTACAGAGAAAGGATTTAATTCCAGGATGTATTTTCCTAACCAGAAACAGCTGTCAATGGAAGAAAAGTGGTCCATCCAACCATAATTGAAGGGTAGGTCATCAAAGTTGAAGAGTTGTTTGCTAGAAACTAAGAATGGGTGGAGAGAGAATGCAGAATGTCATCTGGACAGAGGTAATTTTCAGAAACTCATAAAACAAAACTGGGGCAAGAAGGGAAGGAACACCATCAGAGGACTGATGAAAACTGTAAAATAAAACTGTGAGTTTAAAGGAAGCGCTAAACCAGAAAAGACCCAATGGTGCACATTTCATTTTCCTCTACACTAACTGGGTTAGCCCCAAAAAAAAGGCACAAAGTGAATGATTCTTCCCAGGTAGATAAAATGTTTACTGTATGACTATCACCCCCAGCCACAAAACCCAGAGACATTTGTTAATTAACAAACAAAAAGTGGATAATATGCACACTTTTCAGAAGCTGCTTTGAAAAACGTGTAATATGTATTAATTAGCGCTAAGTTCAACAACAACTAGAAGAAAGTTAGAAATTTGTGTTTTTTGGTCACATAGAAGATGAGGAGACCTAAGGCTAGTCCAGGAAGAGTCCAGGGCTGGTATGGTGATTCTGCTCCACAAAGTCTTCAGGGATCCAGGATTCTTCCAGCTCACCTTTCTGCCATCTTTAGTATATGGTTCTCATCATCATCATCTAAGATGTGAACTAGAGCCACATTCATAGCAGTGGGATTAGAAAAATAAACAATTGTCATCAAGGAGTCCAGCTCTAGGCAACAACCATAAGCATTTGCAAGGCTTGGTCCCAACCATAAGCATTTGCAAGACTTTACCTGGGAGGCCTCATAGGAGAAGGCTGCCCTCCTCACATCAGACTTGGTGCACAGCAAGTACATTCCAGTTCTCTGGAAGGAGTTGCAGTCAGATTCAGCTGCTCCCCCAACCCTGCCTGGACAAGCCATATTCATATGCTCAGAAGCTCATATGCTCATATTCCTGGCCTAGGTGCCTCCATTGAGAGGCCTCTTTATTGGGGTCCTCAGATGTTGTCCCAAGACCTCCTTTTCAGCTGGTTTGGCTGAGGCAATTTTGCCCGCAATGACTCAGTATTTCTCAACTCCCAGTTCTACCCCCTTTCCTTCCTCTGGTCTCCTAGGTTCATAAAATGCAGAAGCCATTTATTAGTGGCTCTTCTCAGTGAGACAATTCTTCCCATGTGTACTGCATGTCATCTGCCCTCTCTTGCTGCCATTCCACAGAGAAAAATGGAATGCTAGGGAACTGGGGCCCTTTGCTTATACTTGCCTGCACTGCAGCAGTAAGTGAATGGAGCTTTGACTATTATTTTCAGTATGACTTGAACATCTTGACCGGCAGCTTGACAGTTATTTGCCTGAAGTTTCTTCAGGAGGTTTCCCAAAACTGCCTTGCAACTATTTTTCTTAATTCCATTGGTGAGAACTTGGTTACATAGCCATAGCCAGCCAGTTACCAGGGAGACTGGAAAATGCATTCTACTACTATGGAAAAAGAGTATAAAAATCCATTGAGATGAAGCTAGCAGTCTTTGCCACATCCTTGTATATTACTAACCTCCCTGAGTTGGCAAAGCAATGCAAGGGGCATAGTAAGGAGATTAGAGTTTAAGTCCCTGGCACCAACTGGTTAAATCCTATGACTTTGAGTGGCTTTCTGCATTAGTCTCATGTAGTCAAATGGAATGTTTAAGCTTCATACTGCCCTCAAGGAAGTCTAAGGTGTTACATTCTAATATATTATCCTTACTCATACTATTTTAAAAGACAAGACAAAAGATTTAAAGATTTGTCATTTAAGTCTTTTTTATGTGGGTGAGGACCAGGAATGGAATTCACTATGCAGGAAGACCACCTTTAGAGATTTTTAATCCACTTTTGAGCTTCTGTCAAGGTTATTTAAACCATTCATTTGCCTGGTTTGTCACCTTAGAGGAATGGCATTCATTTGCAAATTGTGATAGCATGCTTCCAGTTAAAAAGGAAGCAAAACAGATTGCCAATCCTGAATTTATCTGAAAACATACAGTACTCAACTCCAAGATGACAATAGTCCATGGACTTCAAAAGACACAGATGCAAAACTAAATATGGAAAATGTAACCCTTAAAAAGAATAATTCATTGAGTAGGCAAAGATGGAAAGATGATGTGAAAACTTTCTTATCCACAGAATATTATGAAGTCATTTCTGGAAGGAGTTCTTAAATTTAAAATTTATTTGTAAACTTCAACTAGGAAAGATGTTAGTTCAAATGACATAAAAGGCCATTGCACCATGAAGACATGTGCCTTAAATTACCCTCTGTTCTTCTGCCATCCTTCAATTGAAGTTTCGGTAGGGTTTAATGCAGATGTTCTTCTGTAATTTTCTCTTCTTTTACAAATGACAAGGAAGACTGTGATTCTCAAGGTCACATTTCATAAGTAAGATGTCAGGAAATACATATGCAAAGCAAACTTCATCTATATCCCAGTGATATTTGATGATTTTAAACTTACCTCTTTAAAAAACCCAATTTAAAATCTATAATTTATTAATTTGTATTCTTCTGGTTTTGTTTTAAATTCTTTTCATAGTATTGTAAAATATTCAACATTCATTAGGCACCAATAATCTTAGGTTGAGGAAGTTATTTAACTGCCTCAGTTTTTGTATCTAGAGCCCAAGTAGCTTGTACCAGATCAGTGAGTCTCAGGGAGGAAGTATATCAGCACATGCAGGAGGAATGGATATACTTTAAAGCTCTCTTTCTCAAGATTCTGGTGTGCATCCTTCATCCCAGCCATACTTCAACCCTGGTTATGAATTATTGCATGGGATGAACAAGGTCCCTTGCAGTCTGCTACTATCTGCTATGTGAATATTTCCATGTTACATGGAGGTGCCTCATTATGAGTCTATCACACTGTTTTTCCTATGGTATTTATTTATTTATTGTTGATTTAGTGCTTATTATATGACAGGTTCTCTGCTAAACACTGTGGTTTACAAGAAGGATATAGTCCCTGCTTATTTCAAAGACTACTTTTGCCCACTTGATGTCCATTATCTTTTCTTCTTTATCAACAAAACTCTAGTTCTGTTATGAACCAGAGCAAAAGCTTGCATTTTCCTGCTTTCTTGCAGTTGGCAGAGTTGGTCTTATAACTTATTCAGAAGAAGGAGACATAAACAGAAGTCTGCTGATTTTGATTGCTATTTTAACAAATTATTGTGTCTTCTTTCTTCTGTTATCTTCCTCCTCCTTGGAACGCAGTTATAATGGCTAGAGCTGGAAACACATCATGTATCCAGAAGGAAAAGGGCAAGAAGATTGCAGGATCCACAGACCTGGTATTCCCAAACAGCTGAACCAGTATCAGTACACCTCTGGATTTCCCATTACTTGAGAAAAATAAACTCTTTCGTTTTAGCCACTGTTGGTTACGTTTCTTGTTACATGCAGCCAAACTCAATCCCTAACTAATACACCATTTTAAGAGACTTCAGCATCTAGTGAGAGATATGTATACCTAAATGGGCAATTGTTGTGCAATAAATGATATGGGCAGGAAGATTAGAGTGGTGTGGAAATACATAAGGAGGTATCTATCCCAGATTTGGAGATTTGGCAAAATTTTTTCCGTATTGGAGTAGATATTAGCCATGTGAAGAAAGGAAAGTCACACCCAGGATGAAGGGATAGCATGAACAAAATATAGAGGTGAAAGAGACTGTGGCTTGTTCAGGAAATGAAAGGAAGCTATGACTGAGGGGCAGAGTTTAAGTTGAGGAATAAGGCTCAGGAAGGAAGAGGGGTCTGATGATAAGAGGCTTTTAAACTTCATTAAGAAATAGAAAAGGGGATCAACTTCCAGAATGACAGTGTAAGGAGCTCTACTGGCCCCAGTGAGACTGGTGAAAATTATTTTTAAAGACCAACCATTTAAAGCCTCTGGAAATGGTCTTAAGGGAAAATAGGAAATCAAGAAACATCTCTCTTTAAAAATATATTAAAACTTGGTAAGAAAAGCAAGACTCTGTGGTATGTGAACCAAGACTTGTCACTCCTCAAAAATCCCTATCCCAACTCGGTGAGGTGGAGATACCACTACAGATTGCCACAGTCAAGAACACAGGCTACCACTACCCCAAGTTCCCAGTCAGAGGGCTTTTCTCCAAGAAGGAGCAAGACTTCAGCATTTGTAATTCTGCCCCCAGCTACCTATTGCTGAGGCTAAGTCCTGGGTGAGTGCAACTGAGAGGGGGTGGTTTCTTTGTTCAGATCAACCGCCACTCATGTAATGGAGGCTCTACCTTAAACATGGCACATTGAGAGTACCAGTATTTCAAACACCCTTGCCCCAGTTCATGGGGTGATGGTCCTGTGATGGAAAAAGCAAGCTGAGAGGAACTCAGGCTGTTGCCACCTCCCACCAACTGCTTAGATCCTAGACTGGGGGTGTTGCTCAGAGAAAATCTTGCCATTGTCCCATCCCCAGCTCCAGTTCCCTGGCTCCAAGATTTCCCCGAGGGTAGAACAGGCAACAAAACATATAGCTCTTAATCTCATCCAAAAGAAAAGTTCTCATTTGCAAGAGAATATGAAGTTCAAACTTAAGGATGCTCTCAAGAGCAAAAACAGTAGAGGTTGTGTTGAAAAGCAATTGAGAGGAAATTTGTAGATTTAATGAAGATACACCCAGAGATTAGGCCAGGTAGTTTGCAGTAGAGAACTGGAAAATAAGACAGCTGAGAGGACCTTTGGGGTCACAACAAATAGAAAACATGAACCTCTGAAACTATTCCTTCCAAGGAGCAAGAATTTGATTGGATGTGTTTATACAGCAATATATACCCCAGAATATTGTTGAAGGAACTAGAGCAATCAGAGGGCAATTAGTTGAGTTAAACAGCTGGGTGTGATCAGGGAAAGAGAGAAAGAGGGCCCTCCCCAAACTGTAAGTGATCTAAAAAGCTGAGTCTACCTGAGGAAGAACATCACATGCTGAACACTATGTAGGGAAAATAGATTTCAGTAAAATAATCCAGCTAGTCACTAAAACATAAAATTGTTAACAATAACAAGTCTCACAGGGGGCTGGGAATCAAACCTAAGTATTGGTACAATATATTATTTAAAATATTCAGTTTCCAACAGAAAAATTACAATGCATTCAAAGAAATGGAAAAATGCACCAGAAAAAAAATATACCAGAGAACAAAGTAGTCACAAAAACTGCCTGTGAGAGGCAAAGAATGTCATAATTAACAAAAATACATCAAGATAGTCATTATAAATACGTTCACAGAATGAAAGGAAAGCATGATTAAAGAAGTAAAAGAAACATATGATGACAATGTCACATCACAGAGCATAATAGAGCATAGTACTAAATATATAGAAATTATGAAAAATAATCATGCGAAAATTATTTAGTTGAAAATTACTGAAGAATAAATTCCCTATAGACACTCAACAGTAGATTTCAACTAGCAGAAGAAAGATTTATAGAGCTGAAAGATAAATTGATAGAGTAAGCAAGCCAAAGAACAAAGAGAAAAAAGAATGAAGAAAAGTGAACAGAGCTTCAGACAAATGTAGAATATTACTAAGGACACCAACACATACTGTCATATCACAGAGAAAAAGCAAAAGGGATAGAAAAAATATTCAAAGAAATAATATCAGAAAATGTATCAAATTTATTGAAAAACTATAACCTACACATTGAGAAAGCTCAACGAAGGCTAAGTAGCATAAATTTGAGGAGATCTCACAACATCATAGCAAAAGTGCTGAAAGTAGAACACAAAGAGAAAATTTAAAACACTGAGAGAGAGACAACCAGTCGTTTACAAGGGAACCTCAAGCAGGAACAACAGTCTGGCAGACAGTGGGATAACATATTTAAGAGATTCAAAGAAAAAACTGTCAACCAAGAATCCTATATCCAACAAAATTATCTTTCAAAAATGATGGCAAAAAACTTTCCTCAATTAAAAACAAAAAAAGGCCAGAGAGAATTTGTTACTAGCAGACTTGTCTTAGAAGAAATACTCAGGCAAGGTTTTCAAGTTGAAAGCAAGTGACCATAGATGGTAATTTGAATCTATATTTAAAAAAAAACAGATACACTTGCAAAAGTAATTGTGTAATTGTAAAAAAGTATTTTAGATGCATGTTTTCTTTTTATATTAATCTAAAAGCAATTATATAAAATAATATGTATATAATATAATGTTAAGATATGACATAGAAAAATGTAAAATATGTGTAGTATATTTGCCAATAACATCACAAAGGACATGAGTGACAGCAAAGCTCCACTGGGCTAAGAAAATGACTGCAGATAGTAAAGTAATAATTATAAATATGTATTGTTGAGTTTGTAATATTAATAGATATAATAAAAGCACCACAACAACAGGAAAAGAAACTATATAGGAGTAACATTTTTTACATATTACTGGAATTAAGCTAGTATAAACCTGAAGTTGATGTTACAAAGTTAGGATGTATACAGTAAATCTTAGAGCGTCACTAACATATAACTCAAAAGAAGAGTATATCATGAAAAAAATCATTAAAGAAATTGAAATGCTAGTTTATAAATATCCACTTAAAAAAGAAAGCAGCAAAAAAGAAATACAGGAACAAAAAAGATATGAGACATGAAAAGCAAAAAGAAAAATAGCAGACATAGTTCAGCTAGTTAATGTTAGCATAATGTTACTATGTTAACAGTAACATTAAATGTGAATGAATTAAACCATCCAATCAAAAAGGCAGATATTGTTGCAGTAAATGAATAAACATAGTCCCACTGTATGCTCTCCACAGGAGACACAGTAGGCACAAAGACACAAATAGATTGAAAGTAAGAGGATGAAGAAGATATATCACACTAATAGCAATCATAAAAAAAGCTACACCAATATCAGATAAAATAGACTTTAAAAAAACGTTAGTGGAGATAAAGAGGAGCATTTGAAAAAAGGGCCAATTCATCAAGAAGATATAACAATTATAAGCATGTATGCAGCTAATAACAGAGCATCAAAATATATGAAGCAAAAACTGACAGAAATATAGGGAGAAATATACAATTTGACAATAATATTTGGAGCATTCACTAAAGGATCACTTTCAGTAAGGAACAGAACAAACAGACATAAGATCAACAAGGCAACAGATGACAAACAACTCTATAAACTATACCCAACAGACAGAATATTCCATCAAGAACAAAAGAATACATGTTTTTCTCAAGTATACATGGAACAATCTCCAGAATAGACTATATGCTAGAACATAAAACAGCCCTGAATAAATTTAAAAGAATAGAAATAAAGTATGTTCTCCAACCATAATGAAATGACATTAAAATCAATAGCAGGAAAAACCTTAAGAAAACTTGCAAATATGTAGAAATGAAGGAACATTCTCAACGGGTGAAAGAAGAAAACACTAAGAAAATCAGAAAATATTTAGAGATGAATGAAAATGAAGGCATAACATATAAAAGCTTACAAGATACAGCTAAATTATTTAGAGTAAAATTTATGGCCGCAAATGCTTATATTAAGAAAAAAGAGGCTAGATTAACCTTTTAGTCAGATTAACAAAGAAAAAAAGACACTAAAATTACTAGAATCAAAAATGAAAGAAGTGACATCACTATCAACCTTATAGAAACAAAAAGCATTATAAATGAATACTACGAAAAATCGTACAACAAAAAATTAGAACATTTGGGGCTGAGTGTGATGGCTCACATCAGAAATCCCAACACTTTGAGAGGCCAAGGTAGGAGGATCACTTGAGCTCAGGAGTTTGAGACCAGCCTGAGAAACATAGCCCGATCCCATCTGTACAAAAAGAAAAAATAAAACATTAGCTGGGTGTAGTAGTGTGCATTTGTAGTCACAGCTACTTGGGAGACTGAGGTAGAAGGATTGCTTAAGCCTGGCAGGTTAAGGCTGCAGTGAACTATGATTGTGCCACTGCGCTTCAGCTTGGGCAACAGAATGAGACCCTGTCTCAAAAAGAAAAAGAAAAAATAGATCATTTGGCTCAAATGGAAAAATTCCTAGAAAAATATAAACCATTGAAACTGATTCAAGAAGAAATAGACAATCTGAATAGACCTACAACTTGTGTAGGGATTAATTTCATGGTCAAATAACTCCCCACAAAGAAAAACATAGGCCCAGATGACTTCTCTTTTGAATTCAACCAAACACTTAAGGAAAAATTAATACCAATTCTTCACAAACTCTTCCAAAAAAATATGAGAGAGAACACTTCCCAACTCATTTCATGATGACAGTATTTTTGCCTTGATACTGAAACCAGATAAAGATATGAAAAGAAAAAAATACTAAAGACTAACATATTGTATTAATATGAACTCAAAAATCCTCAAAAAAAATGCTACCAAATTGAATCTAACAACCTACAAAAAGAATTATACACCATGACCAAGTAAGATTTATCCTGGGAGGGCAAGTTTCACTTAACATCTAAACATCAATTAATGTAACACATTATACTCATAGAATAAAAAATGAAATCACGTGACCATCTCAATGGACCAAAAAAGACTTCTGACAAGTCAACCCACAGGGTGCAGCATGCAGGCAGGCCTTCTGGGGGCGCTGTTACTGAGACGGCGATGAAATGTGCTGGTGGCTCCTTCCCTCTGTGCTGGGCTCCAACATAGAAACCTTTGGTGGAAGCTTCAAAAGCCACAGGAAGAAATGTACAGACTCCACAGTTAACCCACAGAAATCTCTGCAAAATCCTCCAGCCCCCAGGACATGGGAGGGCCATGGCTGACTGGGAGCATTTGCTCTCTAGCTGTGAAACACAAAAATACACAAAATGATTTGTTCCACCTGTGAGGGAAGAAGCATGGGTCTTTAACATTAGAAACAAAATATTAGCTTCTCCTCTCTGAAGGAGACCGCTAGTAATTTATTTTCAATGCATAAATAAAAATAAAGGCATATTGATTATAAACAAAATACTTAAATTTACACCTAATTCTAGATCACAAAACACAGCGTCTGACTTTTTTCCCAGTGTCAACGTCTTATTTACAAAGACCTATAGTATGTTAGGCCACGATAAAGTCTGAGTAAATTTTTTAAAAACATATATTTTGTCTAGCGATGGATTATGTAATATAGATACATAATAAAAGCAATACATAATGCATATAATGAAAATATTTTCTAAATCTTCACTTATGTTGAAACAAACAAATGTGTCCTAAAGGGCAACAGGATCAAATGAGGTTAGAGAGAACACAACAACTCAGTATTCTTTTTTAATAATTTAAATTTAAAGCTTACACATAAAAACTTAGGAGAAATTACCAGAGCAAAAATCTTCAGGTTGTTTATTTTCAAAAAAGAAGGAATGAAAAATACGGAGAAAAATAAAGGAATTAAGTATCTATTTAAAATCCTAAGAAAAAAAATGGAAAAAACCCCAAAGCTAAATAGAACGAAAGATTT
This sequence comes from Homo sapiens, assembly GCF_000001405.40. Classification (NCBI taxonomy): domain Eukaryota; kingdom Metazoa; phylum Chordata; class Mammalia; order Primates; family Hominidae; genus Homo; species Homo sapiens. Next base: position 41,600,857 of record NC_000007.14, read on the forward strand.
AATAAAGGAGAAAGACCAGAACAAATAAATAAAAGACATCAGAACAATAAAATTAATGAATATATTTAGGAATTCATTCTTTCTAAACACTAATGGAAAACAACTTGCTTGTGAATAAACTGTTTATTGGTAAAGTAGAAATGAGAAAGTAAATAAAGCAACCCATATTAAAAAGAAAATTCCATTACTTTTGTCTAATGTATTTGAAAACTTTAAATAAATGTCTTCCTTCAAATAAGTACAAGTCACAATAAAAACAATAAAGCCAGGATTTATAAATAGTGGTCCCTAACTGAAGAAACATACTGATGAAGAATTGGAGAAATGTATTTAAAAAATTTAAATATTAAACATGTTCCAGTCTGTTCAAACCTAAAATAGAAACATTTGAAAAGGAGAGATCAAGTTGACTAATAAATCTGGTTTACAAAATCTTTAAAAAAGTCTATAAAATATAATGGAGATATGCACTAAAAGATTTTATCTGAGCAACATAAGGGGGATTAAATAGGACAAACACAAAAAGTAGTTGGTAAAAAGATGCAGTTAACTCCTGAAACTTTGCCTTTAGTAACAAAGAATCAAAGACTGTAAGTCAAAATCTGTGAGATATACAAGGAAGAATTTATAGAAACTTAAATGTTGACAAAGATTTTTAGAGCTCCTGTCTCAGCTTTTGGGATATGAAGTCATCAAAAATAAATGAGGATGTAAAGAACTGATATAGGCTGGGTGCGGTGGCTCACGCCTGTAATCCCAACACTTTGGGAGGCCAAGGCAGGTGGGTCACTTGAGGTCAGGAGTTTGAGACTAGCCTGGCCAACATGGCAAACCCCCTCTCTAGTAAAAACACAAAAATTAGCCAGGCCTTGTGGCCCGTGCCTGTAATCCCAGTTCCTCAGGAGGCTGAGGCAGGAATCCCTTGAACCTGGGAGGCGGAGGTTACAGTGAGCCAAGATTGCCCCACTGCACTCCAGCCTGGGTGACAGAGCAAGACTCTGTCTCAAAAAAAAAAAAAAAAAAAAAGAGGTAATTAGCAAGGTTGAATTAGACAAAACAGACCTTTGTACACTAAAAATAGGAAAAACAATGCCTAAAAATAGGTAAAATAACGCCTAATTTTAAAACTTGTCCTATCTATTCACAGGTAGTGTCTTGCTAGATGATATTAGAATGAGCTATTGCATTTTATTTTAAAATCCTGTTGGGATACTTTTATTGGCCTTTTAATAAGTATATAGATTATTTTAGGAAAGTTTAATATCCCTACTTTCAAAACTATTCTGAAGCATGGATGACATCTCAATTTTTAAAAACTGTTCTATATGATCTTGTAAGTTTTAAGTTTTGAACATTTTTGTATTTACTATTAGTATTTTATAGTTTTCGTTGCTTTTTATAAGGACATTGATTTTATTACCCTTTCTTCTTGGCTCTTGCTGTTAATGATGAATTTCTTATACAAATGAATAAATAAGTAAATAACCAAAATAAAGTTATTCTAAAAGAGGATACAGGATATTCATATATTCCTAACTATTTAAAGCTGTTAGTTCAGAAAAAGGAGATTAATGATGCTGCTTTTCAGTGAAACGATATTGTTGCTTCAAAAGACAAAGGAAGTGGTTGTAAATAACATACTTAAAAAAAATTGGGAAATTGGGATCTATGAGACTTTATCATTCTAAGTCAGCATTTCACAATTTTTTTATTTTTTAAGTGAACTATTAAATCATTATCTAAAATCTATGAACATGGTCTCTAGGTATTTTGGTAAGCCTCTATGCCATTGGGTCAAACATAGATGCTTTAGTGAGGTGTTGTTTTTTTTTCACATTTGATTTATAGAATTTCTGTAAATATGCTTTATCTCTGTTTATGTAATTGATGTATAAAATACATCCATTATCTGTTACAAAATTTCTGTTTGCCTTATGTCATTTCGTTATTAGCTCTTTTAATAAAAATCAGTTATTTATTGCAGTAAAATGTATCAATCTTTATAGTTTATGGTTTAAAACCTAGTCTCTTCTTTAAGAAAATTTTTCCTGTATGATAAAGGCTTTTAAGAAATTCTATGGCTTTCTTAAAAGTTTTAAAACTGACTTTTACATGCAAGTGTTTAATGAACCTGAAATTGGCTTTTGTTGTACAGTGTCAGACAAATATCCATTTTATTTCACCTACCATGATGCTTATTTCTCCACAATAGAGCACAATCATGTCTTGAGGAGGTCTCGGCTTCATTTATTGATTAGCTCATTCTTCTCTTGCTATACTTGTGTGACTCAGCTTTTCAGCTTCTGTTTTTTTAATTAGTCCATTTATTCATCTTTGCACCAATTTCACCCTTTTACTTACTACACATGAAAAATAACTCTTGCTACTTCAGAAGGCAAGTCTTCACAGCCTATCCTTCTCTCCAGAAATTGCATGGTTATTTTTGCCCTTTGCTTTTCTACATAAATTTCAGAATCAAACTGACAGATTTAAAACAATCAAAATATCTTATAAGTAATTTAAAATTGCCATTGTACTGAATTCACAGAGCAGTTTCGGGAAAGGATGACCCTCTTCATGACACTGCGTCTACCATTATAAACATGGTGCCTCTCCTCATTTCTTGGGCTCCTCTTTCTTGCATGTGGTGAATGTAAATTTTTGTGTTGTATCAATGATTAGGTTATATGGGAACTTCATTCCTTAAGTACTCAGCATTATTATTACTATTTTAAGTGTTATCTTTTGACATTATACTTTTTTCTGATAATTTTGACATTATACTTTTTTTCTGATAATTATACTTTTTTTCTGTGTACAGGCAGACAAAAATTCACTTTTGTCCATTTTTCTAACTTTTTTGCTTGTCTTTTTGACATGGCTAGGATTTGCATTGCGATAATTAATAGAAGACATGATATTGGACATTTGTGAATTTTAAAAGTTTTTAGTTAAAAAATTAACTTTTAAAAATTATTTGAACCTTTTCCATTAAATATGATGTTTATTACAGGTATTTTTGTACATGTCTTTTATCTTAAGTATATTCATTTCTATTTTCCCAGGCAGTCAATAGATTTTTCTCATGAATAGATACTTAAATTATCAATTTTTTGTTATCTAATGGGATAATTATGTGTTTTTCCTTCTTTAATTTGTTAATATGATAAATCACATTAATAACTTAAATGTTGAGCCAATGTTGCATCTCTAAAATAAACCCAACTTAATTATAATGCATATTATACATATCTATACATTATCGAGAAAGGGTCTCACTCTGTTGCCCAGCCTGGAGTGCAGTGGTGCAATCACAGCTCACTGCAGACTCAAACTCCTGGGCTCAAGCCATCCTCCTGCATCAGCCTCCCAAGTAGCTTGGACCACAGGCATGTGCCACAATGCCTGGTTATTTTTTTTTATTTTTATAGAGATGGGGTCTAACTGTGTTGCCCAGGCTGGACATTAATCTTCAACTTTCCTTCTTCATGTGTCCTTCTCAGCTTTGGTATCAAGTTTAGGGTAAATGTACAAAAGTACTTTCCCCATTTTATTATCACTGAAATAATTTCAATAAGATTGGAATTACTTATTGCCTATGTTATTTGAGAAAATTTACCTATAACTCTGGGCCTGTTGCTTTCCTTGTAGTATTACTGTAAATTACTGCCTCACTTTTTTTTTTTTTTTTTGAGACAGAGTCTTACTCTGTCTGCTCTGTCACCAGAGCTAGAGTGCAGTGACGCGATCCCAGCTCACCGCAACCTCCACCTCCTGGGTACAAGAGATTCGCCTGCCTCAGCCTCCCAAGTAGCTGGTTTTACGGGCGTGCCCCACCATGCTGGCTAATTTTTGTATTTTTAGTAGAGACGGGGTTTCACCATGTTGGCCAGGCTGGTCTCGAACTGCTAACCTCAGGTGATCAGCCCACCTCGGCCTCCCAAAGTGCTGAGATTACAGGTGTGAGCCACCACGCCCGGCCTGCTTCACTTCTTTTAGATATTTTTCCAAAAAAACCTTTTAGTCCGTTTAGGTTGTATATATTTTTCTTCAAAAGTGTCCATTTCACCGAAGCTCTCAAATGCATTGATATAAAGATATTTAGAATGTTCTCTTACTAGAGTACAAGTCTTTGCAACACCTGGAATTATGTTTCCTTTCAGCATTGTTTTTCTTTTTTACATACTTTCTTTACGTCTTGATCATTTTGTTTCAAATTTCCTCATTAAAGAAGTAATTTTTGTTTTATTTTATTTTCAACATTATTTTTAAAAATTAGCATACTGTTGGCAGGGTGTGGTGGCTCACGCCTGTAATCCCAGCACTTTGGGAGGCTGAGGCAAGCACATTGCTTGAGACCAGCCTGGCCAACATGGCAAAACCCCGTCTCTACTAAATATACAAAAATTAGCTGGGAGTGGTGGTGCATGCCTGTAATCCCCAGCTTCTTGGGAGGCTGAGGCACGAGACTTGCTTGAACCTGGGAGGCAGAAGTTTCAGTGAGCCAAGATCTCCTCACTGCACTCCAGCCTGGGTGATAGAGGACTCTGTCTCAAAAAAAAAAAAAAAAAAAAATTAACAGAGTAGAATTTTAACACATGGATAGATACATGGATATATTTGTGCAACCACCACAGTCAAGATACAGAATAGTTTCATAATCCACCAAATCTTTCTTTTGCTACCCCTTTGTAGGCACTTTCTGCCACCACCCAAAGCAACTATTGATCTGTTCTCTATCACTATAGTTTTATCTCTTAAGAAAGTTAGGCAAATGGAATGATGCGATGTGTAATATTTTGAGGCTAGCTTCTTGCACTCAGCATGCGTTTGAGACTTATCCACATTATTGTGTGTATGAATGATTCTTTTTATTGTTACAAATAGTATCTTATGTTATGGATATACTATACTTTAACTTTTCATTGATTCAAGAACATTTGGGGTGTTTTTTTCAGTTTTTGGTAATAGTAAATGGAGTTGCTATAAACATTTTTTTTTTTTTTAGACAGAGTCTCACTCTATTGGCAGGCTGGAGTACAGTGGCGTGATCTCGGCTCACTGCAACCTCCGCCTCCCGGATTCAAGCAATTCTCCTGCCTCAGGCTCCCGAGTAGCTGGGACTACAGGTGCGTGCCACCATGCCTGGCTAATTTTTGTATTTTTAGTAGAGACGGGGTTTCACCATGTTGGCCAGGATGGTCTCAATCTCCTGACTTCGTGATCCGCACGCCTTGGCCTCTCAAAGTTCTGGGATTACAGGCGTGAGCCATCGCGCCCAGTCAACATTCATATATAGGTTTTCATGTGAACACGAGCTTTCATTCCTCCAGGTTGAATACCCAGAAGTGGAACAGCTGCATCATGTGGCAAATGTATGTTTAACTTTGTAAGAAACTGTTAAACTTTTTTCCAGAGTGTCTATATCATTAGCATGCCCACCAACAATTGAGAGTTCCAGTTGCCTCACATACTTATCAGCACTTGGTATTGTCAGGTGTTTTTATGTTACACATTCTAATAGATGTGTAGTGGTATTACACGGTGGTTTTAATTTGAATTTCCCTAGCGACCCATGTGCTTAGTATCGTTCGTGTATTCCCATTGGTGAGATGTCTCTTCAAGTACTTTGCTCAGTTTTTAATTGGGGTTACTTTCTTACTCTAAAGCTTCTAGAGTTCTTTATATACATTTATAGCAATTATTATAACTGAGTAGCATAGTTTTGTTTTATACTTAGATTTATGTTTCATTCTGACTTGATTTTTGTATAAGATATGAGGGGTTGAATTTTTCTAACTTCTTCAGTTGGACATATAGTACAGCAATTTTTACATGTTAAAACCTCATTGGCTAGGTGCAGTGGCTCACGCCTGTAATCCCAGCACTTTGGGAGGCTGAGGTTGGTGGATCACCTAAGGTCAGGAGTTTGAGACTAGCCTGACCAACATGGAGAAACCCCATCCCTACTAAAAATACAAAACTAGCCAGGCATGGTGGTGCATGCCTGTAATCCCAGCTACTGAGGGGCTGAGGCAGGAGAATCACTTGAACCTGGGAGGCAGAGGTTGTGGAGAGCCAAGATCGTGCCACTGCACTCCAGCCTGGGCAACAAGAGTGAAACTCTGTCTGAAAAAAAAAAAAAAAAAAAAAAGTCTTCAATACTTTCCCTTGAAAAAAATGAAGTCCTCCCCCTGATTGTGGGCTGGACTTATTGAATTGCTTCTAATGAGCAGATTATGGCAAAGTGATGGTGTGTAACTTCTGAGATTAAGTCATAAGAGCCATTGTGTTCTCTTTCTTGCTCTATCTTATGGCCCTATAAAGCAGCTAGGGTGGCCAACTGTTCTGATTATTGTTACTGTTTTATAAAGTAAATGTTAGTTTTCATTTAGTTCTGTAAGTTTTTCCATCAAATATTATGTCCATATACATTTAAAATTATTTTATCATTCGTATAGATTGACCTTTATATCTTTATGAATATCCCTCTTTATTTCTAGTGATGCTTCCTGTCTTAAAGTCTACTTTGATGTTAGTAGCTTAAGTAGGTTTTCAGGGTATGCATGGTAAGTCCCTTTATATCCTTTTACTTTCACTCTTTAAATATTCCATGTAGGCAGCATATAGTTTGGTTTTTCTTTTCTATCTACCTGGTGTTTGAATCAATATATTTAATCTATTTATATTTCTTAAATTACTGATATATTTGGATTTATCTACCATTATACGGCTTAATTTTTAATAATTTCACCTGCGGTATGTGACATTTGTCCTCTCTTATGGCCTTATTTGTATTAATCAAGTAAGTTTCAAAATAACCCAATTCCACCTCCTACTAGCTTATCAGTTGTACATTCTTTTCATTTGATAGCTAACTGAGACCTTACAATATGCATCTTTGACTTATTAGAGTTTGATTTTAATGAATACTTCTACAATTTTCAGTACAATGCAAATATGTTAAACCACATATCTTCTTTCCACTCTTTTTCACTATTATTGTATGTTTTAATTCCATATTTACTTAAACCCCAACATGATATAATTGTTATTGTTGGGTATAATCAATAGTCATTTAGATTTGTGTATACATTTATTCTTTTCTTTGCTCTTCATTTCTTTTTCATTTTCTTTTCTTCCATCTGGGACCACTTTTTTTCTGCCTGAGAAACTCTCTTTGTGTTTGTTTTCTCTTTTTTAGCATATGTCTGCTGATGATAATGTTTTGCCTGAAATGTGTTTATTTGCCTTCATTTCAAAGAATGTTTTTGCTGCTATAGAATTCTAGGTCATTTGAAGAACATTTTACTCAGTATAGAATTCAAACTTGACGGTTATTTTCTGGAAGCACCTTGAAGATGCCATTCCACTGTCTTTTGGCTTTGATCATTTTATTAAGGGACCAGTTTCATTTTTACAGCCTTAAAGTTACTGAAAGTATTTTATTACTGAGGGTAATATGTCTTTTTTCCCATCTGGCTGCTTTTGAGATTTTTTTCTTTTTCTTTGATTTCAATTAATTTTACAATGATATGCCACAATATGCTTTGTTCCTATTTTTGTTGTTTTGTTTTTATTACATTTTGGACTGCATAAACTATTTGATTCTGCAGCTTGATGTATTTCATCAATTTTGAAAAATTCTTGGTCACTATCACTTCAAAAATGGCAACATTCTCCTACTCTGCTTATGGGACTTCGAATGCATCTAAGAGAAATATTTACACCATGCTTCACCTGTCTCTTGTGATAGCTTTGGCTTTTTTTTGTTTGTTTGACTGTTTTTGCTTAACTTGCTTTTCCTATCCACTTGTTCCTCTGTTCTTCTGTCTATATATTTTCTACTGTCTCCTAGTTCGTAGTCTTCTATTTAGCTAAAACTGTTCTGCTCTTAATTTGGCTACTGAGCTCTTGTTTGTAATCATTATATTTTTCTCTTCTAGAATTTCTATTTTAATTCTTCATTAGAATTAACTGTCTACTAAATTTTTCACCAATTTCTTGAACATATAATAATCATTACATTAAAGTCTTTATTGATTTCTGCATGTCAGTTGACCTTAGATTTTATTCTCTTAATGACTTAGTCTTGCAGTTTTTGGTCAATTATTTTGTCTCATGAAATGCATGGTCACTTTTTTTTTATGGAAAGTCAAACATTGTGATAAAAAATTAAAGACATAAATTGAAAGTCTTGAAAATATAATTTCCCTTCATAGATGATATGTTTTTATTATTGCAGGTGTCAGGATAAACACAGATCACCCCATGTAGTCTGGTATTGAGCTAGTTTGAAATGTCTTGTATTCATTGTGATAGATAATCTTATTCCAGTTAGTCTTTGCTCCTAAAGTTTACTCCTTTAAATTTCTTAATTCAAAAACATGGATTTTTGCTGGGGTTTCCATCTTTTTTTTTTTTTTTTTTTTGAGACAGAGTCTCGCTCTGTATCCCAGGCTGGAGCACAATCTCTGCTCACTGCAAGCTCCGCCTCCCAGGTTCACGCCATCCTCCTGCCTCAGCCTCCCTAGCAGCTGGGACTACAGGCCCCCGCCACTATGCCCAGCTAATTTTTTGTATTTTTAGTAGAGACGGGGTTTCACCACGTTAGCCAGGTCCCTTAAAATGACTGAAAACTCTGCTCAGCTTCTCAGCCTCATAGCCACTGTTTTCTCCACTACGTTTTGGGGTTTCTTAGCCTCCATAGATGTTTGAATTCTATTTCCTATCCAGTGAGTTTATGCTTATAATTAGGAGTTTTCAGGGGAGACTTTTGCACTTTTTTTCCTATTCCATCCAGAGCCAAGACTGAAAAGTGTATATCCCTACTATCAACTTTCTTTTTTTTTCTGTCAGTCACTGGGAGCCTCAGCCTTCAGATGTTTGACCTTCATGCAGAAGTCTCTAGCTATCTATCTTCTGTCCTACGCCAGCCTAATGCTTTGTTTCCTGTTCCCAATGTATACAGACCAATACTACACAGGCTTTAGACCCCTCAGCTAGGCAGACATCCCCAGGGCCCATACCAGCCAACCTCAGAGTTTGTTTACCTTTCTAGCTTAATGAGCACTATCCTCTGAAGGACCATCGATTATTTTTTACCAACTCAATAGCTTACTTGAATTCTATTTAACATTTAATCCAGAATTTTTGGTGTATTATACCATGAGGTATATTTCTGGACATCTAGTCTGCCATGTTGCCTCATGTAAATGTCTAATCATGATATGACACAGGCACATTAAAAACTCTTCCCAAGTTTTCCCCCTTCCAGGCAATGATCCTACTAATTCCTCTTGATTTAAGAGGCATTGCCTTATGACAGTTAAGAGGTTGGCCTTTGGAGTTAGATGTTCCAAATCCAAGTATTTGTTGTCACTCTTGAACTTGGGCCATTAACTGTCTTTCAAGGCTTCGCTTTCTGCCTCTATAAAATGGGGTTATTAATGGTGCACCTCTTACAGAGTTAAATGAGATCATACTGAAAAAATATTGATATGATCTTGAACACATTGTGTAAGTACTCTGGAATAAAGCATAATCAGGAATAAAGTAATGTTATTTACAATTATAATTGCCTAGAATGTCTTTTCTTTGGATATTTATTTATTAAATTCCTGTCTTCCATTTAAAGACCACCACATTTTCTACCTTTTTAAAAAATTCATTTTGATATCTTTAGTCAGTATTAAATTATTTTACTTTATACTCCCTTAGCACATCCATTACTATGAATTTCTTAATGCATTTTCCCCCAGATCTGTCTGTCCCAGAGTTATGTAAGTATTTATAGGTGTCCTCTATCCATTTCTGAGCTTCTGTGGTACAAAGATTCCCACAGGATAGCCAAACACTTTTGTCATAGTAGATTCTCAGTGATATGTTTTGGATTTCCCTAAACTGATTTGTACCCTGTACTCTAGACTGGTTCTTCAGTGAGGTAGGTGGCATATATATAAGTTTGAGAATGAAGAAAGAAGAAAAAAAATGTGTTAGGGTTATGTCTGAAAAGCTATTTCACATATATTATTTCAACTAGTCTTTATCACTAATCCTGGGTGAGGCTTTTATGAAGTTTATCAAAGTTTTCATTTCCTTGATAGGAAGATATCCATAAGTTCAGGTTTTTTTCAAAATGTGCTCAAGTGTAGATTTGCTGATATCACTACCTAAAGTATGATTATAAAATGAGAAGAGAGATAGAAGTGGCTTGACACAGAAAGTGTTGGGACAGCAGATACTAGGTCTTACTCCAGTGGAAAGTAAATTTCATGGATAAAGTAAAAGGGGGAACATGGAGTGAGTAGGGCAAGAAACTGAAGAAATTCATGGTTGGATTAGTTAGAGTTCTCCAGAGAAATGGAACAAATAGGATACAGATATAAATACACATCTAGATATATAGAGATAATAACTTATTTAAAGAAGTTAACTCATGCAATTGTCGGGCTGGCAAGTCCAAAATCAGCAGGGTAGGCCAGCAGGCTGGAGACCCAGCCAGCAGGGAAGAGTTGAGGGTGCAGTCTCGAGACCAAAGGCACTCTGGAAGCAGAATTATGTTTTTCTCATGGGACCTCTTAAGGCCTTCAACTGCTTGGATAAGGTCCATTCACATTATGGAGGATAATGTGTTTCACTCAAAGTCTACTGATTTAAATGTTAATTATATCTAAAAAATAATTAACAGCAATGCCTAGATGAGTATTCGACCAATAACTGGGTTTCACGACCTGGCTAAGTTGACACATAAAATTAATCATTACAATGGCAAAGGGGAGATTTACCCACTCATGAACTCAATCTCTTACATTGTTTTTCCCTTTTTTCATCTGATTATGTCCTTTCTCGAATTGCACTTTTCCTAATTGCAGTTCTACTAACTGGGCCTGAAAAAGTTCTGTCCAAACTCAGAGAGAGCCTAGCTTAGGCTTTTCCAAGGAGATTTTGAATCAAAAACTCAAAGCCTCCCTTTTTGCCTTTCTTCAACTTCTTCCTTTCTTTTGATTTTGGAAAAAGATAATTTTACAGATTATCTAGGAAAATAAGAGACTTTTTTTTTTAGCAATTTAAGTAAAGAACAGAATGAAACAGGTAGAGTAGAAAGAGAGAAATGAAAAGTGGTAACTCTGAGGACAATTGAAAGGTGAAAGATTTCTAGACATAAGAATGTCATCAAAGCCTTTGCTGAGCTGCGTTAATTTGGAAATGCTTCAGAAGCTTGCGGTGCCTCATTGAGCACTGGCCACGGAGAAGTACACAGGTCTTTACCACTATAACTTCACCTTTGAGAGTTTGGTAAAAGGAGCAGTGCTGGGGTTTCTTAGCTGAGAATGTGGCATGTCTGAGAGAATCACTTACTGTTACCACATGAACAGATAATATTTACCATTTAATTAACCTCTTTTCCTCTATAATTGAACAGTGAGATTTTAGTCAGCTCTTCTGAGTACTTAGTTCCCTATGACTTAAACAACTCCATTTTTGCAGTATCATTAAAAGCCACAACAAAGTTGTGTCAAAGTTCCCTGAAACTTACAGTTTTCTCTTCTTTCCAGTACGGCTTTTTACATTGCATCAACAAGGAGCATGAGACAATGTAGTTTGTTATTACCAAGATACGGACATAATACCCAACAAATTAAGCTTGCCCCTGTAAAAAGTGAATGAAAACGGATCTTACATAGGAATTATTTCTCAAAATAATCCTTAGTCATAGTATCGGAAACTAAGGTAATCTGATCTACATTTTCTTTCACTGTTTGAATGAATTTCAACACATTTTCTACCAAGTTGTGGTTTAATTTGTTTGAATGTCTCCATGGATGGTGAACCCACTCTGTAAACAGCCCATCTGAATTTTAGACAACCTTGTAACTTCTCCCTTAATTGAATTAGGCTCTATCTTCTTGTGGCTTCTACTTGCTGATCCTAGTTCTACTCTTTAGACCCAATTACAGTAAGTCTAACACCTTTGACTCGTAAGTTCTTAAAATATTTGAAGAGAACTAGCAGTCCCTTCCTCACTCTGAATTTAGAGTTGTGTCTTCTTCAGTGTAAACACCACCAAGATATTCAACTATGTTTTATTTCTAAGTGTCATGCATGTTTGCTTTATTGATTTGTTTCCTGTAACAAATCCAAAACTAGTCAATTGCTTTACATGATCTGACCAGCAGATAGTGGTAGAAACAACTTTTCTGAAATGGTTAGCACTTCTATTATTCCATTATCATATCATAACTCTTTAACTTTTTGGTTTATTAAAACTCAACCGTCATTTTATCACAGGCTGCTACACTACATCACTTCCAACTGCATTTGGGCAGTTGAGTTTTTGGACCCAAGTGTAGGATCTTATGTTAATCCCTGTTAACTTCTATCTTTTTAGAGATTCATCCCATTGCTACAGACTGACAAGATTTTTTTTGTTATTTCATTTCTGGTTCTGACATACAATGTGTTCATTCTCTTGCCAGGCTTCATGCCATCTACATATTTGATAAGCATGCCTTCTGTAGCTTCATACAATTCAATCTATAGGATTATACAGTCATAATTACATCTTTTGAGAACTTTCCAACCTTCTAAAGTTATATTTCCTTTCAAAACTTCATGTTATGGAGTAATGCAAACTTTTCACTCAACTTTTACAAGTTTTAGTTTCTAAACTTTGGAGTATATTCTTCCCTTCTCTGGATATCACACATTCTCAAATATCATCATTTTATGAGTTCCTAAATCTTTTCGGTAATCATTACCTATGCATAGATTCATTTCTTTTGTTGGTAAGAATTTGTTCAAATTATATTCATTACCCATTGCTGCTATAACAAATTACCATAAATGTCATGGTTTAAAGTAACATAAACTTATTGTTTTACATATCTAGAAGTTCAGAGTCAAAATGAGTCTCACTGGGTTAAAATCAAGGTGTTGGTAGGGCTGCATTCCTTCTGAAGGCTCCAGGGGAAAATCTGTTTCCCAGTCTTTTCCAAATTCTAGAGCTGCCTGCATTACTTGGCTTGTGGTCCTTTTCTCTCTCTTTAAAGTCAGCAGTATAGCATCTTCAAATCTCTTTCTGACTCTGACCTCCTCTTCTGCCTCTCTCTTCCATTCTAATGAACCTTCTGATTACATTGGGCCTACCTGGATAATCTAGGGAAATCTCCCTATTTTAAAGTAAGTTTATTAACAACCTCAATTCCATCTGTTCTCTTAATTCCCTTTGTTCATGTAACAGAACATATTCACAGGTTCTAGAAATTAGGGTGGGAACATTTTGGGTATCATTATTCTACCTACTGCAAAAATACAAGCCAGAACTTTTAAAATACTTTGTTTTGCACCACATAAATTATTAAGCATATATGCAAATAGTCAAAGTCACTAGCCATGACTTTACTTCGTTTTAGGATTAGATTTTCCTTACTGGGCTCAATGGCCTGAAGTGCATTCTTAGAATAATACCACTTATTTTCCTTCTCTCCTTTTAGCCAAGTAAATATGAACTTCTAATTGAAGGTTGAGAATGTTTCTGAAGATACACATTTTCTTGAGTAGTATGTCATTTACCCTAGAGAAACACTCTTACCATTTCCCAGCCCGTGCTGGTCTTATTACACTTTTACCAATTCATAACAGATTGTTAGAGCATATTATGTGGATAAAATTAGTAAGATATTTAAAATAAAATGTCATACACATGAAAGGGACACTATAGCAAAATATAAGACATTTGTCTAATGGTATGGTCCTGGAAGCTTGTGAAGATGAGAGGGTAAATTTTTTTTACATGAGAGGATAGGAAATCTAGGTCTTGCTTGCTAATGAGATAAAACTTCTAGTTTGGATTTGTTATGATTACCTGAAAGATGAGACTATTAATAAATAAATAAAAATTGAGTGCAAGAACCTCAGTAGAATGGTGGGAAAATTATTCCATATTATGACTATGTCTGGATACATATATATATATGTATATAAATAAATATATATATATATATATTTTTTTTTTTTTCTGTAGGGATCTTAATGATACTACTTCACCTTAAAAGCCACCAGGACAAATGAGCCTGCCTTTGGAGAACATAAAGTTTACCATATGTAACACAGTACTTAAAAGGTTTGAGGGACCCACATGGAGCATGTGATAGAACTGTAATCTTGTATCATTTGTGAGCTTTAAGTTCAATTTTTATTTAAAAAAATTTCCCAAAGCCATTTATTTCATTGTTAATGTAATTTTCTTTGTTTATTGTCTAATTTGGATTCTGTCCATTTTAGCTTACATTTATTGGCTTACTGTCGATGCAGACATTTAGAAACTGAAATAGTCCTACCTCCTTCAGCAGAGTATGGTAAGCTGAAAGAATACTTACATGGATCCCAAACACAGAGTTCTGTTCCTAACTTAGCCACTGACTAACTCTGTGAGTTTGGATAACTCATCATATCCTCAGCCCCAGTTTGCTTCTTTGTAGAATGAGGGGATTGGACTATTCAGTATGAGTTATTTACAAATGGTGTTTGGGGAACCTTGGGTCCGTGGGATGCCTCCAGAACTGCTAGGGTGTAGCAGAGTGGCTGAGGGACAGAGATGGAGAAAATGGAGTTCCTCACAGCTCATTCTGTGGTATAGAAAGCGGAGGTCTGATTACTTACAGAAATTAGAAGCTTAGACCATTTGTATGTATAAAGAATGTCTAAGCATCATATTAGATTTTACCAGAGCTATCCATTTAAAAAGCCAAAAAGGGCCAGGTGCGGTGGCTCACGCCTGTAATCCTAGCACTTTGGGAGGCTGAGGTGGGCGGATCACCTGAAGTGAGGAGACCAGCCTGGACAACATGGCGAAACCCTGTCACTACTCAAAAATAAAAAAAACTTAGCTGGTAATGGTGGCACATGCCTGTAATCCCAGCTACTCGGGAGGCTAAGGCAGGAGAATCGCTTGAACTCAGGAAGCAGAGATTGTAGTGAAGCGAGATCACGCCACTGCACTCCAGGATGGGCAACAGAGTGAGACTCTGTCTCAAGAAATAAATAAATAAATAAATAACAAAAATATAGGCAATATAAAAATTGTCGTTCTCCCTGATTCCTAAACTATTTATCTTTGTCATGGTAGGATAATCAACATTTCTATTATCTATAAATGGTTGCAGATGGAGAAAAAAATATATCCAAAATCTTCAAACTATTTAACAAATGCTGAGTAATTAAGAATTAGCCACATCTTTCTTTGGAGAAATCATAAGGAACCTTGTGATATCAGAAAGTACGCTAAATTGTAAGAAACATTGTGGTATTAGAGAGTAAGAAAGTGCCGAAAAGGATGAGGCTTCTCAAAAGGGCAAAGGAGCCAACCTGAAAGCGCTCCGATGGGCAGAGCATGAACAATTTGAATAACAAAACAAATAATAGTATTAGATTGTAGTCTATTGACTAAAGTAAATTATCTGTGAGTCCTTACTGTCATAAATAAATAATTGAATAACTAAATAGGGGGGAGGGATAACCTCCTCACTGAAGAATTCTAATCAATAAATGCAGAAAGAATAAGATAAATCACCATTAGAACATCTTAGGGTGTTAATGGTTAGAACCATTAATAGACTTAATGGTTCTAATTGCTGCTGGCAAGACCCACCAATGAACAACAAAAGCATTGAGTAAAAGTTGGAGAAGAAACAGAATAGTTTCATAGTGTCAGTGCATTACTCACCAAATATTTACTAACTACAAAGGGAAAAAAATAGTAACTTCACAGAGGAGAAACCTGACCAAATACACCTTTACTAAGCAATCATCTCCTATTAGAGCAGCCATTAGAATCACAATGCCTGTTAAGAGTATTGTGATGAGCTCACTGTTCCTCCAGTAAGTAATGATGTTCAACACAGTTTAAGTCAATGTCTCAATAATATTGTTTGAGAACTTTGCTAACATAATTCTAGTTAGCCTAAAAATTGAGAGGAAGCATAAATAAAATTTGAATTTAAAAAAGCAATTTTTAAATATAGAACATTAAACCACATTGCAAAACTGTAATGATTAGAACAGTACCCTAAGGTACATGGAAAGAATAAATAACCTAGAATCATTTATAAATAGAAAGAAATAGCTAACTATTGAATTAATTAGTCAATAATCTATACATCAAAATAATGATCAATACAATATAATAATCAATACATTGTAACATACAGAAAATTGTTTCATAGAAAATAATTAGTTTAGATTCACTCACATAGGCAACCATTTCCAAGTATATTAAAAGATAAAAAGCAAAAAGTAAAACTATAAAATACTTGAAGAAAACATAGGTGTGTCTTTACTGAGTTTTAGGTCAGAAGAGCTTTTCAGGCAAGTGCATTTACAAAGGAAAAGACAGAAAGAATTAACTGCATAAAAATTAAATTACTCTTCTGTGTAAAAATACCATAAAGACTTAGAGGTCAAATGTGAGACTGGAAAAAAATGTTTGCAATAAATATAATGACAAATAGTAATGACTAAAAAGCCCATATAAAACCAATAATTCATCCATTCATCCATTCAACAAATATTTATTGAGCAACTACTCTTTACCAAGTGAGAATACAGTAGCCAATAGAACAAATTTTATTTCTACATGAAGCTTACATTTCAGTGGGGCAGACTGAAGGTGGGGCATAATAAAAAAAATAATTCAAGAGATAAAAGAGGCCAGGCATGGTGGCTCACACCTGTAATCCCAGCACTTTGGGAGGCTGAGATGGGTGGATCACTTGAGGCCAGGAGTTCGAGACCAGCCTGGCCAACATGATGAAACCCCTTCTCTAATAAAAATACAAAAATTAGCTGGGCATGGTGGCATGCACCTGTAATCCCAGCTACTTGGAAGGCCAAGGGAGGAGAATCGCTTGAACCCGGGAGGCAGGGGTTGCAGTGAGTGGAGACTATGTCACTGGCACTCCAGCCTGGGCAACAGAGCTAGAGCTAGACCCTGTCTCAAAAAAAAAAAAAAAATGGTAGTACTGTAAAGAAAGATAATGCTGGCCAAGAGGAATGGGGAATACAGGGAGGGGTGAGGTTATTTTGTGCTAAGAGTTCAGTGAAGGCTCTGATGCATGTCATATGAGCAGAAACCTGAAGGATGTAAAGGAGAAAGCTGGGCAGATATCTGCAAAAGGAGCTTTCCAACAGCAAAAGAAATCAGGAAAGACTGGTCAAAAGCATGCCCAAGACTTGTGAGGAGTCCAGTGTCAGAGCCGGGGAAGCAGAGAAGACAGAAGTGTGGGTGGCTAGGGGGTTGGAGTGGGAGGTGGCTTGATATGTTTTGGCTGTGTCCCCACCCACATCTCATCTTGAACTGTAGCTCCCATAATTCCTACATGTCATGGGAGGGACCAGGTGGGAGGTAACTGAATCATGGGAGCAACTCTTTCCCATGCTGTTATGATAGCAAATAAGTCTCATGAGATCTGATGGTTTTATAAAGGAGAGTTCCCCTGCACATGGTCTGTCTTGCCTGCCACCATATAAGATGTGTCTTGCTTCACCTTTGCCTTCTGCCGTGATTGTGAGGCCTCCCCAGCCATGTGGAACTGTGAGTCAATTAAATCTCTTTCCTTTATAAATTACCCAGTCTTGGGTATGTCTTTATTAGCAAAGTGAAAACGAACTAATATATGGTAATGGAAGGCTTTGTAGGCCATTACCTTAGTATTTATTTTGAATAAAGTGGGAAGCCTCTGAGGGGTTTTGAATGGATAAATTATTTTCATTTATTCAAGAAATATTTATTGAAGATGGCTTTGTACTGAGTACTGTTCTGAGTGCTGGTGATACCGCAACAGATAAATCCCTAACCTCATGGGGTTTGCATTCTAGTAAAGGAAGTCATGTATTCAACGAATAAAGAAGTAAAATCTGTAGGTTATTGGATGATAATAAGTGCTACAGAGAAAATACAGCCAGCTGGGGATAGAGACTGTCCAGAGAAGACTTCACGGAGAAGAGAGGTCATGGTTTGGCTTAGGTGTCTGGAGGTCGCTGTCTCCATGTGGAGAGTCCTACGGGCTTGGTGGACAAAGGTGGAAGTGGGGACCTCAGAGAGCTATTGCAATATTCAGGCAAGAGGAGATGCTTTCCTGAAGTGGGGTCATAGAGGGGAAAGTGGGAGGTTTGTATGTTTCTCAGGTGTAGTCAATAGAATGTTTGAACAAGTTACTTTTCATTTTATTTATTTATTGTTTCAACTTTAAGTGCAGGATGTGCAGGTTTGTTACATAGGTAAACGCGTGCCATGGTTGTTTGCTGCACAGATCACCCCATCACCTAGGTATTAAGCCCAACATCCATTTGCTACTCTTCCTGATGCTCTCCCTCCCCACCTCTCCACCGACAGGCCCCAGTGTATGTTATTCCCCACATGTTTCCATGTGTTCTCGTCATTCAGCTCCTATTTATAAGTGAGAATGAACATGTGGTGTTTGGTTTTCTTTTCCTGCATTATTTGCTGAGCATAATGGCTTCCAAAAGGTTACTTTTGAAATACCTGCTTAAACATCTTCAGAGGTAAAAGCAGGAAAGCAAGCAATGGAGTATGAGTTTTGAGTGTGAATGGAAAACCAAACATGAGTGACCTGTTTTCACTGTTGAGAAACTGAGAGCCTTTCCTAAGATCATCCAGGTGCAGAATCACATAGCTTCCTGTCCTCTTCTAATCTAGATCGTATTCTTTTTGAATAGGGGTAAATGAGAGGAATGGAAGCATTGTATGCAGAGAACTGATATGTGTGTCTGAAAATGTGGAAAGAACAAGTATCAGGTAAGAGACTCCATTTGTGCCTCAGCTCAGCCATTTAGTTGCTCTGAGATCTTTGGCGAATCCACACTCTTGTACCTCCTTCCTGGTTTCTTCTCTTTTCTCTCTCCCTTTCTAATGATACGAGAGACTTATGCCAGACACCTCCAACATTCCTGGTGGTCCCTCTTCAGTGGTGGCCAGCTGAGAGAACCAGAAAGGCTAGGAATGAAAATCCAAGCATTTGTTTGTGTGTTTGTTTTCTTTCTCAGGCCCAGATGTGTTCTAGTGTTGTGTCTCAATAATAAAAAGAAAGAGCTTTTGCAGATTTTTTTTTTCATTTGAGACTGAGTCTTGCTCTGTCGCCCAGACTGGAGTGCAGTGGTGCAGTCTTGGCCCACTGCAAGCTCTACCTCTCAGGTTCAAGTGATTCTCCTGCCTCAGACTCCAAAGCTGGGACTACAGGCATGCACCACCACTCCCGGCTAATTTTTATATTTTTAGTAGAGATGGGGTTTCACCATGTCGGCCAGGCTGGTTTCAAACTCCTGATCTCAAGTGATCCACCCGCCTCTGCCTCCCAAAGTGCTGGGATTACAGTCATGAGCCACCATGCCTAGCCCTTTTGCAGATTTTGATAGAAAGCTAGTCCTTATGGAAAGTAGCAGCCAAACTCCAGGGATTGGTGACCTTCAGTATAATTATGCAAATGATTCATTAACCTTATAGGGGATCAACCATCCCATTTGCCCTGGGTCAGCCCACTTTTAGCACTGAAAGACCCACATCCCCCAAAACTCCTTAGTCCCAATAAAATAAAGAGAATTGGTTACCCTAGCTGTCACTAGCCAACACTATAAAAGAATTAAGCAAAAAAGGAAAAAAAAAAAGAGAGGAAAGGGGGATAGGAATAAAGATTTTTTCACTCTAGAATGTGTTAGCTGGACATGAAGGCTGGTGCCTGTAGTCCCAGCACTGTGGGAAGCCGAGGCAGGAGGATAACTTGAGCCCAGGAATTCAGGACCAGCTTAGGCAACATGGGAGACCACGTCTCTACTAAAAATACAAAAAATTAGCCGGGTGTGGTGGTGCACACCTGTAGTCCCTGCTATTCAGGAGGCAGAGGTGGGAGGACCACCTGAGCTCAGGAAGTTGAGGTTGCCATGAGCCCTGATGCTGCCACTGTCCTCCAGCCTGGGCAATGGGAGTGAGACTGTGCCTCTAAAACAACAACAACAACAAAAAGTGTGTCAATGAGGACACACTGCCTTAATTTAATGACCTTAAATCAAATTAACTGGAATGAGGATATTTATTATTTCATATAACAGGAAGGTCAGAGGCAAGGGTACATTTCAGGGTAGGTTGAACCAGTGCCTGGACAATGCACATTCTCTCTCTGATTCCCTCCTCTGCTTACTGGGGCATCTGCTTCATTTCATCATGGGCTCCCTCTTGGTCCTAAGAGCACTACAGGCAGCAATGGAGCCAGTGAGATTTCCTGTTCACAGGATGGCAGGAGAGATGGTAAGTGGAATCACTTTCCTACCAACCCAGAGTAAACCTCTTCCTACATCTCACTCTCCCACAGCCTTAAGCCTACTTATCCCTGTAACAATAACTAGTACAGGGATTCCAGTTATTTGTATAGGAATCACCTAGGGGATGATGTGACCCTAGTGGGCTTGGATCAGTCATATACAGTGAAGGGATGGCAGCCACCATGTACACGCAGAAGGGCACAGGAAATGGATCAGAGGAGAACATGGATAAACAGTAAACCAGTGGAAGTCACTAGATCAAGGTTTCTCCTCAAGAAGTGAGACTTATCAGGGCAGTAGGTGATAAAATAAAAAATTGAGTTTTCATCCTTCAAGAAAAGGGACCAGTATGGTAACTTCCTTGTGGCCTGTTGTTAACCATAGTAAGGAAAGTTGGAGATGGGTGGATTGATCCAAGCTATGAGTAGGAGAGAGGACTCCCAACCTTGAAGCAGCATTTCTAGTCTAAGCATAACTAGATTCTGCAGCTGTGTTGCTTTGAACAAGTGATTTCACTTTATATGAAAATTCTACAATTGGAAGAAGGTTTGGGGAGGATTTGACCTATGTCCATTTGAGTAGTTCTCAGTTTGCTTCTTTAAATGTTCGTTTAATTAACTGCATTGATCTTTGTTCTTGTTGGGTGATGAATATATGAGTCTGTGTGGTACAATGGGAAAGGATAAAGGACATCAGAAAGAAAGAGAGAGAGAGAGAGAGATGGAGGAAGACAGGGAGAGAGGTAGGAGGGGAAAGAAAAAAGAAAGAAGGAAGGAAAGGAAAGGAAAGGACAGGAAAGGAAGGAAGGAAGAAGGAAGGAGGGAGGGAGGGAGGAAAAAGAAAGAAAGAAAGAAAGAAAGAAAAAGGAAGGGAGAGAAGGAATGGAGGGAGGGAGGAGAAAGAAGGGGAATGAGAAAGGAAGGAAGGAGAAAAAAGAGTGAAAAAAGAAGGTAGAAAGAAAGAAGAAAGAGAAAGAAAGAAAAGAAAAGAGAAGAGATCGAGAGAGAAAGAAAATAGAGAAGCAGGAATGGAGGGAGAAAGGAAAAGAGGAAAGAAGAAAGAAAAGGAAGACAGGAGGGAAGAAAGGACAAGAAGGAGGAATAAGGAGGCAAAACTGGAAAAACACGTTCCTGGGTTCTCCTGAGTTGTGAAAAGCCGAGCTCCAAAAGAAGGAATCACTCAGGTCACAGGTTCACCATGTCCTCAGCGGCATTCCAGACAAATGATCAGTTAAAAATTCAAGATGTCTACCTCTAAAATGGAAGCTGACTGTTGTCTTTTATAGCCTGAACTAAGAATTTCCTCGTTGTTTTTAAAGTGTAACCTCCTGAAACACACAGAGAGAATTTCAGAGACGCCTTAGGGTTTGGGCAGTCCAGGGGATTTGTAATTGTGCTCCCTGTCTCAGAAATGCCTCCCTGTGAGTGAACCACTTAAGAGAAGCTTGGGAACATCACCAGCACAGGGAGCTGTGTGAATGGAAGCTTGTTGGAAATGTTTAACATCTGAAGTGCCGTGTGCCAACTCTACTGTAGACAAGAATACTTTCATGTCTGTTATACATTGGTTTCAAATGGTTAAAATACATAATGACATTAAAGGGGGCTGTTTTTCAGCATTTTGAGGGAATTTCAGACACAACTCCCATTTATTTGTGTGAGTAGTCTGCCTTGCTTTCCTTGGACCCCTTTGAAAATGAAGCCCTGTGTGTTAATCTAATGTTGAGATGGAGAGAATTCATAACAGATTTCATCACACAACTGACTTGGCACCAAACTTCCTCGCCCAGAACAATAGAAAGGGCTCTCATCATGCCTGCCCTTTGGGGCTTAGCTGATCGTTTCTTCTTTAACGTCCAAACAGCACTTCCCCTTACCATAATTTTAATTCCTGTAGTTTAAATCACCTTCAAATAATATTTACTTTTTTCCCCCTATTTCTCGTTTGAGGTCCTTTCCATTTTGCCTGTCTTCGTCTGTGGCCTTTGGGTCCTCTTCTTGCCCTCCCTGCTGGCACCTGTCACTTCTAGTTTGCTTTTCATTTCCCTTCTGAGTCAAGTAAAGCCCTCACTTTACACCCAGAGCCTTCTCACCTCTGTTTATTATTCTAGGAGTAGATGAAGGAAAATGTGAAAGCAGACATTTGCTCAAGGGGGGAAAAAAAGAAACAAAACAAAAAAACATGTATATCGTTCATTTCTGATTACGGTAGCTCATGCCTGTAATCCCAGCACTTTGAGAGGCCAAGGCAGGTGGATCACCTGAGGTCACGAGTTCAAGACCAGCGTGGCCCAACATGGTGAAACCCCATCTCTACAAAAATACAAAAATTAGCAGGCCATCATGGTGCACGCCTGTAATCCCAGCTACTCAGAAGGCTGAGACAGAGAATCACTTGAACCTGAGAGGCGGAGGCTACAGTGAGCCAAGATCCAAGATCATGGCACTGCACTCCAGCCTGGGAGACAGGGAGAGACTCCATCTCAAAAAAAAAGGGCACTGTTCATTTCTGACTGTGCAGGAGGCTATGATCAAAAACCTGTTGCCACTCCATTCAGAAGTGGCGACTGTTTTGAGACAGTAGCAGCTCTAATTGGCAGTTTCAAATGTCCATGCTTCCCCAAAATAGCTTCATCAAGAAATAGAATTTACTTCTTTGCCTGAGCCTCCACTATCCATGTATTTATTTCTATTAGGCTGGTGCAAACATAATTGCTGTTTTTGAGATTACTTTTAATTCCGAAAACCTCAGTTAAGTTTGCACCAACCTAATATTGTAGCACCTATAGATCATGATTAAATTTACCATTTTTTTCTATGGAATAGCAATTCCCCAGAAGGTTGCCTTTTGGTTATTTTTGTAACCTTGAAAATCTGGCATAATGCTGGCACACAGTAGGCATCCAATAAATATATGTTGAATTAATGAGTAACGTAGTCACGTAAGTAAAAAGTATTAGAGCTGGTAGACAAAAATGGAGGCTCTGTCTTGAGAAGCTTTATGATGGTCTACAATTAAAAAACCTTCATGCTGGTCTTACGGTTCCTATTGCAGGACCATGTGAAACTTACGTTGATCAATGTGCAATTTGTATGAGTCACTGTTGTTTTCTACTTTCTTTTTGATGTCTCCTCTTTGGATCATCAGTATCTCTATTTGTGCATTATGAAGTTGAAGCTTAAGTGTTTATTTTATGTATATGATACATGATATAACTGTATACATAGGTTTATATTATGTGAATAATTAAATATAATTTTTAAAGGAAAAGGAGGTAGTGTTAGGTCCTCCTAGCTAGTAGCCTTACTCCTTGATATTTCTAAAATATGTGAGCTTCTCCAAGGAGAGTACATTACTCTCCAGGGAGACAGAAGTGTTTCAAAGCTGCAATCCTGTCATTTACCAAAAGACTTCTCTCCTGTTTTAAATATGTTAATACCTATTTAAATTACCAATCTCTCTGGTTGATTCTGTCACAGAGCTCTTTGATTTCAGGGTAAAGTTAGTGAAATTATCATTTTGACTCAACTGAACAATCAAGAGGTCAAAATGATTGTGATGTTCCATCTATCTGGAAGTGGCCTCCTTATTTCTGTTTCTGACTGTTCAGTAAAGAGTAATAAAGAGAGCCTCTTGATTCAATGAAAAGAAAATTGAGGAAGCACTTGCCCAGTGGTTGTTTTTGTTTGTTTGTTTGTTTGTTTGTTTGTTTGTTTTTAATAGTATGCACATGTACTAGTTGGTGACAGTCTACTCCTGGGCCACCAGTAGCAAGGGATGAGAGTGAGAGGCAGAGCAGAGCCCTGGCTGAGTCATCAGGACAACAGACTAGCCTGTTTATCAAACCTTGCCAGACAAGCAAAGGCTAACTGAGAAGATGGTTTTGTAACTTGAGAAAGGGTTGTTTTGATGGCACATCTTTAATAGATAAAATAATGAATTAACACATCCTTAGGGAATCACTTGGCTAAGGATTAAGGACCAGACAAACAATTATTTGAAAAGTGAAAGTCTGGGTAAATTAACCAATTTCTTTGTGTCCACAGAACTCATGTTCTGATTCTCTTTTTTCTCTCCCCCATCCCCCACCTCCACCCATTATGCCCACACAACTCAGGTTCTTAAGTGACCGAGAGTAACACGATCACAGGTCTCTTCCCAGAAAGCTTGCTTGTGCTCACGCTCCAGGCTCCCACATGCCAACATCTCCACCCAATTTCAATAAGCCACCAAACCATCACTTCTGGAGCCCCCACCCCCACCCCTATTCATAACCAGAAACAGTGACAGGATTATCTTAAAAACCAAGTAGCTGCCAGATACTGTTAAAATTTCCAGACCTTGAAAAAATGCAACTTCTCTCCAGACTGTGCATCCATCCAGTGAACACAAGTGTCCATGTGGCCAGATCCATGTGCTCACTCAAGTTCTGAGACATCTGGATGACGCCTGCAAGATTTTGGTGCTAAGTGCCCATTTATTCATCATAAAATCAAATTTACCATGTTATAAACTGAAGGCAGGGCTCTCCTTTATGGCCAGATCTAAGACAATGAATTCAAAGAATGAACTTTTACCTTCCCAGGTGTAGGTTTGAGACCCGGCCTAGGAAACGGGTGTGCCACACCAAGGTGAATTAAAAACTGCCAGCCAGCTAAAAGTTGCTCTTCCTAAAAAAAAAGGAACCAAGATGAAATTCTAGGCTCAGAGATGAAGAACTGGAGGCTTTGAAACAAAGGGGTAAAACTGGTTCCAGTTGCTTCCTGTAACATGTCTTCTTTCCCTTGTGGAAAATAATGATTTCCAAACACAACCGTCTTTTAAATCCAAGAACTTAACTGAGTATTTGTTTAGCTGTTGTCTGAAAAGGGTTTGGCTTTCACACATCACTTACACCCGTGGATTCAGGAGAGACTAAACAGCCTATTCAAATATCTTCCAAGTTATGAAGAAATCGATTTCAACTTAATGACTTTCAACCCGTCTTCCATCTTACAGTT
Organism: Homo sapiens; assembly: GCF_000001405.40. NCBI lineage: Eukaryota > Metazoa > Chordata > Mammalia > Primates > Hominidae > Homo > Homo sapiens. The sequence continues at coordinate 41,626,191 of NC_000007.14, forward strand.
GATATTCGACAAATATCTTTATAAAGGTAAATGCCTTTCTGAAACTTTAGAAGAAGTTTACCTCTTTTAACTTGAAATTACATTAATATACATGTTTTTTACATACTACAAATACTCTAATAAAAAGAAAACCTTGTAGCTTTATTTTTTCTGATTGTAGAAAGTTTGTAACATCTCCTGCTGTATTCATCTATTTTTCCTGTATTGCAGCAAAGTCCAGGTTAGGAGTAACTAGGTGGTAAGTAAGTATAACATCAGCTTCTTATTCTGAAGTCTATTCGGAAAAGTAGAGGTTAAAGGAAGGAATTAATCATTTATTCTGCCTTTTTTGGAAGAAATTGTAGTAGAAGGAGTTTTTTTAAATAGAATTCTAGCTAAAAATGGAGATTATAGAATTTAAAAGTTATTAATAAATGAAGAAATATGATTTTTTGACCTCCTTTGACTCTGACAAAGAGCATCAGTGGATGCTAACACTATAAAGTGAAATTAGTTGAAGGCTAGGAGACGCGAAGGTGTCAAAAACCCATCCCAAGACAGACTTGCTCATCACAAAGTGGGAAATGAACCTTACAATGGGGAGAAATCACTACCTGAATTAAGGGATCAAATTTAGCAACACAGTTAGAGGAGAAACCAGAAATTATGTAGCTCCTGCTATCATGCAACGTAAGGTACATAGCCCCACCCTCAATATTCTTGCTATAAGTGTTTAATTTGAATTTAATCAAGCCTTTATAAACATCTCACATCTACTTCATAGGAAATACAAGAAATAGAAAAATAAGTCGAACAATAAAACAAGAGGAAATAATCAAATCAAGCCCCAAATGTGGGACAATTAGATTAGTCTCTTCAAGAAAAATAACTTAAAAAAAAAGTCTGGAGGACTGATCTAAATTTTAAGACTAAAGAAATGAAACAAGTGCAATGCACAAAACTTAACTGAATTCTGGTTTAAAAAATGTAAAAAAAAATGTAGAGTCCAGTTGAGAAAATTTAAATGTGAACTCACTGTTAGAAGATATTAAGGAATAATTGTTCATCCTCTTATGTATGATATTGATGTTGTGGTTATGTGGGAGGATTTTTGGAAATGTTAAAGTATTCAGGAGTGATAAATAAAAACATCTTGAAGCTAATTCCAAATGATTCAATATTAATTATTATGTTATATTATATTATATCCTTGTTGACATTTTGGGCTGGATGATTCGTTGTCGTGGGGTACTGGCCTGTGCATTATAGGATGTTGAATAAGATCCCTGTCCTCTACTTTTATTAGCATCACAAACTGTTCCCCTCCCCCTAGTTGTGGCAACCAAAAATGTCTTCAGATATTGCTAAATGTCCCCTGAAGTGTGAAATTGCCCCCAGTTGAGAACTGCCTTAGATAAAGCAAAAATATATCATTAAATAATTTAAATATAGCAGAATGGCAAGAGTTGATGGATCTAGATATACGGGTATATGGATAATCATTAAGCTTCTTTCAACTACGCAATAGACATATGGGTAATCAACACACTGTCAATGTAAAATGGCTTTCTAATAAAATGAGAAGGAGAAAAAATTATGTTTTGGCCTCACTCCCAGATATTCTTAATCAACTTTGGTTAGGGCCTGGACATTTGTATTTTTCAAAAGGTCCCCAGGGGATGCTTATGTGCAGTGAGGGTTGGGGACCATCAGATTTAAATGATTTTGTAATTTGCCATCAGAGTTTTGAGATGGCTCTAGGAAATATAAGAGGAATATGAAACACAATGTCACTTAATTCATACATTCACCAATATTAAACGAGGGGAATACCTTTCATTAGTCTGTATCCACAGAAGAATGCAGGCAGTGATGTCATGCAGCACACGCTTGCTGCTCCAAGTGTGGTCCCCAGACCAGCAGCATCAGCATCGCTTCGGAGCTTGTTAGAAATGCAGAATCTGTGCCCCACCCAGACCTCCCCAATCAGAATCTGCGATTTGGCAAAATCCCTACAAGCGATCCTATGCACATTTACATTTGAAAAGTGCTACATAATACACCCAGGATAGCTGAGCTAATTATGTCTTTAAGTAGTCACATCACTGAGTTAAAGTGAAAGCCAAACAACCAGTTAAAAGGTAAGAAACATTCAGTCAAATAAACCAGGGTGTATAGAGTCTCATTTAATTACCTGATTGTTCTGATGTTGTACAGAACCCAACCTCAGAGCTGGTGCTCTTTTTCTTTCTTTCTTTCTTTCTCTGGAATGGTATCCTTCTCTTTAGATTACTCTTCTCTCCTGACCAAAGATCTCCTTAATCACTTTCATCCTCAAAATATCAAGAGTGCTATTCCTTTATTTCCATAAACTGTCTCTACTCAATATCAATAAACTAACAATGTGTTGCTTGTTTTTCTAGAACTGGAAATACTAAAGGATCTGCTAAAGGGAACTAAGTAGCAGAAAAAGTGAAAAACATTTGTTTTGTTTTTTTCACTGCATAAAGCATAGAAATATTTATCTCCACCACTTTACATCCAGAGATCTGATCTCTTATGATAGTGTGGCTATAATGTCTGTGTTGGGAAATATCTTCCCTGTGCTATCACTCTCTGCACCCTATTAGTCGAAGCAGAAACAAAGGCCAGAAAGATGGACGATTCCTACTCTTCACCCAACAGAAAATAGCTTTAAGATATACTTTCTATTCCTGCATTCCTTTCTCTGTTAAATGTTTCAGGAGATGAAATATTCATTGCATCCCTTTGACTACTTCAGAGCACAACAGGCTTCTCGTTAGGAAATATTTTTGGTAACTCTAACAAATTTTTTCCGTGTACAATTCCATCTAATTATCTTGTACTACAACCATCTAGAGTACCCAAGCCAGCCCTTCTCCTTCTCTGTTGCTACAACCTCCAAATATAGCTCTTGTAGTCAGAGTCAGCTATCACAGTCTCTCTTAGTCATAGCCCAGGTGCCCAAGACGAGTAGAATGCATCTGTCAAAATGAATCAACAATAGAAATACTGAGTAGGTGAAATACTCCTCTTTTCTCTTTACCTCCTACATTTCATCTGAAAGTTGAGGGGGAGAAGAAATCTGTGTAATTTCTCAAGTAGAAAAGGAATTTACCTTTTACATTGCTCTACAGTGACTCAGTATCTAATCTGCTCTTCCTTCTTAGGGATTTAAAGAATTTTCTTTTGGTAAAAGCAGCATTATTTAAATCTAGTTTTTTTTTTCTCTGCTTATTGCATATTGATTTCTTCACTATTGTTATCATTCAAAATACTGGCCATCTTATTTAGCTGGACATGAATGTGTGTAGTGAGTGTTTAAAGGCTTATTTCTTGGGAGTTTGATTTTGTACTTTTTTTTTTTTTTTTGCAATTTTGTCTGTTCCTTCAAGAGGATGCCCTCCTAGGCCAAAGGGATTAATTTCCTTTTAGAATTAAAAGAAATGCAAATGACGCAAAGCAAACAGAAGTAAATATTTAAATCTCCTGGATGGAAAAGGCTGTGTAGTTAATTAAAAAAAGAGGAAGCCACCACTGGTTTGCATGAGAATTTGTGGGAAGGCTGCCCATTGTTAAATTAGGATCATCCATTCATTGCTGAATTTGATTTCACCACACTCCTTGCTTTAGTTCTTGAGTGGGAACTAAGCCAGTTTTGAGATTTACAGTCTTCCCCATCTGCTTGTGCCAACACATGGATCTTGGGAAGGTGTTCCATGGTGTTTAAGATGTTTTCAATAAGAAAAACCTGTCTGTGGGATAAGCTCACTTTGTGCCCTCCTTTCAACTCATTTGGCTATGAACTTGGCTTCTTTGTTCTTTCATGACTAATATTACCATCTGTGACATTACATATCAACATAGCAATGTAACATATTAAGCACAGGAAAACTCGGAATGCTTGAGTTCATCCAAGCATTTGTTACTTAAAGTTCCAGGCCTGCTCTCTAGCCATTGAAGAATATCCCAAGTTCCTACCTACATAATATAATATAATTAGTCTAAGCATTTTTTATCTCGTTAGGAATAGGAACCACAAAACCTCTGGCATAGCAATCATTTGGTATACTCTCTTTAACAACAAAGCAATAGCTTTGCCATCATTGATTTCAATGGGAAGGGCTCTGGAGTTCTACTAATCCCCGTGAGAAGTGGCTACTGACAGAATCACTTTGATTCATTTTAATGAAGGGATCTGAATCTGAAGTGCCACACTAAGGTTGTCAATCACAGGCCAGAATTTATGACATCTTTGTCCATGGATTATGGGTTTATTCAAAGCAGATCTTGAGACCAGGCCAGAAGATCAATAGGGAGAACTGTACCACTTGAGGTAGAAAGACAAGAGGAGTTGAAGGTACAGAGTTTGAGCAATTATTACAATGAATTGATCTTCAATACATTATATGATCAAACTAGATAACTCACCTTGTGTGTGGCTATATAGCTACCTTTCAAAATAATGTCATTAGTTCATACATATGTGACCTAAACCAATGAAGAAATTAATCAATTTTCTTTTTCATACTGTATATTTCCATAAGTGTAAAATGTGCCCTAAATTCTGTCGGATTTTTCAAAGGCAGTGTTGTTTAAGAGGGTTGCAGGGTAGCCAAGAAGCAATCAGTGCTTTGTATTGACAGCAGGATGCAAAGCACAGGATGCTGTATTGTTCCTGTGTTCTTATACTAATGAGTTTCCGAAGTTATTTTGGTTTCGGTTTAGGTTTAGGTTTTTACTTGTAAATGAGAACATGATGGGGAAACTTGGTTGCCATCTTGGGGAATCCCCCAGATGGAGAATCACTGTTGGCTTTTACTGTAAAAGCAGGTGGATTACACATTGTCTTAGTCAGCTCGGACTGCTATAACAAAATATCATAGACTGGGTGGCTGAAACAATAGACTTATAGTTGCAATTCTGAACAGGTCTGAAGGCTGCTAAGTCCAAGATCAAGGCACAGCTGATCCTTTTCCATGAAGAGAGTCCAAGAGGGCTCTCTTCATGGTTTGTAGACAGCTGCCTTCTCTCTGTGTCCTAGTAAGATGGAGAGAGATCTCTGGCCTCTCTTCCTCTTCTTATAAGGATGTTAATCTCATCATAGGGACCCCAACCTCAAGACCTTATCTAAACCTCATCATCTCCCCAAGGCATCACCTTCAAATACCATTACATTGGGAGATAGGGTCTCAATATATAAATTTGGGAGAGATACGAACATTCAATCCATAACACATACATTATAATGCTGCCACTAACAAAAAATGCTAGCTGTGCAGCATCCCTGAGCAGGACAGAGACTTATTATCAAAAATTACTGTAATATATTGGCAAAGATGAAAAATTGCATAGCTATAGGTGGCAAGCTAACATTTTCTATGACTTTACTAAATATTGTCAGTGTTTTCTTTTATTGTTTGTTTCATAAATACATGTGTTTATGCATTTAATTTTACCCATAAACTGCTTATTTACTGTTTAGATTAATGTGGTATGTCTGAAAAAAAGACATAAATGACATTTTCTCATCAACCAGAAGAATGTTTTTCAGCCTGTAGGTTTTAACTCATTGGTAGGTCATGAAATCAACTTACAGAGCCTCAAACAACATTTTATAATGAAACAGAATAGAATTTTAAAATCCATGTGCAATGCAAATAATAAAGATAAGTAATATTTTATGCAAACTTTTTTTTTACTAATACACACATTTGTATATGCATATATATATACACACATATATACACACGGTGAGTCATGCTAAAAAATTAATTTTTATGTTGGGTCTTGATCAAAAGTTCAAAAGTCACTATAAACTGTAACTCTTCATTTTTTTCTTCATTTACTATGAGAAAATTTCTTTCAATGTATGTATGAATATGCTTTGTAGAAAACTAACCACAACCAAATTGAGAGATGAGCTAGGAGATCATACCATACAGATGTAATTTAGTCTGTTGTACTACCTTCAGGCAAAACCAATCCTAAGCCTGAGGAACGACTATAGAGTATAGAAAAAATGGTTGACATCTTTTCTTTTATTGATCAGGTAATTACTGAGTCCCCACTCTGTAATTGGCAGTGTGCTTTGAGCCAAAGACACCTGAGATTAATAAACTAATCCTGCCAGACCCTGCCCATGGCTTTCTATGCTCAATTTCCCATTGAAATGAGAAGCTTCAACGTTCTAAGCAGTCTCTCTTTTTTCTAGGCTATCCCTGACTTCCAAATCCTACCTTTCAAAGACACAAGAGAAGGGTCTTTCTAAAAGGCAAATCTTATTGTTTCACTTCTGACCTAAAATCCTTTGAATTTCCATTTAGAATGGTGAGATGACTTGCCCAGAGTCACATAACAAAATTCTGAATAAAAAGCTTTTATTCTTCACCTATCTCCCCATCCCAAATGCCCACCCTTAGCCTGTTATATTCTACTTTTAAAGCCTTTTTCCCCCATCATAGGAAGAGTTCCTCTCTTTGAGAAGGCTGGAGTACCTAGACAGAGCCACCTTCCTCTGTTTAATCTGTGTGTGTTTGGCTTGAGAATGAAGATCTCGATGTCTCACTTACCATCGGTGAAGTCAGCATGTTTTGATTTTCCACTTTGTGTGATAACAGCATGGTAGAGGCTTCCCTCTACCATGTTATGTTATGTTAGTATAGTTACGTTATGTTAGTATATAGTTTTGTCACTGATGTGCCAGTAAATGTTTAACAGTCAGTGGGGAGTTGTGTGTGTATGGTGGGGAGGGGTTTGCAGGCAGGAAAGGAAGGCTTGATCAGTAGTAGTATTTGCCAATTTCCATGGTGTAAGTACTTCCACCAGGGCTGATTTTAAGCTCCCAACTTGTGAGCACTGAACATGGAGTTAGGAAGAGATGATGCACAATAGCACACCATTAGATCATATATCCACCATATAGATCAAAAAAGATAATGGTGAAATATAATAAAATAGTCAGTTATATGCTTGGAATATTTATTACCTTTGTCTCTAAAATAATTTATTTAATTCTAAATTTACATAGTTTAATTTTTAATAATGGCTGCATTTAACAACTGACTTGCAAAATTCCTTACTGTTTAGTGAGTCCAGCCCAGTGCACACTTGGATAATCATCACAGTTAATGTTAGAATCTCTTCGCTGAAATAGAAGTGTCTGTAACATTGGTCTCTTCCAATTTATTTTTTTACATAAAGTCATGAATGGGAAGAATTTTATATTCTCTGAAAAAAAAACTGGCTTTCTTTATGGAAAGCTTTGCCCATTTCTATTTCTTCTTCTCCTAGCCAGTACACTCAAAAGCATTCTTAAAAAAAAAAAAAAAAGCTCATTTTAGTTTAAGGGCACTTAGGAAAATATTTTTTGTTAATATTAGAAAAATGTTCAGATATTTTAAAGTTGAAAATTAGAGAATCTTTATGTAAATAGATACAAAACAAGTTAATTTGAATATTTACACTTAAATATGCACATCATTCTTGCATTTGTAATTTCTTACCCCAAATCTTCTAGATCCTTTACTGATGTGTGATAAAATTTAAAGGCAATTATACTTTCCTACAATTATATTTTTCACCTGCTGCCATGAAAAGATAGAGAAGATTAATGGAAAGCTGGGTACATGCTCTAAATGTGAGGTGCTGGATTAATGATTGAACAGGACTGTTTGTTAATTCTACTTCAGATAAACACGTGTCAAAATCTGAGCAGTTGAGAAACCTGTGCCGGTTAAAATCAGAGATGAACTCTCCAAGATCCTGCTAGCAGCCTGGAAGTTCTTCTAGAGGTTCTCAGTCTCCTAGACACTCAGTTCCTGAATGCAGCAGCATCCAAACCCCAGAGAGAGTGGCATCCAGAAACCACTTGTCGTCAGTGACTACAAGTAATCACTAAGAATGAATCAAACTGAAATACTAATGTCACACTTTATTCTGAAATGTTTCACAAATGCATCCAGCAGACTTGTGTAGTTCCACTAATGCTTACTGCACTCAAATTTGGAATAAATTTCTAGAGGACAGAGAAGATGCCCAGCCCATCTCTCTCACCCCCTGTTTGACATATTTTTTCTAGTGTTGGTAGAACAAGGAGCCTGCGTGGGAAGGAGGGAATCTGTCCTTCTTTGATGCTTCTCCAAAATATTTTGTTTATTCCTGAGTTCCCTAAGTTCCCCTAAGACTGGGGTTCTCAACCTCAACACAGTTGACCTTTTGGGCCAGATACTTCTTCGTTGTGAAGGGAGATTTTATATGCATCTAGTTTTTATGTGCAGTATTTCTGGCCTCTACCCATGAGATGCCAGTAGCACCCCTCCTTTCTAGTTGCAACACTCAACACTTGCCCCTACTCCACCGACTTTCACCCAGTTGAAAACCACTGCCCTAAGGGCCTGGGCTTTGGGGACAGACACCAAAGCCTGAGGGAACTCTGTCCTGTCACATCCATCCCCTGAAGCTATGAGGATAGGACCAAACAACTTCATCAAATAAAGGAGGTGAAAGGGACTATGTAGACATAAGAGAGAATTACAAATTTACACTTCTGTTTTTTATTGTACCACTAATTTCATAAATCTGTTTCAGTTGAATCATAAAATCACCAACATTGAACCATTTTGCCCCACAAAAATGCCAATTTCATTAGTCTAAACTGATTTTCTAAGTGCACACAATTATGGACAAGTGTCTATTCTGCCTTCTTCATAAGCTAGCCCTGGGTGCCGCAGTCAAGTGGGAACAGAAAATGTAATATAAGAGATAAGCATGCAAAACATAGTCCTTGGAGATGATAAGTTACAAGAATGCAATAATCATTACAATTCAGCTAAGTTCAAGAAGTGTGTATTTGGAAAGACCAATATGCCTCTCCCCACTTTTGTTAAGCTGGGCCCTGTGTGACCAGTGTGGGCAGCAGGCATACTGGCGGGGACAGAAGGTCGAAACTCAATGGCCACTTCCTGTACATAGCCTTGGAGTAGGTGGATGGTGAGACTGCAGAGAAGTCTCCTTTTGTTGTACTAGTGCTTACTGGACTCGCATTCTGAACTGTGCCAAGCTGTGAAATTGAGATCTCTGTAAGGTGGCCCATGTCCTCTGCCTCAGCGTAGTGCCTGCAACAGGCCATCTTGTCTCTGTAGTCTGGCCAGCTCCCATGAACTCGGCTAGGGAAGCAGAGCACCAGGGCCCTTTCTCAAAGACCCATTTCACATCTCCATGGCCTTGCCACCCACTGACTCCAGGCATATGTCCAGGAAGCAGTGTGTGGGGTACTGGCCCAGTTCAGTGCCTGCTGCGTGCCTTCCCAGGGGATCTAACTTCACCAAGAATTGAGCCCCTGACCTGATTACTACTCTGTGGCTGTGGATCTGAACCTACAACAGTGGGGGAAAAGCATCCTTGGAAAAAAAAAAATCTTTCCATAAAGAGTCTTTTTTTTTTTTTTTTTTTTTTTTTGAGAAGGAGTTTTGCTCTGTTGCTCAGACTGGAGTGTAGCGGCATGATCTCAGTTCACTGCAACCTCCACATCCTGGGCTCAAGCAACTTTCTTGCCTCAGCCTCCCGAGTAGCTAGGATTACCGGCACCCACCACCATGTCTGGCTAATATTTTGTATTTTCAGTAGAGACAGGGTTTCACCATGTTGGACAGGCTGATCTCAAATTCCTGACCTCAAGTGATCCACCTACCTTAGCCTCCCAAAGTGCTGGGAGTACAGGCCTAGGCCACTGCGCCTGGCTAGGAGTTCTTTTTCCAATTTGTACAAAGTTGGGGGGTGTTTCTCCCACTATCCACACTGTCTCCAAAAACCCAGGACCATAAGGACAGGCCCAGAAAAAGAGAATGAGGACACGTCCTATGAATTGTGTGTCCACCAGCAGATTGGGAGCAGAAAATAGAATTTGAGATAAGCTATAGAAATGTAAAGATATAGTACTTAAACTTACGGATTTATGGCCTAAGATTTCTGTTCACTACAAATACTAGAACCAAAAGGAAACGTTAAGTAATTGTAGTCACCTCATTTTACACACAAGGAAACTGGAAATCAGGAGACAAAAGTTACTTCCCCAAGATAGCAGCATGACTCTGTATATTAACTCAGGCCAAAGCCTTTTCCTCTGACCCAGTCTTCTTGACATCTTAATTTCAAATGCTAGCATATAATTATGCTATTGTAATTCTGAACACTTTTTAGTATCTAATAATCTGATCACAATGAAAATATCCCAGAGAGGAGTTGGAGCTGAAGCATTATTACAGAACCCTTTAACTGAGTTCAATTGAAAAGAAACATAACAATAAGGTGCCTGTGGAGAGCTTTCTGCATGAAGGGTGCTGTTTAGAGAAGGGAGCTGGTTGCAGGAGGAAGGGTAAATGGAGACTTTGCTGAGAAATACAGGACAAGAGGGGACTGCAGACAGCCTTTTCCATCCACATGGACAGCAACATGTTCCCTGGTTGACCAAGTTTATTAGTTAGGGTTCTCTAGAGGGACAGAACTAATAGGATAGATGTATATATAAAGGGGAGTTTATAAGGCCTATTGAATCACACAATCACAAGGTAAGGTCCCACAATAGGCCGTCGGCAAGCTGAGGAGCAAGGAAGCCAGTCCGAGTCCCAAAACCTCAAAAGTAGGGAACCCAAGAGAGCAGCCTTCAGTCTGTGGTTGAAGGACCAAGAGTCTCACAGCTAAGAACTTGGAGTCTGATGTTCGAGGGCAGGAAGCATCCAGCACAGGAGAAAGATGGAGGCTGGGAGGCTAAGCCAGTCCAGTCTTTTCATCTTCTTCTGCCTGCTTTTATCCTAGCCTGGCTGGCTGGCAGCTGATTAGATGGTGCCCATCCAGATTGAGGGTGGGCCTGCCTTTCCCAGTCTACACACTCAAATGTTAATATCTTTTGGCCACACCCTCACAGACACACCCAGGAAAAATACTTTGCATCCTTCAATCCAATCAATATTAACCATCACACCAAGGTATCCTCAGATCCTAGGAATAGGCTAAATATGGTAAATAGATGAGAATATTTTCCTGACAAGATCTGAATCACTGAAGAATTCACTGAGTCACTGACTCATATGCCTATGGGAAAAAAAAAATTCTTCCAGCTATTATATAGCCTTGATATAATTACAATCAAGATCCCATTGGGATTTTTTTTTTCATGGAAGTTTGGAAAACTATTCTAAATTCTAAATTATTCTAAAATTCATCTGGAAGATTTCACAGGGGAGTCTCACTAAGAACATTAAAAAAAATAAATAGTATAGGAGTTCTCAAAGCTATAAAACATATTTTAAAGATACAATGAAAGCACTGCTTACTGGTGTGAAAGCTGAAAAACCATTGAAATAGGACTGCTAGCCACAAACGAGCTATATAAACACAAAAACATATTCGCACACATATGTATGTGCATATTGTGAACAGCTCTTTTAACCAACTTGTGCAATTCAGCACTCTCCATTCTCTCTATAAAGCAAAATGACCAGTGCCCAGAACCTAAAACACTCAGGGATTAAACTAAATAAATGTGTGTGTGTGTGTGTGTGTGTGTGTGTGTAAATTATTTTGCCATCCATAGAGTTACTTACTTCCCAAGTCAGTGATGTCTCTCTACAACCTGTTTATGTAGCTGACTTTTAATATTATAATTACTTTATTTTATTATTTGGAACCACTGAAACATGAGTGTTAAAGGGGGAATTGTTGATGAACTGCAAACTATGTTGCATGCTCTACAAAGACTAGGCCAAACGACCCAGGTGCAGTCGTTCACACCTCTAGTCCCAGCAACTTGGGCGGTTGAGGCGAGAGGTTTGCTTGAAGTATATAACCAGGAGTTCGAAGTTACAGTGCATATGACCTCTCTTGTGAATAGCCAGTGCACTCTGCACTCTAGCCTGGGCAACACAGCAAGGCCTTGTCTCTCTAAAAAAAAAAAAAAAAGTAGTCAAAACTAAGCCACTAAAAATACAAGGTTTCTTATCTTGGTTTGCTTTTGTACATCCTCTTTCTACTTTAAAGTAACTAAATCAAGAAAATATAAATGATGCAATATATGTAATTTACACAAAAAAAGGGATTGAGAATTTCAATCAATGACATATACTCAAAAAGGCCTTGGAACCACATTATTGACAAAATCTTGCATATAAAAATATGGAAGGAGAATAAGAACCATTTCTTATCATATTTTATTTTAGAATCAGCTTTCTTGCTTTACCAATTAACTAGTGGTATCAATAGAATTCGATAAGAGGGTTTCTCTCTCTTAAACACATATTTTTTATATAATAAACTAAACATCACAAAATAATGAGGAAAGGGTAAATTATTCACTAAATTGTTGAGGAGAATATAGCTATTTGAAAAAAATCAAGTAAAATCTCATTTTAGACTTTATGCAAAACTCAATTCCCAACCAATTTAACAAAATAAATGTAAAATTTAAATTACAAAAATGAAAATTGGACTTAGATGCCGAAAAGGTAATGAAGTGGACAAAGTCTCTTTATATAAAAGCACAGGAGGAAAAATTATTAGAATTTCAAATGCCTAACAAGACTCAATAAACAAAATTAAATTAAAAAATGACAAGCCAGGTGGAAAATTAACAAATGGACAGGCAAATAAATAATGCCTTTAATATTAAATAGCTCTTACAGGTCATAATGTAAGTACTTACTTCTCAGTATAAAAATGAACAATGGACATGAAAAACTATTTAAATAAAAAGAAAACAAAAAACCAACAAATCTGTAGAAAAATATTTAATTAATGGTAATGGTACATACTCAAAAGTAACATGATAATATTTTGCCAATTAAACTGAGAAGAAGAAAAATAATAAATGCTATCAACAGTGTAGAAAGATAACTACTCTTGTCACCAGTTAGTTAGTGGGAGTAACCTGGTATAACCAGTCAGAAAATTAATTTGTTAATATTTATCAAGAGCATTCAAAGATATCATAACTTTGATCAGTAATTCTACACCAAAATTATCTTAAAATAATCAAGTATATGAATAATCTGTTTTATGAGGATGCTGTTGTCTGTTTATGAGGATGCTATTGAATAATATTTATAAAAGAAAAAAACTACAGGTAGCTTAAATGTCCAATGAAAAAGGAATATTCTATAGAATCCATTATTAAATAGATTAATCCATCATTAACCCATGTCTATGTGATATGTAGCCATTTAAAAAATAAATAATTCATATTTTTATGAGCCATTAAATGGTATTTTTAAAGCCTAACATGCTATCTACTCATGTTACTTTTTTTCTAAACACAAAATGTACAGATGCTACGATCACAATTGCACTAAAGAAGTGTGCATGGGTGAAGAAAACAGACTAGAAAGAAATATATCAAAATGACATTAATCATCATTTGAGTAGAATTATTAAGGTTTTTTTTAGTTGCTCTTTCATTTTTTTTGAGAAGGAGTTTCTCTCCTCACCCAGGCTGGAGTGCAGTGGCCCTATCTCGGTTCACTGCAACCTCCGCCTCCCGTGTTCAAGCGATTCTCCTGCCTCAGCCTGTCGAGTAGCTGGGACTACAGGTGTGTGCTACCACGCCTAGCAGATTTTTGTATTTTTGGTAGAGATGGGTTTTCACCATGTTGGTCAAGCTGGTCTCAAACTCCTGACCTGAGGTGATCCACCCACCTCAGCCTCCCAAAGTGCTGGGATTACAGGCGTGAGCCACCGCACCCAGCACTCTTTCATTTTTTTTTCTTTTTTTTAGCTTTCTTGTTTTAAAAGCATGACTTCTAATGTAAGAAAAATATAATTAATAATATATATCAATTAACTATTTTATTAAAGAATAGCATTCATGAAAAGAGCAGAAACATGAAAATTAATATGAGATACTTTGAGAGATCATCAAATTCAACAACAATGATGGAGATGCTTTTGTGTAGCAGTAGTAATAATGATAACATTTTGACCGTTTATTATGTGTGGTGCACTGTGTTCCTTTGACTTTGGAGGTAGGCTCATGAGGTTCATCCTTTTTTTTTTTTTTTGAGACAGAGTCTCGCTCTGTCACCCAGGCTGGAGTGCAGTGGGGCGATCTCGGCTCACTGCAAGCTCCACCTCCCGGGTTCACGCCATTCTCCTGCCTCAGCCTCCCGAGTAACTGGGACTACAGGCGTCCACCACCACGCCCGGCTAACTTTTTGTATCTTTAGTAGAGACGGGGTTTCACCGTGTTAGCCAGGATGGTCTCGATCTCCTGACCTCATGATCGGCCCACCTTGGCCTCCCAAAGTGCTGGGATTACAAGCATGAGCCACCGCGCCTGGCCAAGGTTCATCCATGTTTATACAGAAGGAGGTTAAGTGAGTAGCCCACACATGTGGTCAGTTAAGTGACAGGGCCAGGCCATGGCCAGAGCACATTCCCTTCACTACTTTCATGTTCTTCCACCTCCACTCCCCACCACACAGTGTCATAGCAACGGCACTGGACAGAGAACCAGTCCACCATTCTCATCTCAGCTCAAGAATGACCTCGTTGGTGACTTCAGCCAAGTTACTCAACCCAAGTGCCAGACCCAGGCCAAATGTCTGGTCTAATGCCTCCTCTACAACGAGGACGCCAACAGCCAGTGTGTACTGCCATTTCCCAAAGTCACGACATGGGGAGCGGCAGGAAGGGGCCCAACCCTAAATCTCTCACACTCTGTCCGTTCTTTAACCCCTTCTCAACTAGCCACCGGACTACATTCCCAGTCAGTGTTCCAGGTTGCGGAAGTTCACTGCACATAAGTGGGGTAGCACAAATGAAAATATGACGTTAAAACAGCACAGGGTACTACAAAGTTTCCTCTGTCCTACTGCCGAATTGCCTTTCTTGGATGGATCTTGAGTCTAAGAACAACTGCTTCCTTTTTCTATATTCTCAGATAAATTTGCTCTGAGATCAAATTTCCAAGCATTCTCTGTGGTGAACGCTCACTCGGAAGAGGCTCCAGTTACCACCCTCACAGTGGGGATGGCTCTGCCTCATTCCCATGTCTGTCTTCCCAGCAGGGGCTTCTGCACTAGTAACGTGTCTCCTTGATGCAAATCAGGGCCACGTTTGAAAATGCAATGAAGTCTCAAATCCGGAGTCTCTGGTCAGAGAAACAATTAGAACTCAGCATTGCCTGAGTTTTTGTGTATGTACATGAAAGTGGAGTTGAGTGCTAAAGGAAAGGACTTATTTTAATATGTTTTTAAAATAATATTAATTTGTCTGAGGATTAAACAATGGCAATAATACATTATTATTTAATATTTAATAAAGCATTAAATATACATTAATATTTAATATTTAATAAAACAGTAAATAATATTTAATATGTTTTAAAATAAAATGATTTATTTTATTATGTTTTTAAAATAATTTTAATTTGTCTGAGGATTAAACAAGGATGGGGATGTATTATCTCCTTTGTTAAAGTGTCAAATATTCCAATGGATTGCACACTATCGGAGTTTTCTACATTGATTTTTCTTGAAGTGCTTCTGGTTTGGGAGAGCAGGATATATATTAAGCTCCTGGTGCTGCAAGATAAATAGGTTCATGGCCTAGTGGTCTGGCCATGTAACAAATCTGTTACAATGTGAATGGGAGGGGGTCATACCCTTTCCTTGAGGGTGTGTAACATAATGTTAATGTGGCATGGTATCTGTTAGCAGAAGTACGGTGAAGAAGCCATAAAAAAGTGATTCATTCCTCATTACCAAGCAGCTAATAATTACAGGGTTGAATGGGAAGACTGGGAGGGATGGTGGAAAAGCAGAGTGAAAATAAGATAAATGTGGGGGACAACGTATATATTCCTGAAACATAAGGACTGTGTGTGGAATGTTGAACCTGACAGTGGGCATCTATTCATAAAGGAGATAATTGGTGATGATACTTGTGGGCAATCAGAATCTCCTAAATGGCACTTTGTCTTAAGGGAGGTATCAAGAGGCATTTAAAAAGTCCTAATGGATGTGCATGCATCTCCTTTCCTTTCTACCCAAGAGTCTTTGCTGTAAATGACAGAAGAAGGATGGTCTGCCAGTGGGGAAGGATTTGAGGTTTATTGTTTAATCCTTCTGCAGCTCAGATGACAATGATGAGGCTGCCTTAAACAGAGAGGCCAATTGCTCTGGGCCCTATTATTCACTGCACGTAAAATCAGCAAGAATTGTAGACAGGTTATACAGACGGTCCCTAACTCAGGATGGTTCAACTTACATTTTTTGACTTTACAATGATGTGAAAGCAATACATATTCAGTAGAAACCGTACTTCGAGTACTGACACAACCATTCTGTTTTACACTTTCAGTACAATATTCAATAAATTACATGAGCTATTCAACACTTTATTATAAACCAGGCTTTGTGTTAGATGATTTTGCCCAACTCTAGGCTAATGTAAGTGTACCCAGCATGTTTAAAGTAGGCTGGGCTGAGCCATGATGTTCGATAGGTTTAAATGTATTTTTGACTTAATGATATTTTCAACTTAACAATGGCTTATCAAGATGTAACCTGGCTGGGTGCAGTGGCTCACGCCTGTAATCCCAGCACTTTGGGAGGCCAAGATGGGTGGATCACCTGAGGTCAGGTATTGGAGACCAGCCTGGCCAAGATAGTGAAACCCTGTCTCTACTTAAGATACAAAAATTAGCCGGGCACAGTAGTGCGCACCTGTAATCCCAGCTACTTGGGAGGCTGCAGCAGGAGAATCACTTGAACCCGGGAGGCAGCGGTTGCAATGAGCAAGGTTCATATCATTGCACTCTAGCCTGGGTGACAGAGTGAGAATCCATCTCAAAAAAAAAAAAAAAAGTAACCCCACCATAAGTCGAGTAGCATGTGTTCTGTTTTCCTTTACCAAAGCTCATAATTCATGCATTTCAGGCTTCAGTTTTTCTTATGTGGGAAGGTGATAGAGCCCTACTAAACTTATTTCCCTACACACTTGGCATCTTTCTTCTTGTTGTTCTTCTCTCACCTGTCTGCATTAAATAATTCACTTCCCTAGATTCCCTTCATATTGCACCATAGGTAGAAATTGGATGTCAAAGATGGAAGACACCACCTTGGAAATGAGAAGGAAATACTTATTTCAACAGATAAGATGCACAGCACTCCTGATGGGGTCAAGGAGTTCATGAGGTTACAATTATTCTAAGAATACCAGTGAAGCCTTATTTGTAGAATAAGTAGTGGGTAAGACTGTTGACACTTTAGTATGAATTAAGTAGTAACACCAAACTGTACTAGTGGTCATTCTACTTTTTACCACAATACATAATACCAAAAAATGTAAAATGTCTTTGATGAAGCAATAAAAATTATTAATTATGTTACATCTTAACATTTGAATACAGTTTTTATATCCTGGATAATGAGATGGAAAATATGCATAAAATCCTTTGCTGTATATTAAAGTATTATGGTTGTCTCAAGAAAAGGACTTGTGTGATTGGGTGTCTAGCTGAAGCAGCTGCTTTTTTTCAGGGAACACCAATTTTATTTGAAAGAACACCTGAAAAAAACCACATGGCTCTTCAGTCTTTAATATGTGGCAGACATGTTCTCAAAGATGAACCTGTCACTTCAAGGAAAACAACTGACAGTATTTGTTAATGATAAAATTGGAGCTTTCAAGTAAAAATTAGAATTTTGGAAAATGTGTATCTGCCACAACGAGCTAGACAGCTTCCTTTCACTTGAAGCATTTCCAGATGAGATTTGGTGATTATGTTAACAAATATGATTTTTTTATATCATTTAATGAAATGTATCAGTATTAACTCAGTGAACCAATATTTTCCAAATGACCAACGCATAGCAATACAAAATCACATGGCAATATGAAAATTCATTTAAAGTATAAGTTAGATCAATGGATTTTAATCTAATAGAAAATAAAATTGTGTTGATATAATTTCAGGTACCACCTGATTTGTGGGTTTTGCAACTAACCTTTAGAAAACTACCACTTATTTTGGTACAACATGAAAGAAGAATATCCACAGTGATCCGAAAAGGCTATTTTAAAACTCCTATCTTTGCCAACTACATATCTATGTCTGGATTTTCTTCATATACTTCAACCAAAACAACATATCACAACAGACTAAATGCCAAAGCAGAGATGAGCTTCCAACTGTTTTCTATTAAGAGTTTGCAAAAATGTAAAACAACATCACTCTTCTCACTCTTCCTTTTGTTTTGTAGAATTTATTTTTCATAAAATGCATTAGTTTTGTTAGCATGTAAAGAGTTTGTCACTGTAATATTAGCTAAACTAATAAATATTTTCAAATGTCTCAATTTTAATTTGAAATTTGGTACTTATTGATAGACAGTGCCCATATAAACAAATATTCTTTGGGGGTCTCAGTAATTTTTAAAAATGTAAAGGATCCTGAGACTAAAATTTTTGGAACCATTGGATTAGATGAATAAAAGATAACAATTGAAACTTGATTCACTATTATTTTTACATCAGCCATTGCCTGAATAAAATGTTTAAGTGAACCTAATTTTCAATTTTAAACATTTTAATAAATAACAAATTAAAATAATTCATTGAGGCTTTATTTTGTGCCTGCTCTTAGCTAACAACTTTGTTTACCATGACCATAGGTGATCCTCATGGCACAGCTGAGATTATGTTATTCTAAGCCCATTTTACAGAGAATAGACCTGTGGCTTAAGCAGTATAAATAACTGAACAAGCTCATAGCTGGTCACTGGCAGAGCAAGTTTTGAAAGCAGAAAGCCTGCCAGGCATCAAGGATGCTGTCCTAAACCAGGAAGTCACACAGCTTCCCAGTGGCTGACATGTAACCCCATCCAGTGTTCTGGTTGTGTTCTAAGAGCTTGCTATAATTTATCTCATTTAATCATAATTCTAAAGAATAAGGCAATTATTTTATCATCCAGAAAACTAACCTTCTGAGAGGTGAGGTGACTTAGCCATGAGTACCACAGCTGTAGCGCACGAAGGAATGATTTGGATATTTTTGTGGGATTTGTGTGTGTGTCCCTGTAGTATGGAGATTTGAGCTCTTCTTACCATTCAGTTTGTGGTACACTAATTATCAATTTAGCAAGATCCTCTTGTGTTCAAATTCATTTTTTACTCAGCATTTCCCCATCCACACTGCCATTCATCACCCCCATAAAGCTACTATTCTAATGTAATTCAGATAGCTCCTCAGCTATGTTTCTTTGAAATTTTTCTTAGTTTTCTTAATTTGTCTAAATGATATTATATTATAGATACAACTCTGTTCTTTAACCCCACACTGTTTTCACGATCAAGCTACAAGGCTGTAGCTGATTCATGGCTCCTGATAGCTGTGTAGTATTCCATCATGCAGTTCCGCTCCTCTTTACTAAATATTATTATGTTTCTCCAAATCACTGTTGCCTCCAGGAAGCAATAAACAACCTCAAATATAACATTCAATGGACCAAAAGTTTTTATTTTTATATTTTTTG
Source organism: Homo sapiens (assembly GCF_000001405.40). NCBI lineage: Eukaryota > Metazoa > Chordata > Mammalia > Primates > Hominidae > Homo > Homo sapiens. The sequence continues at coordinate 41,645,717 of NC_000007.14, forward strand.
TTGTGTATATTTATTTATTTAGAGAGAGGCTCTTGCTCTGTTGCCCAGGCTGGAGTGCTACGGCATGATCATGGCTCACTGCAGCCTCCACCTCCTGGGCTTAAGCAAATCCTCCTGCCTCAGTCTCCCAAGCAGCTGGGGCGACAGGCACACCCTACCATGCCCAGCTAATTGTTTTTATTTTTGTAGAGATGGGGTCCTGCTATGTTGCCCAGGCTGGTCTTGAACTCCTAGCCTCAAGCCATCCTACCCCCTTGGCTTCATGTGTGAGGCCGTGCCCAGCTCTTAACTTTTTATTTGTATTAAACGTCTTCTCTTAGTCTGTTATCCATTGGTTATTTTTGTGTAAAATTCCTTCCTTGAAGAATAATCTTTACCTTTTTTTTATTTTTGTTTTTTTAGAGATGGGGTTCTTACAAAGTTGAGTTGCCCAGGTTGGACTCAAACTCCTGGGCTCAAGCAGTCCTCCCATTTTAGCCTCTCAAGTAGCTGGGACTACAGGCATATGCCACCATGCCCAGCTAAGAATAATCATTACTTCAAACGTAGAGAAATTCATCAATTTTTCCTTTTTATGGTTTATGATTTTTGAATCTGAGTTACAAATTTTTATCCAAAAGTCACAAAGATATTCTTTTGCATTTTTTTCTACTAAATTTTATGTTTTGCCTTTCACATTTAGGATTTAATTCACTTCTATATATGATGAGTTTTATTTTTCTCCACATAGTGAGCCAATTTTCCTGAGTTTCTACTAAGCAAACCATTTTTTATTCGCCAATTTGTGGTATCACTTTTATACCAGTTCCCATACATACCAGAATCTCTAGTCTATTGCATGGGTTCTGTTTATTATTATACCAATAGCACATTACTTTTAAAAGAATTTTGTAGTTTTTCTAAATAACTTGTAGAACAAGTGTACTGCTCACCCCATCTTCAAATCCTGGGGTCATTTTTTTTTCATTTTCCTTTTCAAACTTTGGTTAACATAAGGGGCACATTTATCTTTTCATATCCACTTGGAATCACTTTTGGAAAAAACTCTCCTTGAGTTTTGCCTGAAATTGCATTGAATGTATAGATTAATTTGGTAAGAATTGATAGAAAAATAATGTTAAGTTGCCTCATCCATGTACATGGTCTATACTTTCTATTTATTCCAGTCTTGTTTTGGTTCTTTTAATAGTGCTTCATATTTTCCTCTATTTTTAAAAAGTTCTTCTGTGCTTTTTAAATAGGTTAATTCCTACCTACTTTACAGTTGCTGCTGTTTTGAGAAGTGGATCTTACTTTCTTTCTTTTTTTGAGACAGAGTCTGGCTCTGTCGCCCAGGCTGGAGTGCAGTGGCGAGATCTCAGCTCACTGAAACCTCCGCCCCTCGGGCTCAAACTATTCTCCTGCCTCGGTCTCCTGAGTAGCTGGGATTACAAGACCCGCCACCAAGCCCTGCTAATTTTTTTGTATTTTTAGTAGAAATGGGGTTTCACCATGTTGGCCAGGCTGGTCTCAAACTCCTTACCTCAGGTAATCCACCCGCCTCGGCTTCCCAAAGTGCTGGGATTACAGGCTTGAGTCACCGCACCTGGCTAGGTCTTACTTTCTAGTAAATTTTCTGCTCAATTATTCTTAGTGTGAAAAGAGGTTATTGATTCTTATAAGTTGATCTTATTTGGCAACTTAATTTACTTTTTACTAATAGCCAATAAATTTGTTAGTTCTGCTGGGGTTTCCGTACAGATGATTACGTTAGCTGCAAATAAAATACTTCTGTCTTTTGCTTCTCAATTCTTAAAGTTCTTCTTTTTCATGGGTTATCATTTTAGCCAGGACCTTCAGGGTTTATGGTAAGAACACCAGGGCAGCCATCCTTGTCTTACTCCTTATCTAAAAAGAATGTATGTAATATTCATTATTAAAACTGGTGTTCATCGTAGCTTTTTAAAATAAATATTAGGTTGGTGCGAAAGTAATTGCAGCTTTTGCTATTAAAAGTAATAATTGAATAAATTAGGAAAATATCCTTCTAGTCCTTCTAAAAAAATTATGTCATTCATAGACATTGAATTGTAAGTATTTTTAATAATGATTGAGATAATAATAAGATATTTTTCCATTAGCCTAGTTTTCTACCCTGGAGGGTAAATTGATAAATTTTATATTAAACAATATTCAAATTATTGAATAAACCCTTATGTCTTTTAAAACTAGTAAACGTTACTTTTTAGAGCAGTTTGAGGTTCAAACAAAGTGGAGCAGAAAGTATAGAGAGTTTCCGTATCCTGCCTGTTCCCACACATACACAGCCTTCCCTGCTATCAGGCACACAGTGGTCCATTTGCAGCTGATGGACCTACACTGACACGTCATTATCACCCACCCTTCAGAGTTTATATTAGGGTTCACCATTGGTGCTGTGTACTCTGTGGGTTTGGACAAGTGCATAACGACATGCGTTCATTACTATAATGCCATACAGAGTAGTTTCACTGTGGGGGTATAGTTCAAGTGAGAAACCTAGAAAGTTACAACCTAGGCCCACCTCCTTCCATTTCCCTTATCCCTAAGGGAACTTGCCCTTACATTTGCCTGAGAAAGATCAACCTTTTCTCTGCCGTAAGGACCTGGGGTGGAAGGAAGGCAAGACTGACCTTAATGTTCTCTGTTCACCCCAGCTGCCACAGCTGCTGTTTTGCACCCCTTGAGGCAGAATTCCCACTAATTTTCCTTCCCTCGGGTACTTGATCCACTTCTACTGCCTGCTGTTTCTTTTCCTTTCCATATTCGTCTCTCCCTGAATTTTTCAGTTTTAAAGATCTGAGAACAATCAACTCCTGTCCTGCTTTTGTTTCATCTCCAGAGTTGGTTTTGGCATCAAGAGGCAGCATCTTACATTAGTTCTCTTCTGTCAGCCAAAGGAGAGATTTAAACCTTAGTTTGTTTGACTCCAAAACCCATGCTGTATGATGTAATAAATAAAGAGAAAACTGAGGGCATTAGAGCAACTAGAATTCCAGATGCTATCTTGAATTAAGAAGCAAATAAACAATTGACTTTCCTAGAGAAATTCAAGGGCACATATTTTTTTTCTCTGACCCAGATGTAATAAAACTTCATTGCAGAAAATTTCAAAACAAGTTATTGTAAACTATAAATAACCACTATTTAAATTATGGTATATTTCCTTCCAGTTTATTTGAATAAGTTTTTCAAGGCATAAGGAAAAGCAATTTACATTTCTCTTCTTTAAAAAAAACTGCATAAAGAAAAAAGAAAAATCCTAGGACAGTTCAAAGGGAATCTACTTCAACCTCAAATACAGAGCCATATCCCACTGAGATCTTGGCAAGGATAACCTCCAGCTCCTTAGAACAGTCCTATCTCATGCCAGTGATTGAACAAGTCATTCAAAATCCATGACCTATGTCAGTGCATATAAATTTAAAAGAATCCAAAAAAGTTTTGCTACTGTTAGAAGGACCTTCTGTTTTCCTCCAAAATGCTTGGACTGTAGCAATTTCATATCCATAGTCCATTGCTTTGTATTTTGGAGGATCTCCCCAGGATCTTTCCCAGGATCTCCCCTCCTGGGACCAAATTTCTTAGTACAATTGTACCTCCCAGCATTATACTTGGTTGTTAAATGGATAAACTATCCGAAAAAAATTAAAAACTCAACAATGGCTTGAGGATCTTTCATCACTTTAGAAAAAACCCGGTTCAATATTCAGCCACTATTGCTTGCTGACCATGACGTACATGGCAGTAACTAACTTAACAAAAACTCAAAGGAAAACTCAGGCCTTTACTGTATGCTAGAAGGTTCACTGACAACTTTAGTACATTTTAAAGTCCTGTAACTCCGCCTTAACCTCCACTGTGGCTATGATCTAATATAAACAGAAAATGAGGGAGAGGCATATAAGAAACAAGGTCCGCTGATCAATGATTACATGTTAGCCCGACCTGTGTTTTTTGGCAGCTAAAATGACACATAATAAAGTGACTTGACTGATGTAAAATTTGATGAGTTTTATTCTCATTTTTTCCATGGGAAAATGAGTTTCCAGGGAGCCCAAGGCAGAGGAAACCAACCCCCACTCCTTTCTTCACGGGCTTCCACTAATGGACTTACATGTGATTAATGAATCTCTCGAAGTAGCTCCTTTTTTTCCTTTCCTTTTTTTATAATATTACAGCTTTATTGAGATATAATTCACATCTCATACAATATATCCACTCAAAATGTAAAATTCAGCGGTTTTTAGTGTATTCACAGAGCTGTGCAAGCCATCATTAGAGTCCATGCTGAAACATTTTCATCATCCCCAAAAGAAATTCTGTATCCATTGGCAGTCACTCTCCATTTTCCCCCAACCTCCTCATCTCAAGCTCAGGCAACTACTATTATACTTTGTCTTTACAGATTTGTCTATCATAGACAATTAATATAAAAGGGACTGTATAATACATGGCCTTTGTGTCTGGCTTCTTTCATTTAGCATAGTGTTTTTGAGGTTTATCCACATTGTATCATGTATCAATAGTATATGTCTTTTTATTACCAAATAATATTCCATTGTATAGAAATAACACATGGTATTTATCACTTCATTAACTGTGTTTACTTTTTAGCTGTTATGAATAATACTGCTATGAACTTTCAGGTACAAGATTTTGTGCAGGTGTGTTTTTATTTTTCTTGGGTACATACATAGGAGTGGAATTGCCAGGTCATATTGTAACTCAAAATTAAACTTTTAAGGAACTGCCAGAACTCCCATCTTTGATCTGGTTAATTCGTCTTCCTTCAAAAGACACTTATCCAGAAATGTCCCTACTCTTTATCTGCTCTAATTCCCCTATTTTTCCCTGTCATAACACACAGTACTTCATAGCAATTGGTACATTTGTGATTCCATAGCTACCTGGATGCGGACTCTATGAACAATAGTTATGTAGCTCATCACTGGATCTCAAGCCTGTAGCACAGTGTTTGATACCTAGTAGGCACTCAATAAATATCTACTGAATGAATAAAATGAGAGTCACTATTTTCTATAAGCCTACAAAGCTGACATACCAAGGTATTTTATATAGGAATCACATATCTTTATTTTTTTAGCCTGAAATTCACCAGTCATGATATTTTTCCATTAAATTTGCTCAATAATTTTTGATTATCCAGAAATCATCAAATATACTGGCCTAGAAAATCAGGATGCATAAGGAGGGTATCACAGAGGATGAAAGTTTTAGTCCCAGCTTACACCTGCAATCGCAACCATTGATCCTATCACACTTAGTGCTTTTTTCTGGGAAGCAAGAGAATACAAACCACCCCATGCCATTAAGCTCTAAAGTTAAACCAAGATAACTAGACCCTATTGTCTTACAAGTTGGAGTTGTACATGGTAGATATGTGTTAAATATTGTTTGTTTTGAATATAATTTATCCATGTAACTATTTCTCTCATTTCAAATATTGGAGTTCATTTCCTATTGTTTGCATAGATTGGTACAATTTTCCTGGAGGGCCATTTGATTAAAGATGTGCTTTCTTAAGTGTGCATATGTCTTGATTCACAAATCCACTTCTAGGATGTGATTTTGGAGAGATAAACCAAGGTGTGTGTGTGTATATGTGTATGCAAAATTTAAAACTTTTTAATTAAAAAATCATATTATATTTTACAAGAAAACTGCAGCCACAACATTCTTTGGGTAAGAGGGCTTTAGGAAAATGTGTGCTTTCATTAGCAAAAGAAGTCATGTGAAAAATAAACATGAATTTTCTATTGTAACTGTATGTTGTTGCATAGACAGAGTGTTTGGTCTCAAAGCTTTCCTTCCTGATTATATCAGAAAGATTTTTGAAATTTTGAGGGATGCTTCCCTGGGTGCTTAGGAAATTCATCTTTGATTCTGATGTTTTGTTTCCTGAAAAAAGTATTTTTGAATATTAAAATATAAGAATCAAGACAAGTGTTACTGTTAAGAGTAGAATAAGGAGTTTGTGTACTTTGATGATTTTTAAGTCTCTGAATCTTGAGGGTAAAGAATCTGAATGCGTTTTATTAAGTATTCAGTTGTGATTTTCTGGCTGGGTTGATAACTATGAGTTATGACAGTGGAATAGGAATCAAATACTTCATTATGGCTCCACTTGCCCCACCACCTTCATTTTGCTCTCCAGTGAAGTGTGAAGTATAAGGATGTGATTAATATTGTCTACAAGGGATTCATGGTCATCTCTGACTCTCTGACTTTCAGGCCCATGGTCAGTTTTAGGAAGCAGAGGGAATATGTGCCATCAAATTCTTAATCTTGAAAGCAGAAAAGTGGTGTGCAATAAGGCAATCCACCTTAAGCTGTTTAGATGAATAGAAAAAAAAATGCATAATTAGGACCAGTCTGAGCTCTCAGCTCTCAGATCTATAGTACCTGGAAACCATGGAAGCCATCTGAGTGCCTCTGAAGTAGATTTGGTTGGAAAATGGAAACATACGCCCCAACAATAGCAAATAGCATTTGGGGACTCACTGATTTGAGATTAAGTTGACATTTAAGTGGGGCCTTTACCCCTAAACTATCAGAACAGTGCAGCCAACAAATTTGTCTGTGAGGGGGAAGCAGAGGAAATGTATTGGGTCATTTGAAATAAAATCTCTCACAGCTGACCCGTGAGAGGTGCTGATGGCTTCCAGATGGAGCTTTGTCCAGTTCCCATTGGCCAGATGTCTGGGCCTGTCCAGCAGGATTGTTTTGTATGTAGAGTGGGGAACCATGGAAATAGCATCAGGATTGACCAAGGGCTTACCCCTGAAATAAGAAAATTCCAGTCAGAGGTGTGGTCTATAGTTTGAAGCTCATTCAGTGCACTGACTGGCTTTAAACTCCAGCTCCATTCCATCAGAGCTCTGTGCCTTTGGGCAAGTTATTTAAACTCTCTGAGAATTAGTTACTTCATCTGTAAGATGGGGAGAATAAGAAGGAACACAGGCTTGCAGAATTGTTGTGAGGAATACAAGAGGTGATCCATGTGACATACTGACTCAATAGCCCTTAATAAATGCTAGCCATTTATAATTATTAATTTCATTGTCATCACCTTTCTATTACACAAACATCGACTGAGCACCTGTGCTATGCCTGGAGCTTTGCTGCGTCCTGCAATGCAAACATGAGTAGAACCTGGTCATGGTTTTCAGGAACTTCAGTCAATTATAGGAGACTGAGAAATAAACCACTAACTGCCCAGAGTGGATGAGTGGTGACAGGGATGTGCACACAGTGTTTCAGAAGAGGGGAGAGGAGAGTGACACATCCCCCCACCATTGCCACACACTGGCATCAGGCTTGGCAATGCCATTTCAATAAGTTTAAGACAGCCCCATAAAATAGCCCTATTCTCCCACTCAACAGGTGAGAAAACTGAGGCAAAAGTACTTTGCTAAGTTCACAAAGCTAGTATACAGCAAAGTTTGGTTCGTCTTGCCTTGTCCTCTCTCTACTCAACCAGGCTGTCTCCTGAGCACCAAGAACACCTGGATGGCAGGCCAGAAAATGGTCCACAAATTAGGGAAAGTTTCTATTCTAGATAAATAAATAAAAGTTCTGCAAATGGCAAAGGGCAAGAAAATCTCATTCCCACCAGGCAATGGGAATAGTATGTTTAAAAGTATGAAATCATGAAGACAGTGTAGACAGACAACTACAGTTGCTGCACTGGGTCTAGAAAATAGGTTCTGGGTACGCAGGTGGAGTCTGTGAAGAGCCAGGGGAAATGAGGAATGAGACTACAAAAGTCAGTGGGGACTAAAGCACAAAAGGACACTGTCGGTGATCAGAAAGTGTGAATTTATTTGCTATGATATGTGCCTTTCATCTAGTCAGTCTCTCGGCTTAGCATGAGCCATCGGCGGACACTCATGAATTCCACTCCATAGCAGAATAGAGGGATGAGCTGGAATTAATGGGAATTAGGCACAGTTTGAAGATCTCTAACACCTCCAATTGCCTGCAGGCAAAGAAAAGTGCTCCAGTTCATGGATTTTAATGCAGTTCTTCCCTAAATGCAGTGAATTCCACAAATAGAAATTAAGTGCTTACTTTGTAGAATGCACAGGTTTAAGTATCAAAGGTCTATAGGCATGAACAGAAGAAATTCTTGTCTTTCTGGAGTTCACTTCTTAGTTGAGAGACACAGAGACTAAATGTCACAACAAGTCAATCATACAGGATGGTGGTAAGTGTCACTGAAAAAATAGGGCAGAGGAAGGGGGTGCATAGGGCTAGCCAGGGGCATTGGTCACAATTTCAAATAGGATAGTCAGGGGAGGCCTCACACACAAAGAGATATTAAAGCAAGATTTAAAGATGTGAGAGAAAGAACCAGATCTTGGAAAAGATAATCCCAGCCAAGAGAACAACCTGGGCTAGGGCTGAGGCAGGCTCACACCCGATGCATTTGAGGACCAGAGTGGAGTCATTCATGACTGGGACTGAGCACATGAAGGGGACAGTGGAGAGCTTCTGGCTCAGAAGTGCCTGGGAGTTAAAGGGGGAAGTCATTGGTGGGTTCTGAGCAAATGAGCAAACCTGGACTGACTTAGATTTGAAAAGGTCCCCCACTCTGTCCTCTGTGGTGAGAATAGACATAAATAAAAATTTAAACCAAGAGTAGCTAGATGCCTCACTAGATCAATGGCTCTCAAACTTTTGGACTGTGATTCTTGGGAAAGAACACATTCTACATGATGACTAGGATATATGCACACACATACGTAACTACTGCAGAATTCTATAATGACACCAGTTGCTTGGTTACTCATGCTACATAGGATGAACTCTGATGTTTTCTATCCTAGTTTAGGTTACTCTATTTCACTTTCAAAATGTCTGTTTGTCACCCAATAAACTGACTTTATGAGTATATCAGTTATAATCTGCAGTTTTGAAAACACTTGAAAAGGGATCTTTGGTCATAATGTTGCATTGTGTATATATGGTGGTCCATAGCTGTCTTGGTGCTGAATACCCTAGATAAGGCAGAGATCCATTAGTTTGTAACATAATGGAAATAATATTAAGTCCAATATATTCTTGTGGTAGAAGCAACTGATGACAATATTTACCTTTAGGTAAATCAGAGATATAGCTCCTTAAACTATGGATTAAGCTGTCAGATTAGATAAACTAAGGTCAAATATTAAGTGGGAAGGAAATAAAATATAGCTGCAGTGCACATGAGAAATCAGTGTGTATAAAATGTGTTAAAAGTTTAATTAAAGAATGAAATGTTAAAGCAGGGTGCAGTGCTGTGCACCTGTAATCTCAGCTACACAGGAATATCATTTGAGCCCCAGGGGCTTAAGACCAGCCTAGGCAACTTAGCAGATCCCATCTCAATAAAAAAGAAAGAAAAAAATGTTAGCTTTTTCTATGACCAATATATACCATGACTAGGGAAATATTCATACCTAACCGATTTACTGAATGCTGGTTTTTGTTTTCTAAAACTTTTTCTTTCACATAGAAGGAAAATTTTCCATTACAGATAGTATTTTTTTGCAGCCATAGAGTATGCCTATTAAACTGGACATTACACCCAGCATAGTGCTACTGGAGACATCCAGGCTATAGGAAAACACTCCGGTAACATGGCTGGACCTGGAATCAGTCACTTTGTAATGTATGCTCGGAGTATGTTATTTATGTAAGGTTGAGTGACCCTTTTTCAGGCTCTTAGCCACCCTTTGAACCTTTGCCCATGTATATTATCAACCTTCAGTTGATATGCTGAAATATTTGGATGCCGAGTTTATAGCAGGGACTAAAGCAGGGGGTGTCAAAACACGACAAGAAAGGCTTTTTCTTGTTTGATTTCTGGCAGGGATCAGAGTGAAAGTGATGGAAGGCTTGGGAAAAAGCCCAATCCTGTCAGTTATTCTAGCCAACTTGGCAGACTCCATAGGTTTAGAGAGTTCAGATGAGCTTTGTGTCCATAAACCTTTGAATACTTATAGAGGAACTAATCTTCCTGTCTGAGATTTTCTGAGGTTCAACACATCTCATTGCTCTGGAGCCAAACTTCTAACTACAATCAGATCCTTCTCTTTCCCAAAAACAGCAACACGAAAAGGCATTGAGTTCTGATCGCATGTGCCAAACCTAAACTCACAGAAAATGGCAAAAACGTTGATAGAATATGTGCTGTACCTCACCTGGATAAAGATTCTTATTACTGTCTCAGCTTTGTAGTGTACACCCCTCAAAACCATCTGGAGTGTTTTGTTTGTCTGTTTTGTGTTTTTAAAGCTATGAGAGCTAACACAAACCTTTTAAATGTGAAAATTTCTGCTTTGCCCCAGGAAGTTATAGACTAATTTTTAGTGTTCTTTATAAGGGAGAAGATTATTTACTGATTTGTGTTTTATAAGTGAAGAGTGTGTGTGTATGTGTATATAAAATAATTTATGATTTACATATACTCTAAAGCTACTTAGTAGTTAAAAATTTCATGATTCAATTTTTTTATCTGTCATATAATTTGTTCTAGATAAGCCCTTAATAAAAATCAAGATTTTCCAGAGAAACTACACTATCTGGCAGCCTGTAATACTGAGCAAAGAAGGAAAGGCTCTAATAAGGAATCTGAGCTTTTTACTAGACTCACAGTTTTTATGTTATACAGATCTCGGATATTCTTCCTAGGGCTTTGTAGAGGTCTGTGCAAGTCTCCACGTAGATCTAAATTATCTCCAATACACACATTTCCTTGAGAACATTCTTATTGAAACCACATTTTCAACCTTAAGTCCCTGGTGTTACTGTGCCTACGAGGCTGGCTCAGAACCAGAAATATGTCTCACATATTACTGCCACATTTCCTGAGTGAATTCAGGGTTCCAGTTGCAGGCTGAATTTTCTCTGAACTGTAGATACATTCAAGAAAGGCCATGTCTTATAAAATAACCGGAGAATGCTGGCAGGCACACTTCCAGGAGGCATGTTTTTTATGCCCAGTGCTACCATAGAGTCCTCTGGGTGTGTGTATCTTCCAGCTTGGTCGGCAGGCCAGTTGGCATTCATTCTATAACACATCCCAAATGTATAAGTAGGTCACCAGAAATGGCCCCTCATGGATAAAAGAACAGAGCATTCGCTGAAGGGAGAAAAGTCGGGAGGGAAGACAATTTATAGGTGTTTCTTCATTACCTATATACAGAGTCCTTCACCCAATGTCTAACATTGATCTTCCCACTGCAAATATTGATAGTGTGAACACCCAGAAAGAATGTAATATGCTTCAAACACCTAACAGAAATCAAACCAAAGAATAGGAAATACACTCTCATGTCGTAATTTTGCAAAGCTAGTTTTTACCGCTGTATCATAGATTCAACAAAAAGAGAGCTCCATTATGCTTCAACCATTCAGTATTTGTGTTTGTCTCTTTCTATTTCAGCTTTGTCTTAGATAGCTTTCTAATGTGTTTGTTGGTTTTGACAATACTTGAGACTGTATCAATAGGAACTAACACATTTTAATTTCAATTTAAAATGAAACTCATCATAGTAAACAAAATTGCAAAACTAGTTTTTCATATTGGAATAACCTCTGTAATTTTTAATGGATGCCAGTGTATTCCACTTGTGGATAATTATTAGAAGGCATTTAAGGGCTTTGCTTTCCAACCCCAGATTTCTAAGAGCCACTTACATAGAATCTCATGAACATTCTTATGACGGCCTCTGTACAAAGAAAAGAAATGAACTAACGCCCTACCTTGTAGGAGATTGTATTTTAAATTTTTTGCTCAAATTGATGAAGATAAACTCAGAAGTCTTGCTAGAAAAAGATAATAAACATTCGCCCCATTTATAATTTAGGACACCTAAATATTTCCACTGTTCTTTGATCTTACTGAACTGAACAATCCCAAGGGTACATATATCTACATTTTATTGTGGGGAGGGGTTAATATGGACTGTTTTTAGACTAAAAAGCCTTCCAGACCCAAAGGAATTAAACTCTAATGGTGCCATTCCTGAAACTGGGGCAGGCAGTTGGGCGGAGATGGGTGTAGAGAAAAAGCCACAGTCTTTTCTGCCAGAGAACAGGCACATCTGTCCACTGGAAAGGTCAGCCGTGTCTGTTCTCTGGCAGAGAGGACTGTGGCTTTTTCTCTACCCTCATCCCCATTCCATGGAACCAAAGCCAGCTCCTAGGAGCATACCAGGCACTTAATGAACAACTTCATTATTCTTTCAGGAGAGCACTAGCCACAAATCTAAGGAGTTTGGAGAAGAATTTTTCTTGGATCTATTTTAGTATTTTTTCTTCCACACTTAAATGTGGATAGACAAGATGGTTCCTCATTCAGTCAGAAGAATGCATGTCAGGCCACAGTAGAGCATCAGTGTTAAACATTCTTTCCTACTGGAGAACACAGGTTGGGAAGACACAGCCGTGAATGCAGAGACAGTCCTGCCCAAGGGAGGCTTGGCAAAGCACTCTGCCTTTCCTGCTAAAATCCTAGGGGTGACTAACTTCCCTACTCCTGGTACTTACTCAGCAGATCACCAGACCATGTTGTATGATGAGGAAAAAGAAGCACTATGGTAGTATAAATTCCATGAGTATGTCCATGTATAATGAAGGCAAGACTACCCAGAAGGAAAATAATACAGGGATTGTCTACAAGTGTAAAGGGTGTGTTTTCTCCATCTGCAGAGGCTGCAGCAATAATGAGAGACAGCACCTTAATAAGCCAGGGCTCAGTTCCCAATAAGACTTTGAAAGTGATCTGGCTCAACGCACATCAGCATTCAATTGTGCTGAGCATTAAGAGCTTAGGTGCACACAGCAGAGTATACTAATGAAACATTCCTAGGCTTGTTGCCCTCGAGAAACACGCTTTCTGTAGAGTCATAGTGGGCACACTTCTCTTCTATGATTTACTATTTTTAATTTGTTTTGCTGTTGTAAATAGTGACTGGGAGCAAAAGAGTTAGATGAAGTAAAAGAGTTAGAGTTACTGAACGTGCATATACCGATTATGACTTGAACTTACTTGGGATTAGAGTTCTCACTATTACTTACTTTATTTTATTTTATAAGAATTTTGATTTTGAAAAGATTGGGTATTACTTACAAAATAATAATACCTACTGGGTTTTCTGCATCAGATTCTATACCAACTATTAAGAAGAGAGAGAGAGAATGACCAAGGACATGAGCAGGAAAACAATGAATTTGAACTCTAGTAAGAGGGAGAGGAAAAACTACCTTACTGAAGGGGATTAGGAAGTCTTCACAGTCAAGACCACAGAAATCTGGTTTTCCAGAGGAAAAACGAGGCTGAAGAGGTGATAATGGACTACAGGCCAAGCTCTGATGACATGATTGTGGTATACAACAAAATACGAAACTCCTTCTCCCAAGGGTTAGACTGAGCTAACCTTAAAAGTCAAGTTATTACGATTATGTAATTTCGGGAAAAATGACACACCAAACTTTTAAAACAAAAGTGTCAAGAAAAAGAGAGACAAAAAGAAAAAGGAGGACGACGTGACAGGAGAACAAAAGAGAAAAAGAGGAGATAAAATCATTTCCTAAGCCTAAGGCAGCATTTCCCTTGATCTTCCTGGTAGATGAGCGATTTTTCAAACCCAAACAATGTTTCATGGGGAGTTACAATTCTGCCTCTGGGGACCCCAGGGGAGGTGGAGCTGAGGTGAGGGAGAAGTGAAATGAGTTTCCAGGTCCAGGCTCTACTGCTTCTCAAATAATGATTTCTACTATAGATGTAACTTGTTCCCAGAAAATTATTTGGAGTCTGGGGCATAAGACAGTTTGAAAACCACCTTCTAAGTTATCATACCTTATGGTACTATTTAGCATGATTTTTCAGATGATATTCATGATGGGGCCTCCTTGGCATTCCTTCAAGCCAAGTGAAAAAAATCAGAAGGCTTAATGCCTCAATCAACCTGTCTCTTTCATCCCCCGTAATATCCCATTGCAAGAGTACATTAACCTAGGCAACCGGCATAGTGTCAATTTCTTTGCTTCTCTTGGAGGGCCATAACTGTCAGTGGAAATTATTTTAGTTATGTCAGCTCTGCAGAGGAAAGTACAAAAACAAGGGAGTCTAAGTCCTTGGAGTTCTACGTTTGTCTCAGTCTTCAACTTGCTTCCTCAAGAGATAATATGTGGATTCTTTTCATATGCCAGGTTCCTAAAGAAACCCCACCACCACCACTAATTTCCCATCTTTGCAGTTCCTTTGCCCAACCCCGCAGAACAGCTACTTCTTGTCTAAATTACAACTATAAGGAAATCTCATAGGTATCTTTCTTTTATACTTTCATGGTGGATTTCAGGCATTGCCTCAGGGATTCAGTTACTAAACCTAGTTTAAATGGAAACATTTTTCATTGTAAATGAAACTTAGATCCTTAAGACTTAGAGAACTTGTAATATTGGCCATAATTAATTCATGTGATGGAGAGGGGAATACTCCAAATTTCCTTGTTTTTTTGAACTAGATAGTTTACTATCCCTTGTAGAGCATTCCTAATCCACTATATTTAAGTGTGGTTGAGATGTCTCAAAATCCTATGCATTCTGACATTTATATTTCTTAATAGATTTATAACTCATTTCTGTGCTATAATTAGAGTTTTATACTTCTAAATCAAAACCATTCATCAATTTTCATGTCCTTGCACCAGAACGTCTACATGTAATAGAATTGCTTAGAGACCCCTAGATCTTTGCTAATCACATTAGTAAATTCTTCCTTGGTACCCTATCTTATTATGGCAACAACATGTGTTTCAAATTTCAGCCACTCACAAGTCATTTCTTACAGAAGACGGAGTGCATTGCACATGTCTAAATGATGAGCATATGTTAGCACACAGACATACACATGAACATACTCTGAGTCAAAGTGTGCTATTGGGACTATAACCCATCTGGCCAATGAAAGTTATAGATGAGCATTTGAGGACTGACTCTTCTAATTCACATAATTAATAAAGCTTGTTTAAAATGGAAGGCTCATATTGCTATATTTATTTACAGTGTTGCCATCTTAACTAATAGACTCATTTACTATTCCTGAATTCAAGTTATGGCTTTCTATCTCTTGGAAGGTTTCAGTCCAAATCAATTACAGCTTGTGGTCACTATGCCCTTGTCTGCTGTAGTAATAATGTGCCCAGCTGAAATCTTTCTTTGAAGTATTAGAGACATCATACCAGAAAATACTTACCTTCAGTGAAGTTTCACAATTCCTTTGGATACCTGCTAAATCTGACAACCTGCTGTACATTGTTGAAATTTCAAGTGTTTTCTACTCTGAAAAAAATAGGAAATACAGAAAGACTATATAAATCTAATCAATACTGGGTATGATTCTTAAGTGAACAATTTCTATTTAACATACTATATGCCCCTGGTTTATAAGTTTACAAAAAAAAAAAGGGGACATTTATGTTTAGCCAAGGATGGTTTAAATGCAGGTACTTAATGAAGAGCAGACTTATACCAATAGCTGCTCATCCTGGAACCCAGTGATGCCTGTTACTTCCTGAAATTCACATTGGCAACATCACTTTTGATAACCAATAGCCGCTGTAGTAACAAAGACCTGGGAGCAGAGATCATTCACCCAGTAAGTGCTGTGAGTTGAATTGTGGCTTCTAAAAAGATATGTCCATGTCCTAAACCTTATAACCCATAAATGTGACCTTATTTGGAAAAAGAATCTAAACAAATCTAAGTAAGTTAAAAATCTTGAGATGGGTTCATCTTGGATTATGTAATTGAACCCTAATCTAATGACAAATATCAGGAAAAGACAGAGGGAGATTGAAGGCAGACAGAAGAGAGAGGATGTGGACTACAGTAGAAGTCCCTGTGAAGACTAAGGCAGACTGGAGTGATGGGCCACAAATCAGGGAATGCCTGGAGCCACCAGAGCTGCAGGGGATAAGAAAAGATTCTCTCCTAGAGACTTTGGAGTCAGCATAACCCTGTGGATACCCTGTTTTTGGACTTCTGGCCTCTAGAACTGTGAGAGAATTTTGTTTTGTTTTGTTTTAAGCTACCAAATTCATGATAAATTGTTTTGGCAGCTGCAGGAAATTAATGCACCATGACTTGCAAGCCCTTCTGAAACAGCAGATAAAAATATAGAATCATTGCATGTCAATAAATGTTACCTTTCAGTTTAGAGAGGAAAAGCAAGCCTGAGCTATAAGTATAAGCCTGGAAAATGGAAAATGTTTTATGAATGGTACAGAATTGACAGTGGTGCAGGCTGTTCCATTTCAAGCTAGGAGGAATGACATATAGACAACCAAAGAAGAAAGCAAAAGGCAGATTAACTGACCCAGAAGAAAGTTTAACGTCATAAGTCAGACATACTGAATCATTAGGACAAAATATTTTTATAGATCGATTGAGCTATAACTAAAAACACTGCATAGAGAAAAATCTTATAAAACCTTCATATACAAGATTGAATAATTAGCACATTTCCAAGAATGTGTGAAAAGGAGTGAGGGGGTTCCCAGTGTGTCTTGATTTTGTCTTCTGATAAGGTTTCCTGAAATAAATACACAGGCTCCTCATGGGTCGATCCAATGTGTGTGTCTGCTCACAGACTGTATTCTGGGCGATCTACAGATACAGGCACAAAACTCCAAAACTCACCTTGCATTTTATTGTTTGTATTGTTCCAGTTCATTTTTTTTTAAATAATATTTTTTAGTTCAAACAGTTCTATTTTTGGTTCTGCACCATGATTTCTCATTAATTGTGAACTAAGGCAAGTGTCTTTTTTTTTTTTTTTTTTTTTTGAGAAGATGTTTTGCTCTTATTGCCCAGGCTGGAGTGGAGTGGCACAATCTCGGCTCACTGCAACCTACGCCTCCCGGGATCAAGTGATTCTCCCGCCTCAGCCTCCCAAATAGCTGGGATTACACGCACCCGCCACCATTCCTGGCTAATTTTTTGTATTTTTAGTAGAGATGGGGTTTCACCATGTTGGCCAGGATGGTCTCAAACTCCTGGCATTGGGTGATCCACCCGCCTCAGCCTCACAAAGTGCTGGGATTACAGGCATGAGCCACTGCACCTGGCCGCAAGTGTCTTCTTGATGGTATCAGTCTATGAGGATTCACTGCCCATGGTACAAGAGTGTCAGCATCCATGCTGATTGACTGTGGGAAATCCAGGATTGAGCTGGGGCTTCCCTCCCCAAGAATGAGCTGCGGTTTCACTCTGTTGCCATTTTCATCTGAGGAGACATCTTGCCTTGAATGGATTCTGTGGTCTTATCAGAAGGTCACGGCAGGTTACCCCTTGCCATCTTAGGCATGGAGTCTTTCAAGATGTTATTTATTTATTTATTTTCTTCTACATTGCTTTGCCTCAAATTTGAACACAGGCCCTTGTCCCAATTCCCCAGAGTGATAGTGAAGACTGATTTCCACCTTTAAGAGATTTTACTTGAATTTGGGGAAAAATTGAAAGAGAGAAACAACTTTGACTATGACTAGTTGTGCTCCCAGTCTCCCAAGCCAAGAAGGGTGACACCACAGCTTCACTCCCAGATTTCTATCATTTTGATAGGCTCCTCCTCCAAATAAAAATTTCTCCTGGTGGGCCCGGTGGCTCACACCTGTAATCCCAGCACTTTGGGAAGCCGAGGCAAGTGGATCACCTGAGGTCAGGGATTCAAGACCAGCATGGTGAAACCCTGTCTCTATTAAAAATACAAAAATTAGCTGGGCGTGGTGGTGGGTGCCTGTAATCCCAGCTACTCAGGAGGCTGAGGCAGAAGAATTGCTTGAACCGGGAGGCAGAGGTTGCAATGAGCCAGGGTCACACCACTGACTCCAGCCTGGGTGACAGAGTGAGATTCCATCTCCAAAACAACAAAAAAGAATTTCTCCTCAGCCTCAAAAACCAGGCTTCAAAATAGAAAGAGGACTACCCTAATCAATCATCACACTCCTCTCTATCTCAGCCTAACCTTTGAACAAAAGAAAAAACATGTTGAAAGCAAAATGTTTAGCTAAAGTTCATCTCATCCTGTGGCAACTCCTCCTTCTTTCCAGATAACCAAGCCAATACTTCTAGAGTCATCTCTGAATTCTCCCTTTCTCTCACATTGGATGTGGGCTCTGTCAAATCTTGTTACTTCTAATTTCAATATATATCCAGAAACTGAACTCTTCTCAGACTCTCCCACTACCATTTATTCCAAGCACCCATCACTTTTTGTCTGACTTAATGAAGTAGCCTCCTAATTTGCCGCCTTGTCTAGACCTTGCTTTCCCTACCCCTAATGCTATGTTCTCCACCCGAGTTAAAAAGACACTTTTACTATTTAGGTCCACTTATTTTACAACGCTACTTGGGACCCTCCACTCCTTCCTATTACCAGCCCTGGCTCGAGCCCCACATTTTTAAGCCTCACTCAGCCCCTCCTGTCACTGACAGTTGTCTTCAAGAGCCAAGAGACGGTGATCATACAGAGCCCCTCTCTTTTCTCTCTCGCCCTGCTGCTGCAATATGAGTAGCTTGGACAGGCATTCTCTGACCAAATGATCACTTCTAGCACTTCTAGCAGATCACTTCTGCTAGAGCCTCTTCTCTGTCTGTCCTCTCTGGGATAACCTGAGTAAGATCTGTCTATACCTCTAAGCTTAAAAGATGGCGAAGGGGCAAGGTCAAGGGTGTGGCTGTGGATCTCTATTTTCCCTCTTGCCCTGGCCCCAGAGCTGTTAGAGACTGATCTGTGCTTCCCAGGTCCCCAGAGAAAAGTCATAACTTTAAAGTCCCCCAAGGCTATATCAGATTTGTCCCGCCCCCGTATCTCTCCAATCTCATCTGCTCCAAACTTCTGAGCCTCCTTGCTGTTCCGGGAATACATAGACAGATTTACATCTCTGGGCTTTTACACTAGCAATTCCCTCTGCCTGGAATTCTCCCTCCATCTCTTTTCCTTATATTGTTTTGCTTCCTAGCACATTATCATCTTATAATATGCCATATTATATAGTAATATAATATTGTACATAAATATATAAACAGCATAATGCTAATGTGTATCTCATACAAATATAAAATAAAAACAAGTCAAAGATTTTATTTTGTTTATTAACTAATGAGTGAACAGTAAGATGTTAAAGCTGGTTCATTGAGATTTATATTCTTTACTTGAGAAAATTAATATTCATTGCTATGCCCAGGAAGCATTTGCTTTGCTATGGATAGGAAATTATGCGTTCTTATCAGTTTCTACACTTCAATTCTGTCCCTACAGAGTTGTAAAATAGCCTAGTCAATCAAAAACAGTTCAAGGTGAACACCTTATAGATTCCGATAAACTCTGGAGTAGACAAGGCATTCCACTGAGAGGACAGCCAGTGATTCCTTTTACCCAGGCTCGTCTTGGACACATTAAGTTTTGCCAATAACTATATACTCATATTCTATATTAATATACTAACTAGTATTAAAATATGGCTAACTTTCTATATTAGAATGTAAGTTCCTTAAAGGCAAACATTTCTACACTTCCTTTAGTTGCTATATCTCTCATGTCTCGAACACTGGCTAGGACATGGTAAGCATTTAGTAAATTCTTGTTGAATAAATGAGTTAAAAACTTCACCAGTATATGCAATAGATGCATGGAAATAAAGGCATCTAAATCTACATAGAGAAAAACGTGATTATCCCAAAATATAGCATAGTCTTTGAGACTTCATATGAAATTTGCCATCACATTTTGTTTTAAGTAGAATGCTTAACTGCATATCTTCACCTTTCTTCAAGGCTCCAATCAATCACCAAAACAATAAATGGATTCTTACATTATATTTACATAATAAGCATACCTATAGTGTTTTGTTTTTTTGAAAGCCCCCAAGGTAAATTCAAGTTTCTACCTATTGGTACGGGACCGGCAGAGGGGGGGTGGGGGGTGGGGGGGGGGGAAGGGGGGAAAACAGCTGGCTTGTTTTCCTCCCCACGTTTTCAAAAATCTTGGAATCTAGAAGGCCTGGGGGCCTAATTACAAATGAGCTTTTTATATACTTCATTGGACATTAAGGGACACAGGAAGTTTTCCATAAAGAAACTTATTTTTTTAATTTTTAGCTGAGTCCAGCTTACAAAATCTTTGTAAGAGAACATGAAAGAAGAACAAGTCTCATTTTGATACATTTTATGTTTGACCAGAAGGGCTCCGCAGTTCAATTGCTTAGTTTCCAGGTAAGAATTTCAGTGGATCTCTTTTTCCTGTTCTTGGGTTTTTCTCAAGGGTAGACCAGCTATCTTTACCAATCTCATTAGTAAGTATTTTTAAAAAGAAGGCAAAAAGCAAATAAACAAAATCCCCCCTCCAAAAGTTCATCAATGCTCTTGCAACCTCAAAAACAAATTTAAACACATTTTTATAGGAAATGGTTACATGAAACTCTTTACTTAGCTAAATTGCTTGTGCATTCATTGAATGCAAGAATTAAAGATCTAGCTAGTTAAAATCCTACTCTATAAGGAAGTTGAAACTTTCTAAGCTTCTATCCAAACTGGAATTTGGCATATTGAGCCCCCAAAAAGATACTCTGAAGACAATATGTAGGAGGAAAGAAAACAAATGCATACATTTATTGAGTGTTTATCATGTTCCTGATGGCGTGCTAGCAATTTTCAAACACTTTTTATGTAATTTTCACAATAATCCTAGGAGATAGTTATCATCCTCCTCAACCTCATCACCATCCTTGTACAGCCGGTCCTCAAATAAGCTCTCTTCTTTCAACGTGGTCTTGTTATAAGGTCATTACACATTTTTTTGTTCTAACACTGACCGTGTGGAGTTCCCACATTCTCCCCATGTCTGTTGTAGGTTTTCTCCAGGCCCTCCAGTTTTTTCCCATATCCCAAAGATGTGCATGTTGGGCTAACTGGTATGTCTAAAGTGTCCTGGTGTGAGTGTACCCTGAGATTGGAGGGCGTCTTGTCCAGGGCTGGTTCCACATTGTGCCCTGAGCTGCTGGGGTATACTCCGGCCACCCAAGGCCCTGAACTAAAATAACTCAGTAAATATAACAATTATTTTACTTGTTTTAATTAATCTTCCTAAATGTATGTATTGCTCGCATTTATTTCAATGTTTAATGTTTTGGTCTTTATCTAGAAGTTTGGTGATGTTTGTGTGACCAGAAATATGCCGTAAGAAGCTAAGTATTTTTAACATCAATTCGCCTATGGGAAAATTGGTTTTCTCATAGTTGATTCTCTTAAAGTCACCGTTTCCAAGAAATTATCAATGATGTTAAGTGAGGACTTACTGTATATGAGGAAATTGAAGCTCATGACATCAAATAACTTGGTCAAAGTCACAGAGCTGGGGAGGAACCCAGGCAGGGTTCAGAACTAAGAGTCTGAGGCTCCTATCCTTTTGCTCGTTACAACTGGGAAGCTGCAACCCATATCATTTTATTCTCTTCTGTTTTATTCTGTGCTCTGTAAATTGGCAGTGAGGCTTAAAGTACTGCAGGAAGGAGAAATAGAAATGGAAGAGATTTCAATCATACTCATCTTTAAAATATACATTTTCAAGATGTTACAATTACCCATTGTCAATGTATGAAAATGGTATCCAGTGAGCTTCAGATTAGGGCTACAAATATTGATTGATGGGTGCCACAATCAGCCTGACCTGGAAATTCTGACCTGGAAACAAAGTAATTGAACTGAGGAGCCCTTCTGGTCAAACATAAAATGTATCGAAACTAGACTTATTCTTCTTTCATGTTCTCTTACAAAGATTTTTTAAGCTAGGCTCAACTGAAAATTAAAAATAATAAGTTTATTTATGGAAAACTTCTTGCATCCCTAAAACTTTTAATGGATGCCACCATCAAAGGTTTCTTGCCTGGAAATTTCTTAATTCCTCTTATTCAATTGAAAGGGGCTTTGCCAGTAGAATTTGTAATTCTATTGAATTACATAAAGGAGTACATGAAGAAGTTTCTTGACAGGCTTCTAAACAAAATAGCAATGTGGCTGTGGACAATTCTTGCATGTGTATCTCATTTTTTGCTGGCGAGCATAATTCTTTTACCTGGCTTCACTTGGCGGTTGAAAGAATACAATGAGGTAGAAGATAAAAAAATGTTTTCCAAAATCTAATTTTAAAAATTGTTGAATGATACCATCATAAGACATGGTACAACACAAAAATCCATGTTTTCAACTTGTCCTTCTCTGTCTTCAGTGAGATGTGTGCCACTGTCACCTATGGCTGAAGCTGTTCCTTCCTGCAATGAGAGCAGCAGGGAGAAGAGGGCATAGACCTTCCACAGTGAATCCTCACAAAAACACTGAGAACTCATTATTGTTCCCATTTTATAAGTGAGAGAACTAAAGGCCAGAAATTCCAAATCACTGGTTCAAGTTCATTTAAGTGAAACTCAATCTTTTACCACTAAACTCTAAGCTGTATGTTCATTTTCCCATGCCATATCCTGTGATTCTGGAGCTTATACTCCAGAATCCCCACATCTATCCATTAAAGTCCTTGCTGAAATGATGTAACTGCCTGATGGGTTCTTCTCTGCCACTTCCCAGATACAGCTGATTTATTAAGACAAGAGAATTGCAATAGAGAAAGAGTTTAATACATGTAGAGATGGTTAAACAGGAGACTGCCGTTGTATTATTACTCAGATCAGCCTCTCTAGAAATGTGAAGGCTAGAGGTTTTTAAAGATAGTTTGGTGGGCAGGGGCTAGAGAATGGGTGCTGCTGATTGGTAGGGGTGTGAAAAATGGTTGTCATGAGTCATGGGTCTGAGTGGAGCCATCCAGTCATCAGAAATCCACAGTCTGAAAAGACATCTCAAAAGGCCAGTCTTAGGCTCTATTAGATAAGTGCAAAAGTAATTGTGGTTTTAGCCATTATGGCAAAAATCACAACTATTTTTGCACCAACCTAATACAATAGTGATGTTATTTATAGGAGTACTTGGAGAAGTTAAAAAATCTCATGACCTCCATAACAATGGCTGGTAATCCACCAACATCTTAGCAGAATTCAGGCCCCTCTCATCCTCCTAAACTTTTGGTCTTTTATTAGTTTTATAAAGGAAGTTTAGTTTGGGGAAGAACAATTGTCATTTAAAGTATAAACTAAATTTCTCCCAAAATTAGTTTGTCCCACACTCAGAAATGACCAAGGGAAATTTGGAGGTTAAAGGTAAGATAGAGTTAGTTATGGCAGATCTCTTTCACGGTCAAAATTTTCTCACTGTCATAATTTTTACAAAGGTGGTCTCAGTGACAGGGTTTGGACAGTGCCACAGACTGGGAGACCCCCCAATCTGCAGCCATGCCTCAGAGGTAGAGATGCTGAGGGTGCCTGGGAAGGCAGTCTCTTTCATTTGGAAGGTATAGCACATTAAACCTCTGTCAGGCACTAGCTGCTTCACTTAAGTGAGTTTGTCTCATTATCTAGTTGTTTCCCACGGTCTCAAAGTAAAGATAATGCAACCATTAGTTTATAATCAGCAAGGACTTCAGAAAGGCCAGAATTTGGAATAAATCCTACATTTCACCTAAACCTTTCTATGAACTTAACAGCGTATGTTCATTCCTGAAGCTTATTGGTTTGTGATTGTGGTAGGTAAATTTAAAGGAAGATCTGTGGAGAAGAAAGGCTCTACATTAGACAGATAGCTGGAAATTGCTTAGCTTACACTTTGAAGAAAGTTTAAAAATTTGGTTTGATGAAACAAATGTGCCTCCTGAGAGTCAAGTGCCTCTTTCTTTCATTTAACCAAATGAATCACATGACTTGACAAGGCAAAGATATCCCAAGTCATATTGGATATGATGAAGTGTTATAAGACAAAAGAAAAGAGACCATGAGTTTAGAGAAAACCTTTTCCTTTTGTAAAAAATAAAAAAGAAACAAAGGGAGATGAATGCAAAACAGTTGTGGCCATTTGAAAATCTTGTTTTGTATATAATGCCCATGTGCACAGATCCGTGTTTTAAAATAAATCTGAACATTTACCCGAGCCTCAATTTAGGTCCACTACTATTTGTTCTGCCTGTTTTTATCATGATTTAAGCTTTGTGTTTTATTGTGCAGAAGGACTATGTGGCAGGCTAATGGTCTAAATACCTATGTCTCATTTTATAAATATTTATTGCCAACTGGTACATTCGTATCTTTGAAGTCACAGGCATGGCCCACTGGGAGCCCACACCTCCCTCCTCTGGCCTGTGGAGGATGACTTCCCCAGCACTCTTGTTTACATCAGGATAGCTTCAACGTGGAGTGATTTTTTAAAAAATCTACATCTTTTCACATCACTCATCTTTGCTCTGTTATATTTTTTCCCTCCTTCACCTTACATCTCATGCAGTGAAGGCCAGAAGTACTAAACCAAACAACCTAATCTGTGTTGCCCTTGAATTAAAGCATTGGTTCAGGATGAGCTAGCTGATCATTCATAACCTGCCTGGGGTTGCTGCAAAGGGCCGACAGGGTCTGGGGGAGAGAAATGAACAAAACTCAGAAGAGAAACTCAACATAAAAGATGTGATCATGGAGAATCTCCAGCATCAAACTGAAACCCCTGGACATAATTCTACTGGTAATCAAGAGCCACTGGAAGTTTTGAAGCAGGAGAACCTCACTGAGAAACATTGCTTTAAGAAAATGAATCAGACAGTGTACAAGAAAGACTGCTGCAGACTGGAGGAGGAAGGATCAATTAGGAGGCAACTGCAATAACACAGATGAGAGGGGATGCAGACGTGGATATGAGTACAGCTCTGTTAGTATTTAAGACCCAGATGATGAGAGTGGAAATAGATAGGAAGGTGCTGATGGGAGAGATGTCAATCATAGAGTTGATGACATTTGGAACTTTTGGGTATAGGCAAAGGTGAGTAACCATACAGGACAGAAAAAATGTGGAACAATAATTGATAGAAAAATGGGCCGGGTGTGGTGGCTCACGTCTGTAATCCCTGCACTTTGGGAGGCTGAGGTGGGTGGATCACCTGAGGTCAGGAATTCAAGGCCAGCCTGGCCAACATGGTGAAACCTCGCCTCTAATAAAAACACAAAAATTGTCTGGACATGGTGGCGAGTGCCTGTAATCCTAGCTACTCACTGGGGAGACTGAGGCAGAAGAATCGCTTGAACCTGAAAGGTGAAGGTTGCAGTGAGCCAAGATCGCACCATTGTACTCCAGTCCGGGTGACAGAGTGAGACTTTGTCTCAAAAAAAAAAAAAAAAAAAAAAAAAAAGAAAGAAAGAAAAGTGGGGGTCACATTAAGTTTCAAACATGCAAGAGGAGAATGTTTAGAACAAAAGATCATACAAATTACTGGAGATGGAATATGCTGAAACCCACAGAGGTAATGGGTAAGAAAGGAAAGGTGGGCACAGCTTAGTACTTAGCTGTCTAAGACATGGCAGGTGAGGGAAAGAAAGGCAGACAGGAATAGCTCCTGATTTCCAGCTTGGATGGCCATGTGGTAATAATAACCAGAATAGAGTAAAAAGAGGAGGAGTGCTAAGGTGCTAAGGAGCAAGGAGTGAGCCCATACATTTATGTTTAATTTGAGCTTTTCACGGTCTGTCCAGGTGAAAACATTCAATAAGGCAAACTCACTTGCCAGAGCTCTTTGGAACAGATCTATTTGAGCAATATGGATTTGAGAATGGTAACAAGAAATTTAAAATACTGTTCAGAGGAGCAGAATTCTACTTCTGGGTAGATGGAGTAGACTTACTTTTTCCTCTTCCTCCCACTAAGTAGAACTAAAAACCCTGGATGTTATGTATAAAATAAACTCGAGAAGACTTTGAAGGATGGAAAAAAAGGATGCA
Source organism: Homo sapiens (assembly GCF_000001405.40). NCBI lineage: Eukaryota > Metazoa > Chordata > Mammalia > Primates > Hominidae > Homo > Homo sapiens. The sequence continues at coordinate 41,671,663 of NC_000007.14, forward strand.
GAACTATTGGAACCTTACAACGAGAGGAACAGCATAATGGTGAGTTCTCTGGGTTTGTTTGTTTTTTTCCTAGATCTGAGACCTGAAACTGAAGAAGTTGGCAATCTGGAAACAACAACATACACAGACAAAAAAGCCCAACAAAGCCTGTTTTTTCTAATCAGGCTTTGGTATCTCAGGATACCAGGGTGAACCATGGTTATTGACCAAGTGCAGGGAAAGGAAAATGGTCTCCCCCAAATCCTGTACCACCGACATCAGATTCCTCTGCCCAAGTCTTGAGCAGCATTCATCCTATCCAGCTCACCCAATTGTTCAAATGCACAACTAATTTTTTTGCCACATTTTAGAAATTGTATTCCTTAAAATGACCAGTCTCTTGATTCTCAGGTCACAAGACCCAGAACAAGCATTTCATTTTGGGCCTTCCATGTCCTGTCCTCTGTTCTCTTCATTTAGCCTTTAATCTCTCACTGCTGGAGTCACTATCTGTTTTCTAAACTTACTTCATTTCTGCCTTCCAGTCAAAATGAGCGCTTCTAACTTCCTACCAAAACCTGTCATCTGTTTTTGGCTCAATTTTAACAACTTCACCAGCCCTGACTTGCCTTACTACAAACCTGGAAGACTCTGAGACTCTGGTTCAAATTTCTAGGAAGTTTCTGGTTGATCTTTCTTCTGATGATAGACATGAAGACCTTTCTCCATATTTCCAATAAAAAGCTAATCCATGCTCACACATTTGACTCCTCTCCTCTTGCCCCCATCGTGCCACCAAGCTCCTCTGTTGTTCAAAAGCCTTCTAGTAGGTTATTTCCTCCATTCTCATCAGTCTGAGTTGATATACACAATATTTATTTTCTTCTCTATCTTGCCTTTTCTGGAAGCATGCAATTCCACAGTACTCACCCCAGATAATGGACTTCTGTTCTAGATTCGTATGTCCGCCACATGCAAGCTGAATGACTTGGGCAAGTTTAAGAAATATATCGATAATTAAAATCTTTAGAATGATAAGGTCAACTGTGATTGTGGGTCTGTATCTTGAACTTTAAATACTTTATATCTAAACTTTACAATAAGTCACAAGGAAGGTATTATTATTTAAAATTTACAAATAAGAAATGAGATTTAAAGGATTTGGGAGGAGGGTTCAGTTCCTCGCTTCAGGTGCCTCTCCACAAGGCCTCTCATAAGACAGCATCTGGCTTCCCCCTGAAGGAGCACTTGGGGAGGGAGAGAGAAAGAGGGAGACAGAAGCTGTTACAGGAAAGGGGTCCCGATCCAGACCCCAAGAGAGTGTTCTTGGATCTCACGCAAGAAAGAATTCAGGGCGAGTCTGCAATGCAAATTAAAAACAAGTTTATTAAGAATGTAAAGTGGTGAAAGAACAGCTACTCCATAGACAGAGTAGAGTGTTCCTGAAAGTAACAGGAGGAACGCATCTACCCTAGGTACAATGCTTATTTAAATGGGGAGATATGCTCTGCTACAAGAGTTTGTGATAAAGGATTACTTGTCTTAATTACTATACTTTGCAAGATTCAATACTATTATCTTTAAAGCAAAATTAGGAATGCCTTTGTCATCCGGGTATCCGGATATCTGGACACTCCCAAGTCTGGGTCTATTAAGTAAACATCATTAATTTGTTCCCTTAACTGTAAACATCTAGAGTCCAGGAATGCCTAACTTTCTGAGAATGCAGCCCAGCACGTCTCATCCTCATTGCCCTAGCCCTCACTCAAAATGGAGTTGCTCTGGTTCCAATGCCTCTGACAAAGCCACAGGGTCTTTTCTAATCTAATCTCAGAACTGACTTGCCATCCTCTGCAGCATCTTATTGGCCACATATACCAACCTGATATGACATGAGATGTGGGAGGGGAGGACACATGGGTGTGATACAGGAAGCCAATATCTGTGGAGGCTGTGTTAGATAGAGACTGGCTGCCACAGCAAAATCAGGACTGGTAGATGCTCCTGTTTAATATGTTGATATTTATAAGAGTAAAATTTATACATCATTAAAAAACTCAGAAACAATAAGCACATAGTGAAAACAATAGCCTTTATATGTAGCCCACCCTCCACTATCATAACTCCACTTTCCAAAGACGAATATTTTTCAACACTTTTAGCTTTTTTTGAGTAGTTATTTTTAAGTGCTAAAGAATGTATATTTATACGATTTTTGATTCATTAACTTTAGACATTGTCTAAAGTCTAAATGACTTAGACATTGGATAAAGACTTAGCATTCTGACTCTTAAATCCCAACAACCATCTCTTACCAACAAACACACATGTAAACACACACACACACACACACACACACACACTTTCTACTTCACCCTTCCAGTATACCATGAGTCTTCTTGGCTGAGGTGAAGTTGGTTAGTTAATAAAAGTTAGTTAAAGAGGATAATTATACAAAATAATATATACACTTAACATTAGGTTTTAACTTAAAATATGTCATTGCATGTTCATTCATTAAGCTTTTGATTCATGGCCAAGGCTTTTTCTTCGAGAGTAGATCTATTGATCAGAGGTTGCCATTATCTTTCTTGTATGAATCACATTTATAATGCATATTCTACAATGTCCAGTTTGGGATTCTTTAAGTAGAACACAAACTTAAAGATCCCTGCAAAAACCTGTGTATTTAGAACCTTTCTATATTTAGTGTTTTTTATTTTATAGCTGTCTCTTCTATGGCCATTTTTTTTTTGTTTGGTTTTGTTTTAGTGACCTTCCTTTAACTCTTATAGATACAATGTACTTTTTTGTTAACTTTTGTTTTGCTTTTCTTTGATTTCTTAAATTTTTATGAGATACACTCCCAAATACAACTGGCAGAAACACGTTTGGGAACAAACATGCCTGACCCTCAATAAGCATACAGTTCAACTAGTGAGAGCAAAAATTCACAGAATGACTCACTAGTTGCACGTATTCAATCTTCTGAGAGCATCAGGCAATGTGTTTTATATGGAAATCAGAATCGTCCATCAATCACAAAGTAAATTAAGTGGGATCCATTAAGAGGTTTCCTATAATATTTTCTCCCATAGCAAAGTAAAATTGGGAAGGAGATTGCTATCTATCACAGGAACTTAAGTTGTTAGCATCACAATGACTGAAGAGACAAAGTATTTAGAAGAGCAGTCCTGGAATTCAAAAAGATCCAGAAACTATTTAGTTTAAGAAAAAATAGACCTGCCTTATTAAATAGAAGTGACTGAGATTATACCTGAACAATTTCTGAATCATCATCCAAAAACTAAGGCAAAATTATGTTCGGTGTTGTCAATTTAAGGATATAGAACATAGGAAAACTGTACAAAGAGTTCCCTCAAGTATATTAAAATAAAATTCTGGCACTTGTGATGTTTGACTCTCTATCATTCACCCTATCCAGTCCCACATTATCTAGTAGCAAAGCAATTTAGGGAATTGACCCTATCTCTGGAAGTTGGTTCTGATTTGTCTTAGTCAATCATGGATTCCTGTCCTTGTGATTGGTCTGTGCCAACTTGGTGCAGAAAGTGACTAGGGAAGACTTACCAGTAACTTTTGTGAAATGTTTTCCTTGCTTTTAAAAGAATGCCATGGGAAGTGTTTAAAGAAAAACTTCAGCCAAAATAAATTTAAAGGAGTTTAATTGAGCAATGAACTATTCGTAAATCTGACAGCCTCCTGAGCCAGAGTAGGCTCTGGGACTCCAGTGCAGCCACATGATGGACAAAGATTTATGGACAGAAAAAGGAAAGTGATGTACAGAAAACAGAAGTGAGGTACAGAAACAACTGGATTGGTTATGGTTTGGCGTTTACCTTGTTTGAACACAGTTCAAACAATTGTCCACATTCGATTGGCCAAAACTCGGCGATTGGCACAAGTGTAGGCTACCACCTGTTTACCCCTCCACTTACAATAATACTTCATGATGTACAGAGAAACCCTCAGGCTGAACTTAAAATATGTAAGGAGGCAGCTTTAGGCTAAATTTGATTTAACAGAAGCAATCTATCCTGAATACAAGTGAAGATGAATAATGCCCAGGTTTTTCCTAAGGGTCCTTTTGTGATCATATGCCTGATGAAAAGTCTAAATACTGATGAATGGAGCTATCAGAAGACTATAAGATCATAGAGCTGGTGCCGTGATTACAATGTTCCTGAAAATTTGTTCTTCAACTATATGAACAACAAATGCCCTTATTATTTAAACCTGCTTGGTCAGATTTCTACTTCTTAGAGCCACACATACACTATTTTTTTTTTTTTTTTTGAGACAGAGTTTCATTCTTGTCACCCAGGCTGGAGTGCAGTGGCGCAATCTTGGCTCACTGCAACCTCTGCCTCCCAGGTTCAAGCAATTCTCCTGCCTCAGCTCCCCGAGTAGCTGGGATTACAGGCGTGCCACCATGCCCGGCAAATTTTTGTATTTTTAGTAGGGACAGGGTTTCACCATGTTGGCCCAGCTGGTCTCTAACTCCTGACCTCAAGTGATCCACCCACCTCGGCCTCCCAAAGTGCTGGGATTACAAGTGTGAGACACCGTGCCTAGCCCACTATTTTTTTCAGTATTTAAAAGACCCTTCTTCAATTATATACAAAATAAGCATTCTTTACAAGAGACAGTTCAGTTTCTATCAATTCAAATAAATTAGCTGCTACTTTAATTTATATGTTAAACTAATAGAATTTGTTACCTCAAGAGGTAACCTAAGCTCAAATGAATATTTATAGTAGGATTATTAAAGAAAGATGTTTGGGTCAAAAACAACTCTATGATTTATTAACAACCACATTTGGGAGAGTAAACAACAGCCACATCTATTCCTAAAACATCCCAAGGGGCCACTGTCAAAACTAGTGTCTTGGAATGCTTGGGCCCAGGGTATGATCGAGGGAGGTATTTCTGAACATTCTTAGAGATTGGAGCCTTATCAATATAATTAAATATTTCTAGCAGGAATTGATGGCGAACTCACCATGTCAAACACTAAGCTCCACTATTTAGATGTCTTTCCACTTGAAATTTTTCGAATAGCTCTATCAAGAATATACATTTCTATTCCAAATGTAAAGAGAAGGAAAAATGGTTATTGAATTTAAATAACTTGTCTAATGCCACAGAGCTGCTAACTGGCTAACCTGAAATTTGTTATTATTTAACTAGGAAGCTATTCTCTTCATTATGTTTTAATTTTATTTACTTATTTTTAAATTCACTCACTAAGAAAAAAAAAACTACGTGGAAGCCAAACATTACAGCATGTATAACTATAATGATTAGAAACATCTACCAGTGCTTTCCTCTCCTGACAGTTAACTCAGCTTCACTTGTTCTAATAGCATGTACCCTCTCAATGGGCCAAAGGGGCGCTTCTACCTTTTCAAAGAGAAAAGTTTTTTGTTGTAGGTCTCCGGGAAGTGACAGGTCTACAATAAGTGCATTTCCAATGACTTTACATTAGAGTGACATGGTAAATGTGTAGCATAACAATCCAAAGAGACTTTGAGATTGGCTCTACTTGAAAACACTATGGAAAATACATCCTTCAAGGTTTAAAAATGTGCGATCAGAAATACAGCTTAACCAAGGTTGTGTCACATGGTCACTATCATTCTTTAAGAACTACATTGAAAATAGTGTATTTATCATACTTTGAAAACTATATATCAGGCCAGGCATGGTGGCTCACAACTGTAATCCCAGCACTTTGGGAGGCCGAGGTGGGTGGATCATTTGAGGTCAGGAGTTCAAGACCAACCTGGACAACATGATAAAACCCCATCTCTACTAAAAATACAAAAACGAGCCCGGTGGGGGCCAGGCATGGTGGCTCATGCCTGTAATCCCAGCACTTTGGGAGGGCGAGGCGGGCAGATCATGAGGTCAGGAGATCAAGACCATCCTGGCTAACACAGTGAAATCCCATCTCTACTAAAAAAACAAAAAAAATCCAGGCATGGTGGCACGTGCCTGTAGTCCCAGCTACTTGGGAGGCTGAGGCAGGAGAATGGCGTGAACCCAGCAGGTGGAGGTGGCAGTGAGCCAAGATCGCACCACTGCACTCCAGCCTGGGCAACAGAGCGAGACTCTGTCTCAAAAAAAAAAAAAAATTAGCTTAGTGGTAGTGGCATGTGCCTGTAATCTCAGCTACTCGGGAGGCTGAGGCAGGAGAATCACTAGAGCCTGGGAGGCAGAGGTTGCCGTGAGCTGAGACTGCACCACTGCACTCCAGTCTGGGTGACAGAGTGAGACCCTGTCTCAAAACAAAAACAAAAACAAACAAAAAAAACTATGTATCAAACAGATTATGCTTCTTTATCATAAATTCATTGCTCAGTGGTTCATTGAGGTGGTTTGGGTACAACATTCAGCCATTGAATTAGAAAAGTAAAGATTAGAAACAAATCAATGGCCTGGAAAATTGTGTTTATGGATTAAAGAAATAAAAGGAGTATACTCATCACTATTCTGATTCTTAAATTACTAAAGCGGTTTGACATGAGCTCACTCTAAGCACCACAGGGACATAAGAAAAATACGTATAATTGGCTCTGCCCTACAGAAGAAAAAATCTAGAATCAAAGCATCTAGTTCAAGGTCACATTATTGAGTAAAAAGACAGCCTGGAAGAAATACATTTAGTACTCAATCCAGGACGCAACACATCTCCTACTTCTTCATGTGTACACAATTTCTAGTAATGTTAATGCTTCATATTAACCAGGCATATAAAACTAAGTTCACATTTCTCAAAGATAAAGTTATACAATTAATAAAATTGTCTTTATCTTATATCTAAAGAAAAAACAGAGGTGGAAATATATCACTAAGCCCTAAACATACCATTTAAAACCCTATGCATCTTTAATTAGATCAAAGTAAATAATCTTTTACTTCTACTTCTGCAGTTATTATACTATGTGCTCATACTTCTTATCCATGAACCTGGAAAAGACTATCTGAGCAGAGGAAATACCCAGATGTGAGCAAAGGTGGCTTTTGGCCAGTTCATACTAACATTCCATTTATTTGCTTCCAAAGAAGAATTCAGGGTCACCAATACGGTATGGCACTTTTCAGTTTTTCTAGTTGGTCTGTCTTTACCTTTTGGCAAAAACAAAAAACAAAAACCTCATCTTCACAGAGGCCTACTCCTCTATTTACTTGTTGAATGATTTTTAAAATGAAAAGCGCTAAGTCTGTACTCCAGAACTTCTCTAAAAATGTAGATTCTCTAGTCCTATTCCTGATCTACTGTCTCAAAATTTCTGGTGGGTGAAGCATGGAATATTTATTTTTAATATTTTTAATAAGGTTCCCAGATGACTGTGCACACTAAAGTTGGAGAATTTCTGCACTAAAGAATGAAGTCCCATCTGAAACTTTCCCTGCCCAAGTAGTTTTACTCTTAATGACCTTCCTTTCTGGCTTTTAGGAGCCAAAGAAAGAATGCTCTCTAGAAATACGAAAAATGATAGAAAAGAAAAACATAGAAGCAGAAACTCTATCAAGAGAGTGAAAGAGAAAAGAGATTAAAATCCAGTCATGTGCAAAGTGAAACACAGACCCAGAAATATAGAAATGCAAGCAAAAGATAGCTGGACAACATGCCCAAAACAAAATAGAAAGCTGTATCTGAACATATCTGTCTAATCATAACTAAGTGTGAAACACATGTATCCAAACCTCATCTCTTTGCTTTAGTCTCTTCTTTAAAAGCAACATGGGTTATTCGGCAGTAATTTTTCTAGTCAACTTGGATGAATGGTCTTGACAATTGTTTTTGTCCTACAGGAAGTATTGAAGTCAAATATTTTACTGTTGTTGCTGTTACGACAAAAAGTACTTATTGGGACGTCAAACACACAGTAACAGTCCATTTAAAAATATATCTGATGATTAGGTAGGTCCTTGTGATAAGATCTATTACAAAGGAAGATGCAGAAGCTGTGTCCAAGAGATCCATGTCTTATCCATGTCTAGCTACTTTGCATTTTAGTGTCTTAAGGCTGAATCACACTTGAGAGATTCTCACTTGGCCTTTTTTATAGATGTGGACATTGAAACCAAAAATGTAAATATAACTTAATGACAGAGTTATTTAGTGACTGAGAAAGGATAAAGCTTGGATTTCCTGACTCATGATACAGCATTCTTTCCTCCTCGCTAGTGTCTCCTCTCTGTAGATCACCAGCCGGATAAGTAGTTGGTTGTATCAGCTATAAATATGCAAATCATATAGTAAAGTGGAAGGACACAGTTGTGATATCAGCAGACTTATGGAGGAGCAGGAATCATGCTCATGGTGGACTGTAGTAGGACACATGGCGGAAGTTCAATGGCTGGTAAAGGGCTTCCCCGGGTTTGAACCCCCGCTCTGTCGCATCATAGGTGTTTGACCTTGGACAAGTTATTGCACTACTCTTTGCCAAAATAGTTTGTTTTTCTAACCTATGGAATGGTGGCTAAGATCCACCTTTGAAAAAGCCAAGGGCAGAAGCTCTACCTCATAGAGTTTTTATAAGGCTTAAAACATTCAGAACAATGCCCAGCACATAACACCATCATAGGAGTTTTTAAAATAAATATGTGGTATACTCATACACATTGTAAATAGTGTCTCTCAGCTACCTTAGTCCGGGAGGCACTGTTTTCAAGTCTGGCTCCTAACTTTGTCTAACTCCTTCCTTCAGTAATTCAGATATTATTTCCTGAGCTTCATTTTTTACACAAAATCTCCCTCAAATTGACTAAGATTCGTCTCTCAAATTGTCAAAAAATCAGTTGCTTGTAAAGATCTCCTTTAGTAAGACAAATTCTTTTGTAACTTTTGTTTTTGAATTTGGGTTCAACTAACATTCCTTAAGGATCTACCACACTTTTCTGTGTCACTGTGTGCGAGTCTACTGTAAATGGAGTTCCTTCCACTCTTACAAGTCTGTAAAAGCAGACAAGGTTATACTAAGTGAAATGGACCCAATTTCATTAGCTCTTGCCTCACTGCCTCAAAGACAGACCTTAGTCAGCTCCATACCCCATCCCTAAGCTTATGTCTGGGAACCCTCGGGCATCTCATGTGGGCCCCGCTCTCACGGAGATCCATCACACCACCACTACTTCCAGGGAATACCTTGTGAATGCCAAAAACTGGGGAAGATCCATTCTCCCAGATCCCCCAAAGCTGTTGGCCTATTTTTCATGCAGCATCCATGATGCTGTCTTTGAAGCAAAATCAGAGAAAATGTTCCTCTCTTCCATAGAGTATCACAATTTGTTACCTGGGGACCAAGAGTGCCCCCTTTACATTGAGTTCTTGATGTAAAAGGATTCTTCCATTGCTGCCTGCAGCCCTTCTCTCTGCTGGTCTGGGCATAAGTCCTTGAAGCCTGACTGGTGGAGGATGAGACTTTCCCTACCCTATTTTCTCCTGGCACCTACTTCTTCAGGAAAACAACAACACAAAACCTCAAGCAATCTGGGTTTTTTGTTTGGTTTTTGTTTTTGTTTTTGTTTTTTTTCAGATGGAGTCTTGCTCTGTCTCCAGGCTGGAGTGCAGTGGTGCAATGGGCTCACTGCAACCTCCACCTCCTGGGTTCAAGCCATTCTCCTGCCTCAGCCTCCTGAGTAGCTGGGATTACAGATGCCTGCCACTATGCCCGGCAAATTTTTGTATTTTTAGTAGAGAAGGGGTTTCACCATGTTGGCCAGGCTGGTCTCAAACTCCTGACCTCAAGCGATCCACCCGCCTCGGCCTCCTGAATTGCTAGGATTACAGGCGTGAGTCACCACACCTGGCCGAAATCTCAAGCAATTTGATTCCCAAGGGCCAGCCCATGCCTTCATCAGACTATTCCCTGACACATCTAAGTCACAGTAGAGGATAGAGAAAGGCATTTGATCTTGACCTCATTGCTCCTAGATTGCATCTACTTTTTTCCCATATATGATCATCTGAATGGTGTTTATTACAGGGATTTTTTTTTCCATAAAATTTACTTCCAGTGCTTAATCCATCTACTATCAATTCTGGGCTTATTACTTTAAAAATCAGTTCTGGGTGATGGATGAATTGAGTCAGAATCATAAATGTGTGCTTGTTCAATACAATAATGGGTTAAGGTTACATACCCTGTTTTGTAAAATGTTTAAAGCCCAAAGATAAAAGCTGTTCACCTATCACCTTTTCTCACTCACCAGTGATGCCTAATAGCAGGAGTAAGCTGGGGTGGTCAGGTGGTGGACTGGGAACTTGCTGTCTTGGGAAAAGGAAGGCAAGCTTGTCTTGTTTCTTTGAAGCTGCTGACACTTGGCTTGCTGGGGACATTGGTTGGACCAGCTAACATTTGCTGTCCATCCCGCTTTAAGGCAATCAAAAAGCCACCCCATCTGTTAACCTTGGCAGTATTTAGCTTGTAGATCACTCTTAAGTCCCCAGAATGTTTTCATACAGCGGTTAAATTAATGATTCAATCAGCCCAATTAGCTAGATTTTAAATTGTAATACATATCTTATCCAAAGCCCAAAAGGAAAGGACTCTATTTGCCTACTCCGGGTTTTCAATTCGAGGCCATTAGTAACTTCATGGCAGTATGGGCTAGTCCATGATCTGATGGAGACTGGTTTAAATTCACTCTTTTGAGAACATAGAAGTTAGTTGATTTCAGAAGTGCGAACCCCATAATATTTGGTATATTAATAGCTACTAAATGTATGCCACTGAGAGAACCTAAGCATTTCATCTGGTTGGCAATTAGATCACATTTAGGATATGATTACTCAGATGGAAAATTAGCTTTATCTTTAAAAAATATCCTATGTACTGACAACTTAGAGTCTTTGAGGGATAAGTAGATCAGCCATGAAACACAAACATTTGTTGTCACATCAATGGCAAGAAGACTTCCTGGTTTCATTTAGGAGGGTTTGATGGTTGTCTTCAAAGTGGTTGGAAGCTTTAACACAATAAACACTTTGAAGCACAATGCTTTGTCATTCTCCTGCCTTAGGCCTGCCTGTTTCTGGCATAGATTAGCACTGTTTGTCTTTTTTTCCCCTTTCTTTCTTTTTTTCCTTTCTTCCTTTCACAATGGAAGAGTTTCCCTTTAATGATTGCTTTTGTCCCATGTAAGTACCAAACTTTTTAAATGGTTTTTGGCTGTGGAACTCAACCATGTTGATAAAACTTCATTAATGAAAGGCATTTTCTATGGGAACTTTTGTTGCCATATTATAGTATTCGTGTTAGAACATTGGGTCCCCTGTATAACAGTGATGCAGGCACCACCACCACCATGACAGCAGGAATTACAGCAGGACATTAACTCTAGCCCTGGGTGGCTTTTTCATTGCTGTTTTCCGACAATGATGGGACCTTCTCTCAACACTTCCCCTGATGTGTTCCTGAAGAGAAGTTAGCTAAACCAAAAAACATTCTTCATCATTTTTGTTCACTCAGTTGGCCTAATATTTCCCAAAACCATCTCCAGATTTCAACTGACAAGTTTTCTGCAAGAAAGATGCTTCTCTGGTATCTGCTGAGATCATTTGAAATCATGGTAGAACGCCCAGAATTATGGGCTCTTCTTGAAATTGGATATCATCAAACGAGGTAATTGTTCATTTCTAAGCAGCCTGAAACAGCTTTGTGGTTCTTTGCTTGTGGACAAACAGTTTGCCTTTCCTATTTTTCTTACTGTAGGCACTAATTACAGAACAATTAACAAAAGCCTAAAAGGGTGTAATGGAGAATTTCTAATGAATCCTGACTTATCATGGCTGAAAGAAGACTTGAAGTTGGATTAATGTAGAAACACTGGAATTCTACTGAAGGAGCTGGTGCTTGATTTGATAGAAAAAAAGAATTATTACACTGTTCTATTCCCTTTTTCAGTTTGTAAAACTCCTCAGACAATTGTTTTCTAAGAAAGGATTAAACTCCTATATGAAATGGATTTTGATTTTAAATGATGACACATTCTCTTTCTCAGTCCCATATATATGTGTACAGATATCATATATACACACACATAATCATATATATCATGTATACATATGTGTGCATATATATATACATATGTATGCATATTCAAAGTATTTTTCTATACCTGACTTTAACTTTGTTTTCTTTCAGTAATTTTCACCTTGATTATGATAATATCCATATAAATTTCATTACAAGGTTACTCGTTTATAATTCAGTGAAGTTTTTACTTCATCCCTAAAATGTATTCATTATTAAACTTGGCAGGAAATAAAGGCTAATGCAAGTGCTCATGTATGTACCTGCAGGCACACACACACATACATGCACACACAAATGTCCCACTGTCCACAAAGTAAAATAAAGTACTTTGGATTACCCCTAGCAAAATATGAGAATAGCAAGATAAGACAAAGTAATAAATATAAAGCAAAACTAACAATTCCCATTTTCTAATTTGAAAATAGAAACTTTCCTACTAAAGTAAAAAGCGTTTAGGATAAACTTACATGAACTTGGCATTTCACTTCAAGATAAGTGCCAGTGAACTATCTGGTGGGTATGAAGTGTCTCTGCGTTAAAAAGTTAGAAGTGACTTCAACACTCAATCCACTCACCCCCCTTTTTTTTTTACTACATAAGAAAATTAACACAAAAATGCAATTATGGAAGAACAAAAAGAAAATTAACTTTAGATTTGAATATAGACCTGGGTTGGAATTTTAATTCCAATTAATGTTACTCAATCATGCCTCAGATTCATCTGTAAAAGCAGCAATAACACCTATTGTGCAGGGTAGTTAAAACAATGATATGTGAATATCAAATGAGGCCATACATGGGATATTCCTGGTCCAAATGAGCAGTTTTGGAAGTTACTTTCTCCATATAAACTCTGAGATGGGCACAGATAATAGAGAAAAATTATAGAAGAAAAGGTCGACCTATCAATTAATGTTTGACCTTACTTCTGTAATTCCAAATTCCAACTCTGTTGGTCCCGGTAATAAGACTAAGTACATTTTTCCCCATGTATATAGATCTCTAGCTCTAGTTGCTCCATGCATTTCCAGTTTTCTAGCTAGAAAGGAAAGGAGGAAGAAGGAAAGAGGGAGGGAAGGAATGAATATCTCTTCATTTCCTGTGAGTAGTTGCCACTACACTTGAAGAAATGGGAAATCAACAAAAGAATAAAATATAAATATTGCTGATCCAAGCATCTGCAGCCCATTACCAGCCTCTGCCATGGCAAAATCTATTCTTTTTCTACTTGAGCTCTCTCACTCCAGCTTTTGTTATCTCCCACATTCAGTCTGTTTCTCATCCTCTTCTGGATAATTACAGTAAAAACAAAATTATCACCCAGCAAAGGATGTGTCAATATGTGTGCAAAGTTGATCATGGAAAATAAATAAGACATAAAATAAAAATAAAAATAAAAAATACATCCCAAACAGGTCTTTTTATTTAACATAAGGCCAAAGAAGCTATCAGGCGTTGCTGAATACTGTCCACTAACTGTACAAAATATTGACTGCATGCCTCGCAAACACCAAAATATCCGCTGGAATGCCATAGAAATAAATAACTTCTGCTATAAACACATGAAAACATATCAAACTGTTATCTCTTTAAACATATTGTAAATAAAAAAATTACCAGTACTTCTACACAATAAATATTAAGAAACCATTGACATAGTTGAAATGCACTCATATAAATTAACAACTTTAATTACATTAGCCAAACAGACATTGGTTAAAGAACTGCATGTAGTATGCAAAACAAAACAAAACAAAACAAAAAACAAAGTAAAAAACCAACAAAATAGAAACAAACAAACAAACAACATCAACCACAGAACATAAAAAGTTTTAAAATAAAACAGGCTTCAGATTATCTTGGCTTTCATAATTATATTTTTCTTTTAAAGAAAAATATCAACCCATTGTCAATGCACTGTTTTTCAAAGCATTTAAATAGAGGGTAAAACCCTTTGGAAATTAATACAGAAGAAATGATTCACTTTATGCATAAAAAATAAATAATAATATAGCTGAGACATGTGGTTTGCTTCTGCTCTTGAAGATGTGAACAGCTTCTAAGCATTCATTTTCTCTGACCCATACAACAGCTTCTCAGTGATACAGGGTTTAATTTAAACACATACAATGTCCACCCCCAAACCTTCTGCCCACATCTACAAGTTTTATTTATTTTGTGGGTTTTCAGGGTGACTAAGTTTTTCCCTACATTGAAAAGAGAAGTTGCCAAAAGGTGCACAGGAAATCATTTTTTTAAGTGAATATGATAATATGGGTCCGTGCTTAATACAACTGAGACATATTTGTTCTCTGTTTTTTTAGAGTCACCTCTTAAAGTCCAATCCCACAATGGTGAAAAAAAAATAGAAAGTATTTGTTCTACCTTTAAGGAGACTGCAGGGATTCTCCTTGAAAACGGAGTATGGAATCAATCTTAAATAAATATGAAATTGGTTGGTCTTCTGGGATAAGAAATTCCCAACTCAGTGTGCTGAAATTCACCTGACTTTTTTGGAAAAAATAGTCGAAAATGTCAATTTGGTCCATAAAATACATGTTACTATTAAAAGATATTTAAAGACAAATTCTTTTCAGAGCTTCTAAGATTGGTGTGGGCAGATTTTTAAGAGCCTAGAGTTTAGTCTTAGAGAAAGAGTGAGGAGATAGTAAGGTTAGATAGAGCCACTGAGTTTCAAGAAAAAAACATACTACTAAGAATCCCATATGTTATAATTTAAAGCCTTTACTTTTGGCCTCATGCTGCTAGGTGAAAGAGTGGTTGTTCACAGGACTTGTATTTTCCAAGATGATTAAAGATGGTAAAATACTATCTTTCAATGTTATCAAAAAATGGTAGCAACTTATACTTCTATTTCAAAGCCATATAAATTTAACAAAATTAAAGTTTGTGGGTGTTTGATAACCCAATCACTCAATATCCAATTAAAATATGGAATAAGTTTCAAATAAAATATGGAATTACATTTCTCTGCTTCTGATAACTGTGGTCACTAATCAACCCCCATGTTATCCCCGATATGTCTAGGACTTAGCTTAAAAAGATAGCAGATGTATTTGAGATGAGTGGGAACTATACATGGGTATCAGCTTTCTTGGTAAATTTCTGCTTTTTCCATGGCCTTGACCATCTTTGCTACTGCGCAGTGAACCAGGACTTAATTTCTCACACTGTTTCTGCAGGTTCCGGTACCAAAGAAGATGCAGTTCAAAATACTGCCAGTTTTCCAAGAAATTTTGTAAAGTTGAACATGGCCATCTACTCTTGCCTTAAAACTTTTCTCACCACACCCACCTTCCCACATGCATGATATCCAAGGTCGACAGACCTGGATTAGAATCCACTCTCAAGCTTCTCATGCAGTGCGTATTGTATTTTCTGCATAAGAAAGGGCTGCCTCTAGAACACAGTAAGTGTATTTGCCCAGTAGTGACATTGCCTACATATAGCCAAGTGTTATAGTATACCAACTTAGTATATTTTTCAAGGAGAGCTAAACCACCTTTTGTAATGTTTGGTTTCTCACTGTTATCTTCCTTTCCTATAATTAATTTATTTTAATCTACAAATTGACATAGGGCTAAAAGCTTCAATATTTTACAAAATATTAATTAATGTAATTGTTCCCAATTATTAGAAACTTTTTTCCATTTTTCAAAATGTTTGCCAACTTCACACAAGTGTGTAAAAATAGGGCTCTGGATTTTCAAAAGCACATACATGAATAATTTATTAGCTATTCCAGGCAAGCTAAGTACTAGAATAAACTAGATAAAAACTTGGCTTTAAGCATGTACTTTGATATTTATAAAACAAAGGTGTTTTTTTTTCATTTCTGCATCTGAATCAATACAAATTTACACATGAAGAATTTTGGCTGTAAATTAAAATTTTAGAGATTTTTACTACTGCCCTCACCTCTGCCTCCTCTTAACTGTTCTCTTCCTTACTCTCCCTCTCTTAACACTTTCTCTCAAATTAATTATCTTTTAGTTAGTGATGACATTATTTTTCCCAGCTGGTACAGGTAATATTTCTCACAACCAAGCCTTAATCATTTTTAAAAAATACACTCAACTCTAATTCTGGCCTAAATATTATTTTTCTGAAAAAGCTTCTGATTTAAGATTGATTCCAATAGACACTAAGTTGGAAAAACATCAGCCCAGAGTTTTGATTATCATCCTGTTTTCCCCACAGGGGATAACTTGTAGAAGTGGGAGGGGGCACAAAAAAGAGGAGGAAATTTGATCCCTGTACAATGAAAGAGGGCCTTGCTGAATATTCACTGGAATTTCCAGGCTTTTTCCCATCCGAATTTTTGAAATGCGCCCACCTAGTTCAGAGTAAAAGCAAAAACTATAGCCTATCCTTCTTAAAAATACTGTGTTTTGCACACAAACATTCATTGCTTTAAGAACATTAAAAAATGACAGCCTGAAGTGCTTAAAATGTGTATGGACATGGTACAATACATGTATATATACATACAGATATGCATATGCACAAGCAATGTATATATACACATACAAGCATGTAGTTCCATGAATTTGATTGAACTTGATATCCAACAGTGTACAACTACTGTACATCCAGTATGAAATGTCCTGTTTCATGGATGTAAAAGGAGTCAAAAACCAAACTTCTCAGGTCTTTTAAGCCTGAACACAATCCACACTACTCAACCTTGAATCCCAACCCCTGACTCATTGATGGTGAATGATACCAACCACAGACAGACTGTTTAAAGGCTCACACAAATGTCTTTGGTGTATGTGTCTATTTTTTAAGGTACAAAATAATAATAATAATTATAATTATAATAATAAAAATAGCTATTTTGTGTGCTGTAGCAGTTCTTTTATAGCTCACATTAAGTGCAGCTCTTAAACCCCACCCCCACCCCCAACCAAAGAAAATACTTGTTAAATAAGGATTAGACAGGTCAAACACCATTGTAGTGCAAATAGTAAACGATTAAAAAAAAAACAACAACAACATTTACAAAATATAGAAATGTTTGGATCCAACAGATGGACAAACATATTCCTTTCAAGTATCTCTCCTTGAAGAAAATAAAAATTAATCAGATTACTTCCAATACAAAAAAGTCTCTCTTTTTGTTCTCTCTCAGGTAAACAGTTTCAAACCTATTAGGTTGCATAGTTCTAAGATCATAAGCACCTTAACGAAATGTAACTTGGTATTCTTTTTTCCTTGATCTTTCATTCTTTCCATACTTGTTCTCAATTTTTTAATGTTGTTTGTTTTGTTTTGTTGCAAAAGTGGTACAGAAAAAGGAAGTGTGACCACCTGCACACGATTGTTCTTTTACCAGTATGTGTATATATGTAATGTGTGGAAATGCCTGTGTGTGTGTGTGTGTGTGTGTGTGTGTGTGTGTATGCTGATATACACAGAGATAAGTGTCACACAGACATACCTTATGACCTGGGTAATTGGGTAGGAAAGTGCCTGTGATGGGCCCTTTCAAACTCATGGCTTTCTAGATGCTATTTGGGTTGTTCTAGTCCACACTACTGCAGACTAGATTGGTTGATTCAAGGCTCACAAGGGAACCTCAAGGGGGGAAAGGACAATACCCCGTTTAAACAACTGATGTCATCAGTGTGATTTCAGAAGAAATAAAGGGTACACCATTCTCCCTTTCCCTCCCAATTCCTGTCTCTTTCACTGCTTCATCTCTGAGCCCTGGCTAAGGATTTTTTCCACATCTTCCTTCATCTGTTTCATCAGGTTTTGTTTTTAATTTACTTTTGTTTTTTTTTGTTTTTTTTTTTGTTTTGTTTTTAATTTCTATTTTTCTGGTTAACTCAGAAACCTTAAAAATTTCTTCATTTTGCCACTGTCTTCTCTGGACAACTCTTGCTCCCTTTCCCCCTGGGCTGGGCAACTCTATGAGCACCCACACTCCTCCACGATCATGTTCTGAATGTCCTTTTTGATGATGTTTTGACCATCATCATAGTACAACATGGACATGGGTCTCAGCTTGGTGGGCACACAGCACGATTTGAGGTTGGCAAAGGGGCTATGGCCCCGCATGCGGTAGTGGTTGATGACTGTTGAGTGGAAGGACAGTGAGGACCCGGACGTGCCTGCTATATGGCTCGGGCACTCACCCTCGCAGTAGTTGGCATGATAGCCAGAGGGAGCAATGATCCAGTCATTCCAGCCGATGTCCTTGAAACTGACAAAGAACTGTTTCTTACAGCAGATGTTGACCTTGCCATCACACTCCAAGCCCCGCCGACGCCGGCGATGAGGGTGGTCTTCAGACTGCCGGGCCTGCAGCATGAGGAAAGGTCTGTGCGACTGCTCCTTTTCCTCATCTGCTCCTGCCCCACCTTCACCTCCGCCCTTCTTTTTCCCTTCCCCCTCCTCTTCTTTCTTCTTCTTCTTGCCCAGGAGAACCAAGCTGGCGCCACTCTCCTGGCACTGCTCACAGGCAATCCGAACGTCCAGGGAGCTCTTGCCCTGGTCCAGCAACCGCTGGATGCTGCTGGAGACAGGGAAGACATGCCAGGTGCTCTTCCGAGCGTCTACTACTTTTTCAGAGAGCAACAGTTCACTCCTCTCCCCCTTTAAGCCCACTTCCTCGGCCTCTTCCCCTGTGTCCAAGCTGCCCTGCGGGTGCTTCTGCTGCTGGAAGAGGCGGATGGTGACTTTGGTCCTGGTCCTGTTGGCCTTGGGGACTTTTAGGAAGAGCCAGACTTCTGCACGCTCCACCACTGACAGGTCACTGCCTTCCTTGGAAATCTCGAAGTGCAGCGTCTTCCTGGCTGTTCCTGAAGATGAAAGACAGCATAAGAGAAAACAGGCACACCTGTTAATTCCAACATTTACATGCACTCGTAAATTTCAGGCAAGCAGGAGTCTTCTGTGACAGACCCTCTTGAATAGGGGTCAACAAATGACAGCCCATGGGCTGAAACTGTTTCTGTACTGCCTGCAAACTAAGAATGGCTTTTATACTTTTAAGTGGTTAAAGAAAAGTGATATTTTGTGACATGTGAAAATTACCTGAAATTTAAACATTAGTGCCTGTAAATAAAGTTTTGTTGGAGCATGGTTATGCTCATTTCTGTACATGCTGCCTATGGCTGTTTTTGCACTATAATAACCAAGGACTGCGTAGCTGCAACAGACTGCCTGGCTCACAAAGCCTAAATTATTTACTCTCTGGCCCTTTATAGAAAAAAGGTTTTGGACCCTTGCTTTAGAATGAAGAGGGCCTGCGAGTCTGTGTCTGTTGACTAATTGCTCAACCTCAGTTTCATCTTCTATAAAAATGGGAATGACATAAGGACATTTGACCTGTTATCTCACAGGTTTAGGAAGGTCAAATGAGATAACATAAACAAAAAGACACTGTAAGCTCTAGAAAGCTAAGGAAATACTATTCTCAGACAAAAATGCAGCCCCTGGCCCCACCTCGCTGTGTAAGTCTGTGCAGTCGAGACACACTTGAGCCAGCCTCTTCTTCCCTTGTCACAGCCTGATTCCTCCGCCATCACCTCTTTGCTGGGTCACTGCAGCAGCATTTTCTTTACTTTGCCTCTGCAACACTAAGGAAGGCCTCCTCTCCAGTCATTTCTCCATGAAGCAGCTAAAGGCATCTTTCCCACAGGTGGATCTGATCACATCACTTCTTCTTGAAAGTCCTTTACTGAATTCCTATTGCTCAGTATCCAACAGAAAGTGGCTGGGACTTTGGGCTCTGTACATGCTGTTCCTCCCTTGAATGTCAGCTCTTGCCCAGTCCTGTTCTCTGGGGTCTAAGGCCTTGAGAATTCCACCCCCTTTCTCAACTGCAGGCAGTGACACCTGCTGTTCCTTCTGCCTTAAGTGCTCCTGCCCCAACTCCAACATACCACCCTTAGTGCTGCCTTTAATAATGTTTCAATTTTCAGATTGTTTGGATGACAGTTCCTCTAGGAGGCTTACCTCACATCACCTCCACCACCACCCTCCTGCCAGCCTGGTTTAGAATGCCCGGGGTCTAAGGTCACTATCATAGTCTAGTGTTTAGCAGAAAGTAGCCAATGACTTGATTACTTATTAACAAATAGAGGCGTCCTTAGCATTGAGTTCTATTAAATTAAGAGAGCCACCTAGTACCTCTGAATCCCCCATTTTTGCCTCTGACCCATTACAGGGCAGATTAATGGGCACCAGAAACATATGTCAAATAGCAATCGCTGCTAATGGACAGGAAATCCCCACATTGTCAGGGCAGTTGAATTTAGCAACCACTCAGTTCCAGCCTAACTCTAAAATTAGAAAGTCACCTATTTCCTTCTCTTTTCCTAAGCAACTGTATGTTTAATGACACAGCAACAATTACTATGAAAGCAGGTATCCAAACTAAAATTTTTTGATTAATCAAATATTTTCCCTCACTTCCATTTTTCCCACTTGGTGGCATATAGAAACATATCCTCTTTTCCATGACCGTGGACCTCCTTACAACTGTCTGCTGTACATGTATCCCATGCACAAATCTGGGAACAATCTTCAAGAAGTTCATCTTAGAACTTGCAACTCCCTGGGAGGATCTCCCTGCCTGGATTTCTATAGTTAACGGAAATCCAGCCATACTTATCACTCGAGGCCCTGAGATGTTTACGGTACTATAAATTTTAGGCACAGTTTCAAGTTCTCTGCAGCAGAAGGCAGGCTTTTCTGTGCATTGCGTACTGTGGATTCTGTTCTTAATTTAACACACTCTGCACACTGTGATTATGATAGTGGTAAATTCACTGAGGCAAGGGCCAAGCAGGGCTGCAGATGGATAGGAAAGGTTCTCTGGCATCTTTCTATAAACTTACGAGGATGCTGGCCATGATGATGGTGGCGGTGGTAAGGGGAGTTCCTCTGACTCCGACCTCATGTCTTTGGCAGGAGTTGAAATGAATAATAAAGCTGGGTTTATGATTAGATAGAATACCAGAGCAGAGAGAGCAGTTAGAGGGAGAAGCTGTCTTATTTTAGGAAGCATGATGACTTATTTTTTCAAAATCTGAATTCGATATTCCCCTTTGCTAAGAATTGGTGTGGGTTTTGTTGTTGTTGTTTGTTTCTTAACAAAATAAAAGAGAAGAAGATTCCCATAAGCAGAGCTTAATCATTTAAATCTAAAAAGGCAATCAGCAGTTGATTTTAGGGTGGCAGGGTCCTGCCAAGGCCTTAGGAGAAGGCCGAGGGAAACCTCCCAAGCCTTGGATAACTAGCCTGGAGGGTGTGCAGGTTTCCTCCAGCTTGGGCACATCTGCCTTGCCCCATAGAGAATGTTAACAAGATACCTGCTGTTTTCCCTTCTGCCTCTATGCAGGACAGCTTCTGAAATCCTAAACTGCACAGGGTGTCACTCCAAAAACAGACAGATAGTAGCTGCTAAATTAGAGAACCCAGAGGGCACAAGGTTGGGTTTTGTTTTTCTAGGAAAGAGTGTAAAACTGGAGTGTCTGACTAGTGCCCCGGATAGGGAGGCTTAATAGGTTTGGGGTAACTCATCCCCATGAGCTCTGCTCTACTCTCATCCACACCTGCCAGAAGGGGTCAGGGTGAAGCCGATGGACAGCAGTGCTGACCCGCATGCAGTGGACTTTCCATGAATAACACCCAAGGCTGACTACAGATGTTTAGGTGGGGGTGCCGAGGGAGGGTTACTTGGCTGACTAGAATTAGGGACAGCCGTGTGCAAATTGCTTTTTTAGGGCCAGAGAGGCTGAGGCTGCTGGCTTCCAGTCACACAGCCTACAGGACAGCCCCTGATTTCACAAGAGCAGGTTTCTGATGCATGATCTAGCCCCACCCCTTCTTCACAGGCAGCTGTACTTGGAAGCAAATGATTTAGTGTTCCTGAGAGAGGATTGTACAAAGAGAGTACTCATTAGAGGGGGCTCAATCTGTCAGGTGCTGTTATATTAGGATCAGAGAGTCATCATAAAATGACTTTCATGCTGGTCTTGGCTGATAATTAACTGCATGGCATCGCCTGCGTATTGTAGAGAGGCAAGGGTGCTGATTTATGCATCCGTTTAATTATCTGAATTGAAAGACTCTGTTCCCTGTATTTGCATCCACTGCCTGCGTGCTTTCTCTCTCCCCCATATTTCTGACATTTGGATTTTCCCCCTACTAATTGACATGCCTGTCGCCTCCTTCTCCTGGTGTCCATTTCTGGAACTGCTATTTGTATATTGCATGATATTTTATCAGGAAAAAATATAAAACAGATCTAATTTCATGAAAATGCTGTTGCCATAATGCTCAGGAGAACAGGGGGAAGAGAGAGATTCAAGTCTTCCTAATGTCTACCTTATATGCAGGTACATTTTACAAGTTCTATTGTATTCTGACTTATTAAGCAGTGCATATTTCTTTCTTTTACATTAGCTTTCATTGCAGAAGGGTGTGGGGAGATGAGACTGCTGGAAACTGACGTGGGATTGATGTTTATCAGGGCTGTAGGCTTCAGAAATATATTAAGCCTCGGAATGTCCTAGGTATGAAAAAGATAATAAATAACAGGTCAATTTATTATATTCCCTTTATCTCTATATTACCTGAGAGAGATTGCTATACTGCAGTGACACTTTCAAGATGCCCCAATCCTCCAATCTCCATGCATAACAATTTGAAAAAGGGAAGGTTGACTAAGGCTGGGATGTTCAGGATCAATTTCTAATCAGTTTCAGGTTTTACTCAAATATCTCATGCTGTAAACTCTTGAAATGAATGTCTTCCCATAGTGCGCCGTGAGCAGGTTCTGCATTAGTTTGTACAGGTGCGACCTAGGTTCCTGCACTATTACCTAGCTAACCAGATATAGCTGGTTGCTTTGCGAACCTTTCATTACCTGCTCTCTAATAATATTCTTTTCATCCTCTGTGCTATTTTTTCCCTCCCGAGGCTTGTGAGCAAGGCTGTATCACAGCCTGCTCTGCCTGAGTAATTCACTAAGAAAGTCCCACGCAAACCCATGTGGGTGATAATATTTCATCACTTAAACCTCTATGAGCTTGGTGGACACATACCAAAGAGAGAGAAAAAGAGGTGCAGAAAAATGGGCAAAGAGAAATTTTGTACCTCACAGGGAATACCTCTGAAATGCTGCTGGGTGGGAAGGATTGGACAGAGGAGAGACTGTGTAAGCTGGAAGGAAAGATAGCTGGAAGGGTGTTTGCAGCACATTTTCCTTTGCTTTCAGAATTTTAAAAATGTTTTGAATAAGTCAATCATGAAGGCATGGCAAGGGTTAAGCAACTAAGCCCCTTGTTGTTCCCTCCCCCTACACTAAGATGCAAAATGCTGGACTCATCCAAAAGTCCAGCATCTCAGATTTGTGGGTCTATGAACATTTTCAGTTAAATAAGCAACACACACATGCAGTGTTTCGATTTGGTTTTGTTTTCCTCACCAGGGTCCTGCTTAAAATATGTTGCTCTTTTACATATGGGCAATAGTTATGTCTCTAATGTGAATGTGGAAAGCCTCGTTGTTTATAGAACACATTTAAACTTACCATGGGATGGGGGCTGGGGGAAGCCTCCCTGTAAAAAGCGTCTGTTCCTTTAATTTTCCATTCTTCATCAAGATTTCACTGTGCCTAGATATGGTATAGTCAATGGTAAGGGTATACACAACTACCATTTACAGGGTGCATTCTCTGAAGCCCTAACTTTGCATTTGGACTGCTTCCAGGGGTTTCTGCAGAAAGCAGCAAGTGAGGTCTTAAGGTTATTCCTCCTTTGACCTACAGTAGAGGATCTTTCCTGCAGTAGAACTATAGGTTTGGCCATAAATTATCTTGATTAATTTTTTAGCTTTAATTTCCCTCCTTAGGGTCCATTATTGATTTATAAATGCCCTGGCACAAACGTCCATCATCCATGCCTCTTCCATTAAAGTGGTGATGAAAAAGGTTAAATATTTTGGGAGAAAGGGGTTTTAGGTTCCTACAAGTAGCAAAAATTCTTAAGGTTTAACCCACAAAATTTCAGAGACTTCTTCCAAAGTTCCTGAGAACTTTGGCACTTCTCATTTTGGACTTAGGAACCAGTCGAGTACGAAGAATTCAGAACTACAGCTAGGAGATCACGTGCAAGTATTTTTTAGCAGAAGAGGGGCCAAGACAAATATGTGTTTTCAAGAAAAGTGCCTGGGAAGGTATTACTGCAGTTCTTTAAATATTACAACGGACTTTCCACCCTGGCATCTCCACCACCCCCAGCCCAGTCCATCCACTGCACAGGCCGCAGACCACTATTAATCTCTTTTCCCATCTTTCCCACCATTTCTCTCCACACCCTCAGTTCGGAAACAAACGCATCCTCAGAAGCCGAACACCATGTTCCCACAAGGCATTACAGAAAGAACCTTTTTCCTCCCTGTTTGAAGTCACTTGTCATTTGTCGCTGGTGGAAACTGTTGATAAGGCAGGAAAACTAGGCAACAAAATCAGGGGAGATGGAAGATGTTTTTGTTACGACCCGGGAGACCGTATTAGGGAGAGACTTGTGAGCAAATCAGTATCGCTGATGATTCATAGTCACATTTCTCCCTGCTCCGCTTTGTTTGCTTTTGAAATTTATCACTCGTCTGCCTTCCATAGAGCTCCGGAATGTTCACATGTATCACTAGAATTTCCATTTCCTTTCCTTCTGTCTCATTTAATGTATTACAGGTAGTCATGCTTCTCCCATCTCATAAATTCCTAACTTTTTCTGCAGGATGAGAGGGAGCAGGCGGTAACTGATAATCACCAAGATTAGGGCGCTACAGACAGGGGCTTCCAGTACGCGCAACTGCCTTTCCCTGGATACACTGACAAGGAGCAAAAGTCTTTGGAACGCGCCCTCTTGTGGCCGCTCTTCCCCATTATTCACGGAAGAGAGCGTGTAACCCCTAAAGGCATCCCTAAAGGAGGGGTGATTCACAGAAAAGTTCGGAAGGTGGGATTGGAATGGTGGGAGTCAGCTTCATTTTGAGATGGCTTTCTTGGGGTGGGGAAAATGGTCATCCAAGCAAAGCTTCTTGGATCCCTGTCTGGGCAGTGCAAACTTCTAACTCAAATCTTCCATACATAGTATCCTCCAAGGGGTAGACTTATGTGTTGCGCTTAACAACACCTAGGCTACGTGAGCACATCCATTTCTTGGTGTGTCATTTGTCTTTCTTTCCCTATTCTTTCTACAACAAGTGCTATCAATTGCTAAGCTAATTACCAGAACCCACATCCAGGTTTGACAGCATATGGAGACTTAGAGGTACATTATTATTATGCATTGATTGACCACCTACTGTCATGAGTCAAAATAAAATAAAAATAAGCTGCATCAGCTGAAAAGGCCACTGAATTTAGCTTCATGACATTTATAGTGATAGCTTGGCTTTACCCATCCCTTCTATCTTTCCTTGTGAAGAACTCTGTAGGCCTTAAGGTAAAACATTGAGGGTTTTGTGCCAGCCATGCAAAGAACACACTAACCTTGGTGAGAAATCTTGGGTGATGTGACATATATAAAAATAAAATAATTTTTGTTTGTTGGGATACATTTCAGAGAGCCTTAGAGTGATTCCCTGCTGTTTAGTCAATAACAACTCGCATCAACTTTACAAAAATTGAGCACTTTCTACCTAAACAGGATGGGACAAACTCAGTTAAAAGAGTCCTCAGCACTTCAGCTTTTGGAGGCTCTCTACTTCTGTAGCCAGGCCTTGGCTTTATCCAACAATCAAGGAGAGAAAAGGCAAAAATTAAACGTAGCCTCAAATTGAAGAATCTTGAGGTTGAAAGGGGCTGCTATGGGTCTGCATCTGTGGCATGCTCATGGGTGACAATGTCTGGATTCTATGCTGCACAAAATGGTTATAAGGGAAAGAAAAATGCATTCCTTTTTCTATTCTCCAAAAACTCTTGACATTCCACATAGTTGGAATGTTATTAAAGTTGAATTATTCCAAAAGCAACAAGACATAGGTCTTTTCTATTCATGTTCATATATTTGCTACAATCATTTGGATGATAAATGTCTTTTCTGGACTAGCAAAATCAGCAGCAAAATGCTCACGTGGTTTTCTGCTTGAAGAGTAGACAGTCCATACAGCAATCATTAAATACATGAAATTACATTAAATCAACTTGAAGTTGATGTGTGAAATCCCTCAGAGAAAAATAAGCAATTGTAATAAGTGTTTTCTAAGAATCCAAAGTCAAGTTGTAAAGTCAACCAGGAGTTTCCCATTACAAATCTTAAACTTGACTCAATGTGAACGTCCAACGAATCGCTTTTTCAAAAGTCGCTCATTTTTTTTCAAACTAAACACCTAACTGAGAAGTAAAAAAATGACAAGATCTCATACAACTGAGAGAAGACTGTCACAGAAAGGAAGACCACACATAAGAAAGAATGTAAATGGTCAAATTTTTTCACTGCCAAATCTCTAAATGCTAAGAGAGTGATTTGCTATACAAGTCCAGTAAGTCAGAAAGAGGGGCATATTGCTAGTAACGGTAGTGCGGTTAAAAGTGGTCAAAGGCATAGGTATACTTAGTCATATGACATGGTTAAAGGCAACTGGATACGAGCTGTCATTGAATCCATCATGTGTGGAGGTTGGTATACAAAGACAGGAAGCAACCCTCTAGACCACTGAAATCTGTTTCACATGCACAGCCAAATATTGTAAATATTTTCTTTTTTACCTTTTCCCACCATGAAAAGTTGAGAAAAAAAAATGGGTGTCAACTTGAAAAGTTCCAACCTAGCTTTCTTCCTCAAAAAGCTCCAGAAGATAAAGTCCTAATGATCATGCCTTTTGGGGCTGGGTTAAGAAAGAGCTTTAGGGAAAGAAAGTAGGATCTTCCCTAAGTGAGAGAGGCTTCTGGTGAGAGAGCCAAACTGGGAAGCTTGTAGGACACCAGGGCTTCTCCTGCAAGGGGAAGCCACACAGCCAGCAGGCTATCTGCACCCCCGGAAAGATGCCCTGGTCTTTCATGGTTTTCTTGAAAACAGAACATCTGAGTCAACAGGTTTTCAGATTGGAAATTCTGAGTGTTGCCTTAATTGTTTATACTGCTGCGGCAAACTTTTAAACAAAAATGCTGGGAGTCCCTGCACATACTTTACTGGCCATATGCTCTACCAAACAAAACAATGGCATTCCTTTCAAATGGAGTTGGCAAAGGATGCAATTCTTTAGCCTGGCATTACCATGAAAGTAACACGGTATTAACACATCTGTGTGCCTGACGTGCATGGGCTTGCAGGCATGCAAAGGATCTGTGTCACTTAACTATAAAAATAGCCTGGCTCCAAGTCCATGGGCCCATACTTTTGACAGGTATTGCTATTCAGCAACAGGTTAGTGTGGTCCTGGGCCAACGATTAGAATCTATTTATTAAAGTTCTTCCTCTTAAGGATTGAGTGAGTTCAGCGTAGTATCTGAGAGTACTTTGTCAAGGTTGCGTTCCTTGGCAGAGAGCTCTTAGTAACTTTAGAAAGAACAAAACTGGTTGTTTTATTTATTTTTTTTTCTTTCAGAGAGCAAAAGTCAGTGTCCCAAAAGTAACTGCTGGTTCAATGACAACTGTCCCCCAAAGTAGCTCTTCCCTGTCTTGAATGTGGTGCCTGTGCACTTATAGACATTTTCTAAAGGTAAAAATGACTGTCACTCATAAATATGCCCTGCTTCTCCAATGTGGCCCCAGATTGGACTTTTAAAGGGGAAGGTTTGTTTTAAGAGAGTGACTTCATCTGTGCCATTCCACTCCAATCCTGGTACATTCACCCCTCTACCCTCAATAAAAACTTGGATGGGGTCCGGAAGCCTCCTCTGCTCCCCTAGCACCCGAAAATGCCGCGGCTTTCCTCCGGCTGCTCAGATCTGGTTTCACAGGCAGGGCAAGGCAGCCCCTCACAGTCTGCCTTCCAGCTCAACATTGGCCCCGAGCTTCCTCTCTGTGTGACCCGCTGGGTTTAGTAAGTGTAAGCCAGTCATCTCCAGGCAGAGCTCGACCGAGAATTCCTTTTCTGTAAAGTCCTCTCCCCCTCCCCTGCCTGCCCTCCGTCGGCTAGTCCGCTACCATCACCTAATAACTAATAACCTTCCCAGGCAGTTTCCAGCTGAAGGGAAAAGAAGTTCCTCCTGGGACTGTCAAAGAAATATATTTTACCCTCCCACCCCCCACCCCTCCCCACCCCCTGCCAATGCCAGCACCAACCTGACTCGGCAAACGTGATGATCTCCGAGGTCTGCTCCATAAGTTCATTCATTTCTGCCCTCCTTCCAATGTCATCCTCTATCTCCACATACCCGTTCTCCCCGACTTTGCCCACATGAAGCTTTCTGATCGCGTTCAGAAGCGCCGCCTTGGGTACCGGCTGGGTGACATCGGGTCTCTTCTTCAAGTGCAGCATGTTTAAAATGTGCTTCTTGACGGCCTCCACCATCTCTGGCTGAGAGTTGGGTACATCCTTTGGGAGGGCGGCCAGCGCACAGGACGGACAGTCGGGGGCCGCGCTGTGCCCCTCGGATCCTGGGGTGGGGGAACTCCTCACTATAATCCAGCAACTTGCCAACAGAAATCCTCTCAGCCAAAGCAAGGGCATCCTGGCAGCAAAAGTTGTTGTGATTGCCTTTTTAAAAGGCCCTGCTTTTCCTCCCCCCTCACGCGCAGGTTTTTTTGTGTGTGTGGATTTTTTTATTTTTTTTTTTGGTGTTTTTTTTTTCCTTCTCCTCTTCAGCAAATTCTCTGGAACAAGAACAAAAAGTTTTCTGTGAAGTTTTGTTTGCAGGTTCCTCTCTGAATGCAGTCAGTGCTGTAGGTTTGTGGCTGTCAGGGAGGAGAGTTCTGACTGTCTCCGAGTAAGAGAGAAGGAAGGAGGGAGGGAGGGAGGGAGACAGGGAGGGAGGGAGAGACAGGGTGGCGGGGAGACAGACAGAGACAGAGAGAGAGGATGGGAGGGAGACAGAGACAGAGAGAGAGGAGAGAGGGGGAGAGAAGAGAGAGGGAAAGAAGGGGGAGAGAGAGGGAGAGAGGGAGGGAAGGGAGGGGGAGAGGGAGAGAGGGAAAGGAAGAGAGAGAGAGAGAGAGAGAGAGAGAGAGAGAGAGAAAGGATTGGCCCTAAGTAAGTGAGTGAATGGAGAGGGAGGGAGTTTGCTGTGAGTAGGGCTGTGATTAGGGAGGGAGGGACAGCCCGTTTTCTGACAGGCTGCTCTCCTTCTGCTCTTAGCTTCCTCACAGACACCTCTCTTCAAATATCACCATTTTCGGGGGTTCTACTTTCTCTTCTAAAATAAATTATCCTAATTTTGTTCACTATTTTTTTTTCTTTCTCTGCCCAGTCTCCTGGTTTCACCTTCTTCCTTTTTTGGAGGGGAGAAAAGAAACCCCAAACAAACACAGTGTCTCAATCAATAGGGATGAATTGATTGAAAAAGTGTTCCCACCGCCCCTCCACCCAGCCAAGCCACAGCCCTAGGTGGTAGAACGCCCACCTGGCCACGTGGTGGGGCAGAGGGTGCAGGGAGGTCCAGTGGACAGGTAGTGGAGGTCAGGGAAGAGGGACTCAGGGGTAACAGAGGATTGTTCTGGCCTGATGGGATCCAGGGGAGATGGTCCTTTCCCCCAATTCATTCATATTTAAATGTTCAGGTCATCAACACTGGCAGGCAATCTGAGGAGAGCGCAATGGAACTTTTGTTTGGGGTCATATAATACACTCCACTCTTCCCAACTGTGAAATGCAGCAGGGCACTGAAGGACCAGAGGGCAGGCAGCCTGTCACAAGCCCAAGTTCCAGAAGCGCTTTCTCCCCGTCGCGTTCAGCTGCCCCCTTCTGCCGGGGACCCACTCACTCTCACACATTACAGCCTACCACCACTCGCCGGACTTCACAGATAAAATGCAAAATTCTCTTGGCCTTTCCCACATCCTTTTATAAAAAGAGTGCACTCGTATGACTTGAATAACTGGTCCTATGGGAAAAGACTCTCTAAAATATATTGGCAAATTATTTTTCTCTGTCATGTGGTAGTTTTTTCAGCTTGCCCCAAGCCTGTCCCGACCAGTGCATTCATAGACAGCCTCCTTGACTGCTTCTTTTTCCCTCAAAGGAACAGTGCAGATGAAATCATCATGGATTTTAGTGTGCACAGAAAAAGAAAAATGTGAATTTTTTAACAATGCCTTTCTAAGGCTTAAAAAAAATTCTTCCCCCTCCCCTCTTTTTCATTTTCTGTCTTATTGCTTTTATCTTGCAGAAGAATCTTTAAGGGGTCCATCTGTTAAAGCGTTCCTTCCCTCTCGGTTTCTTTCCCACACATAAGCCCTCTTGGTTTCTGAAGATACACTCAGCTTATATCTGACACCTAGTGTGTTCATAGCATTACAGTCAAGCAATGCAGTTTAGGTGGAAAGAGTTAATAAATATCATTACTACAAGATAAGATCTGAGTGCAAGGGGAAGAGGGCAAGAAAATTGTGACACTAAGTTATAATTACAGTTTGCACAGGTTAACAATGCTTTCTGAATTATATATACTGTCCCCTTTTCCAAAACAACTATTTGTAAGACTTTTTCTGTTACAAGTAACCTAACACCTTTGGGGTTTCAGCTCCAGAAACATCAATTACTCCACCATTATTGTTAAAACTTTGTCAACATTGCCTAAAAAGCCTCATATTTTTTACGGGGATGGTGAAAGAGAATGGGGGAGGCAGGGGACATTTGTGTTACAATGGTTTTATAAAAAATCTTTGTGCTATAA
This sequence comes from Homo sapiens, assembly GCF_000001405.40. Taxonomy (NCBI): domain Eukaryota; kingdom Metazoa; phylum Chordata; class Mammalia; order Primates; family Hominidae; genus Homo; species Homo sapiens. Next base: position 41,702,536 of record NC_000007.14, read on the forward strand.
TACTTAACATCATCCACCTATTTGGAGTCACATATACAGTACCCAAAATGTTTTGCAGTTCAATTAAGTTTTACAAGAAAGTCTGAAATACAACCAAAAGTTTAATGGCTCTAAACAACTCAGGAGTCCTAATAGCAGCATTTAGATAAGTGCAACTTATCAATATTTGGATTCTCTCTGCATCTGAGTATGTGTGTGTTCCCTGAATTTACTGTTTGCGAATGTAACTCTTAAAAATAGCTTTCTCTTTGGCATATGTACTTGTATATATGTGCTGAGTGGCTTGTATAAACATATAATCTATTTGCATGCTCTAGGACTATTAAAAGCTGTATTAACCTGCCTGAATAATATAAAAAGGTACACATCACAATGCACATTGGAAATGCCAATTAGTTGTAAAATTCCTCCTAGCTTTCCTATCTTTGAATGTGTAAAGAGCTCAGAAGTAAGAGTTAAAAAGCATTACCTTTCTGGTCCCCACTCTTCCACCAGCCGGCTCTTGTATCATGTGGTAAGAGCTGTCTGAGCTCCTCTTCATGGTATTGGCACTGTGAAGTTTTATACTGTACTACTTATTTGTACACCACACATTGGTACCACTGAAACAGAGGAGGGCTGGGGCTTTGTTTGGGATTGGTTGGAATCAGCATGACATCAGCGGATGACTGGTTTTTCCAGTGTGAGACATTTCATAATTCATTATCTAATGGAAAGCCCTTCCTGGCTTCTGAGACACTACTGGGTGATGCACTGAGCCAGTGAAACCTCTGGCTAGGATTACTCTACCTTTTAGAAAAACATTGGAATCAAATAGATATGTCTCAATGAGTGTGTCCAACTTTCAACTTTTACTACTCGCACACACGTCTCGTTATATTCAGGTTCAGTTTTATGTCTTTACATAAAACATCTGTTACTTCATGAAGTTGCTTCTATTTACAAAGTATTTTATTGTTTCTTTCAGGAAAGAAAATTGGTAGTGTTCTTTATAGGGATTCTAATTTTATATTTTTAAAATAAGCTATTTCATTGAGGAAAAAAATTGGGAAAATCTGTATAATCATATGATGATGGTCTCCCCCGACCCCAACCAACTTACACTATTATTTTACATCTTGAAATTGAATGCCTGCTTCATAAATCAAGAACTTTGGAAATAGTAATTCTCTTTAAATGAACTTCATAAGTATCCTTCCCAGGTCTTTAGAATCTCATTCTAACTAACCAAACACACACACACACACACACACACACAACAACAACAACAACAAAAACCCTCATGCATCATTCTTTTTTACCAGAACTTCAACTCCTATAATTTCTAAATTGTTACAAATATAACAGCAGATTAATGAAAAGAAGTGAACACTCCTTGAAATAGGGGTAAAGCTGGTCAGGCTTTTTTTGTGGGGGAGGGGTGTTGGCAAGTCTGGTAAATAACACAGGAGGAAGGGGTCCTCTGACAAGAACGGTGAAGGGTTGTTTGAAGGACTACAGTTGAAGCATAAGCCCAGTTCTCATGACAAGTTGGATAAAATGTGCAAAATTGGGAGCTAATGAGAGCCATATGACCAGATATGTTGTTTTGTATGCAGGATTTAACATGCATAAAATAAACTTTTCACTGTGCCCACAAGCAAAATATAGAGGCTCTGGCCTCCTGATGTGTGGCTTAAGCAGGTTCCATTAGGACACCAGAAGTTTTCTGTGTAAAAGGGTCTCTCTTGGCTAGATACAGAGAAAGTGTGGGTGCTGAGCTGCATGGGGGTGGGGGGAAGGAGTATTCTAAGAACTGCATATGCAGAAATGAAGTAGGAAAAAAATCATTAGGTTGTAGAGGAAGAGAGTGAATCTGAGTGGCGAAGACAGAAATAGGATTAATGATGGTGAACTCCAAACCTGCCCCTCAGCTTAGCACTGGGTGAACTCAAACCCTTTATAAGAAAGAAACTTCTCCACCCTTTTTGCTGAGAATTAGTGGAGTCAATGACCTTCAGGGCATCTAAACTCACCCCTGACCCACACATGAACCCTAGTGTCCTGAAAACATCCCCTCCGCCTCCACACAAAGTAGTGTGTGTGTGTGTGTGTGTGTGTGTGTGTGTGTGTGTGTGTGTGTAGGTGACGTGGGGTGGGGGTGGGGGGCACAAAACAAACCCAGATCAGATCCCAGTTCCTCTGCTCACTCACCGTGTAAACTCAGGCCTCAGTGTTCCCATCTATAAAATGGGATCCATGATATGAACCTGTGGGGGTCAAGTGCAGCTGTCAGATAATAATAAGTGATACTATTTCTGAGAAGCCTGGTGGCTGTTCTTAAACATGGGTGTCACAGGAATCTGCAGCTCTCTGACCAGAGGAGCCACAACACAAGTGTGACTCTGAAACTCCGCTGGCCATCTGATGCCACCGAGTGCCCACCTGCCAGGCCAGCCTACCAGCCGTGCTGCAACCCCTCTGCAACCACCTGCACCACAGTGGCAATGCCTCCTCCCTCGGTGCAAATCAAGGTGGGGGTGGTGGAGGAAGCAGGCAGGTTAAAATAGCTTCTGTGGAATATTCTAGACTGGGAATCAGCTTTTCCCTGCGGAACTCAAGGGCCCGGGGCACAAGCTGGTCAGCCCAGTCCTGACCAGAATCTCCTTCTCCTTCCTTGGTTTGGTTTCTCTTTCACTTCCCCCTCCCCCGGAGCTTCCCCGCACCCCAGGCCCTTCGGGTCCCGGCTTCTCGGCCCTGCTACTGTACCTTGAGCAGCACCTGCTGGCAGCTTCCAGGGATCACGCCGGAACGCGGCCGCTGCTCGAGCCCAGCTCGCAGGATGCCTGGAGCCAGGGCCAAGCCGGTCTAAGCGGCAGCCTCTATTTTTACCCTGAGCACCAGCAAGGGCAACTTCTTTTAAGAGCAGCTCTTGATTTTTTCCCCCCTTTTGGCAGCTAAAGAATTCAGGGAGGGGAAAAAAATCACTGTTCAGTGAGTGCAGCTGGGAATCTCTGAACCCAGCCCTCAGTGCCAGGGAGTGAAACCACAGCAAATGTCAGGGAGCGGGACCTGCGGAGGGGCCGGCTGGCTCCCCGCGGACAGAGGCGAGCCGGGAGCGCTCGCGCACCAGCCAACTGCCCCCTTCTGAGTGCGGAGCGCGGTCCTCCAGCGACTGCACTAGCAAAGTGGCCCGCTGCCACCGCGTTATTCACCTAGTGGAGGCGGCCTGATTTACTGGCGACTTCACAAACCCAACTCCACGCTGGAGCATTTGCATGGCTCTGTTCTCGCCTCGAGGAGCAGCCACTAGCGAACCCGGTGGAGCAGCTTGCTGCGAGAAGGAGCCGGGAGGGAAACTGTGGTACCTTATTTTACTGTAATTGCAAAAGGAACGATGTGCCAGAGATTTATATTTAGAAGTTGTATGTTTCTACTTTTATGTAAATGGAGCAATTAGGGCCTGTCTTGCTGCTGCTAACTCCAATGCGTGTGCATTGCTGGGGAGCTGGTGTTTTCAATCACAATTAGTGAGCTGGTCAAAAAACAAAGTTCGTTTAAGGATAAGAGCTCAATTGTGCGAATGGGGGAGAGGCCAGCGTTCGTGTGCTGGCCCGTGGCTTACGGTGACACCTAGCTTAGGGCCACGGCCAACCCTATAGTGGTGTTTACCTGTGGCAGCAGCTGTCCCTGTTCAAAGTTGGCATAGATGAGGAAGCAAGAATGTTCACTTTTCTTCTCAAACCGTCTGTCCTTCAGCTTTCATCCACGCTATTAACTGGTCTCTTTCCTCACTACTCCTGGAGCAAGGAGACAGGACCAGAAAAGGGAGTGGGGGTTGGGGCATTTTTCAGGGCTCTATTATTTTAGCTGCTGCTCACGGATTGCTGTTATTCAGTCAAAAATACAAGCCAGGAGACGCGAACGCCCCAAGCAGGTGACTGGGATGTTGTTCTCTGATTCAGCTGAAATGACACAAGGCTGGGGGTTCAGAGGCACGGACAAGAGTGCTGACGAGTCACGGTGTTTTCTTTCCTTCCTATGAAAAAATCTGTTTCCAAAAAAGCATGATTTCTGGTTCATCCCGTCTGGGAAACCGAACATAAAACGTGACTATGGAGAGAAATCAAAAGGACTCGAGGTGTTCCCAGCAGCTGATGTGTTATTCTGGGGCTCAGGCCGGAAAACCTGGCCTTGTTGGTGAGGGGTGACTCCCTCCAGAGGCAGCTCAGAATCCAGAGAACGTGGGCAGGATCCAGAGTACTATTTGCTGCAGGGAGACTGCGAGAGTCTGTGATGAAGGGTCTCATCAAATGGTTTAAATCGAACATGGGATTGGCAAACCCTGCCTGTTTCCTGGACAGCCGCAGCCTGTACATAGCTTGGGCTGAATGTTAGGTAGAAAGATTTGGGACAAAGGAGAATCAGCGTTTCACGTTCAAAATTGAACTGGGAAGCTGTTTTGCTTTTAAGTTAAATCAATGAATGAATAGATCGAAACAGAGAGAGAGAGGAAAGCATTAAAAAGTCCCCTGAAATTCATTGAGAACAACAGGGTCAGAAATGGTTAATCTGAAACTTGACTCGTAAGCTTCACATTTCTTTCAGAACCACCAGAATATCCCACAAGGCCTTCTGCTATGTAAGAGCACTCTGTTTTTAGATTATTTGGAAATGCTGCTTTCTGAACCAAGGGAACCCAGATACTAGAACTAAAACAATTAGGGAAAAGAGAAGGAGGAAGAAAACCCAGTAAGTAACCTATTACTCTTCATTCTACAGCAGTGGTTCTCAACCGGGGCGATTTTGCTCCCCGGGGAACATCTGGCCATGTTTGAAGACATTTTGGTTGTTACAGCTGGGAGGGAGGTTCTACTGATCATTAGTGGGTAGGGCCCAGGGATGCTGCTGAATATCCTACCATGCACAGGACAGCCCCCAACAACAAGAAATTACCTGGCCTACAGTGTTCATTGTTCTGCAGTTGAGATACCCTGATTTCATATTATAATTGTAAAGTTTCACTCAACCTTCTCCCTATCCATCTCCAAGAGGCCTTGGAAACCAAAAAAAAAAAAAAATTGCAGCTCTACAAAATACTAATAATTCAAGTGATTCTGCTTCCTTTTGCATCTTATGTTTTCTGATTACTGGAGACTACAGATACAATGTTCCTCTTGGGCAACCTCGTTGTTCCAACCAACTTTCACGTATGGTCTCAATACATTTTCCTGCTGGCTTTTTGTTCTGACCTAAAGCAGAATCTTGGTGACCAGCAACAAAATGAGATGGGCTGGCCCACACCCAAGTTGTTAGGAGACAAGAGACTCATGCAAAAGAGTAAATGAATAAAGGATTGAGTTGTTCATTTTAGCAATTCAGTATCAGATAAATCCATGCAATAGAGAATTCCCTGAAGTAAAATTCACAAACGTAGGATAACCATGCCTTTCTCCTAGAGCAAACAAATATGATGTAGCTTGATTTTATTTGTTTAATACCTTAGGGGAATGACATACAATCAATATCCAAAGAGATAAAACAGTGTTTTGCTAAATCCTAATGGCTGTTGCAAGCAACATTATATTCTCCAAACTTCCTTTGTAAAAGGAAGTGGTGTGTCTATTAAAGGAAGGCCATGCCCTTCCAGGTGTTGCTCTCCTGTGAGGACTGGGGAAACTATTGTGAAGGATTCCATCTCATGGAAAATCGTAAGAGTAATCAACAAGTATTGGTGAAATGCACAAGAGGGAAGTTGCCTGGATAAAACTAGCTTAGAACTGAAATCCTGTTGTCCATACAGTGAGTGCTTACTTCCCTGGTTCATCACTTAGCTCCTGAGTAAAATGGGTCATCCAGAAAGGAAAGGGTAGGTCAGAGATCATTTTAAGATGAAGGGAGCCATGAGGGGAATGTCTTAGACACTCTGACGCCGTATCATCTCTTCCAACGTGTGAATCACTGTCTCCTCAGGTAAATGGTCATTTTGGAACCAAAGGCCTCAATCAACTTTCAAATGATTCAGAAATGCCTGGACTTCTTCCCAAGAAGTAACCATGTAGTACATGTAAAAAAAATTCAATATTGAAAGAAATACTCATTTACAACCACTATATAAAAACATATATTGAAAAAAACCCAGACTAACTCAACCTGAAGAAATATGCCCTCAACATTCTTCCTGACCAATATATATTTCAAAATTGTTTATCATGACTCAGTTCTAACCCAATCAGGAAACATCTGCTTCAACAATTTATCTTCCTATTGCCTCAGAAGATTATTGAAAAATACCCCCCAAGGAATGCGGAACAGATTGTTGTAATCATTTTTCTCACCTGGATCCCCTTGGGTAATAAGTTCCATTGGTGACTTGAAGACATGGTGGTTTAGCACGTAGATTCCATTGGACTGATAAGAGAGCAGCAATCTTGATTTGCATCCACTTTTGCCTGTCCACAAAGATCCCCCCACAACCTGTTCCCAAATCGCTGCTTGGAGGGAAAAAGCCCGACAGAAAAGCCTGGGGGCAGTTCTGTGTGTATTTTTTTTAAATCAGTGAATTGCTGCCTCCCTCGTGTCCTAATAGAGTCCAAAGGTTCTGCCCTCTGTGGGAGCAGCTCCAAGGCATGGGCTGAGTGCTGCTGTTCACGAGTCCTGTGGACTCGCGTGGACACTGGCAGCAGCTCAGCTAGGTGAGTAAATATTTCCAGGTGGCCCACTCTAATTTTAGGAAGGTCAAGTTTGCAAAGGTGAAATAGCAAGTAGGACTTCTGTCACTTTAGATTGGAAAAGCAAACTGTAATTAAGCACAATATTCTTACAAAGTTTAAAATGGAATCACTGAATTCTACAACCAGCTTTAAACTTTCAAAAAATAACTTATGGCTACAATCCCTCTTCTACTCATTGAGTTCCTCTTAAAAGATGGAAGAGTATAATGAATGAGGGAGGAGCCTCTATAGTAGAAGGAAAAAAACACTCCAGAAAACCTCTCTCCAAAAGGCCAGGGGTTCATTTGTGATCCCTTAATGAAACAGGGGCAGAAAGCCAACAAGGTAATTTTGGCCAACTCCAACATCACTTAACTATGAGCTGAGAATAATTAAAATGGTGCTCCCTGTAGAAAAGAGTTCACCCAATAAGTTTCCCAAATTTCAAGGAGCTTTTGTTTTATTAGATGCTGTTATCTTCATGTTAGTCACAGGAAAAAAAAATGCCCACATACACACGCACAACTAAATGTAGTCAGTTTGCTCAGCTGCTGCTGACGTCACTGCTGCCCACTAGGAGTGAGTTACTGTCATAACCCCTCTTTTATTAATCATAGGCTGGAGGAAGCACAAAGTGAGTGACATCATTAGGCAAAGGACCGGCTAACTCATGCTCCAATTTACTCAGCTTTATTATAACATTTCTCGAGTGTCATATGAAAGTGATTACCATTTCACACTTTCCCCATCTGAGCAATCATCCCTAACCTTCAATTCAAATTCCCAGAGAAAAGCTTAGCTTTTCAGATGGAGGTGCATAAAGGCCAAATCTCACTAAGGGTCCTTGTCCCAAGAAGGAATGTCCTCCTCAGAAAGCCTTCTTCCTGGGCTTGAAACAGAGGCAGTTTCTAGAACCACTGGATACTAAATAATTCTCCATTGTCTCTGGCCCTGGCGGTGGCCTCTGACTGGAGAAGATCCTGACAGTCCAAATGGGTGCAGCCAAGTATGGCCTCCCAGTGACCAAGGGCACAGCCACCTCAGTGCTCTGAAGTATGCAAAACACCATTTGAAGATGAGGCAAAAGGTAGTGGTTGAATGTGTGGGTCCTGCAGTCAGACTGACTGGGTTCAAATTTAGGATTCACCACTTTCAAACTCCTGGGCAAATGACTTGGTTCCACAATTAGTATAATAAATATGGATAATAATATTCATAGATAGGATTGTTGTCAGGGATAGCTGAGTTAGTCGTGTGAGCCGCATAGAATGTGCTGGTACACAGTCAATGTTGCTTACTGGTATTATTTCTCTTCCTTTTTTAAAAAAGCTTTATTGGCTGACCTGAATTCCCTGCATCCTATTTTGTAGAGCCTTGGAAAGATGGGCAAATGCTCTGTGACAAGCCACCAGGGTAGACTGGTACTGAAAAGACCCTACTACACACAGGGGCTCTGTCCCTGGCTGGAAAGTTACAAGTCAGCCTACCTCTCTGTGATCTGGTTTCCACACCTACTACTCTTTATCCCATGAGGAGCTTCTGGAAACTAAAATAGGTACGTAATCAAAACCAAAAGAAGACATTGGTTCAAGGATCCTCAAGAGCTCAGCATCATGTTTCTGTTGTTTCTTTTTGAATAGACAAAATTCTCAGTGTTCAGTAGCTACACACACACACACACACACACACACAAACACACACACCCCACACACAAAAGTAGCATCTCCACAATGTTGCATGCATCAGGAAAGCAAATGTTTTTACCACAGGCTGGCTATGCCTCATCCTCTTAAACTAGCATCTTGAGGTCTTTGCAGAAGCCATTTTATAGATGCCTACACTCATCCCATTACTTGCATTCTCATCCTGAGGGTATTTTAAGGAGTCAAAATAAAGTTTACTTAGGCGTGTGTGAGAGACAGAATGATAGACCAAAAGAGAAGGCTAGGGCTTCGTAATATTTAGATAATGATGAAACTGAAATGGCTGATGCAGAGTGCAGTAATTATATAGGATACTTTATTATTTGGGTTCACCTTTGCTCAGTAGTGAATTATAAGCACTCTACTAGGTGAGAGGTTTGGCTTCCAAAATGAACAGCTGGCGCAGGATGGAACTGTCAGACCATGTCACATGATAAATAAAATAATACATAGAAACTTTAGGATCTCCTAATTGGAAGCTTCCTTTAGACAACAAAAGATGCCAGGCTATCTGCTGCCCCCTAACTGGTACCATGAAGAACAGCACATAACTTTTTAAGAAACAAAGTCTGATTCAGGTACAATTAGTTAGTGGCTGAGTCAACCTCCTAAGTTATAGTTGTGAATTTGGCCATTTCCATGAACCTGTTTGTTGCGATTAAGGCAAAGTCATCGGGTAGAGTCTGTTTTGTTTCTGTCTTTTCCTGATGGAGAGGCACTCCTGATTTGCAGCAGCTGCCCAGGTAGAAGAGTGTTGACCAAAGGACACATCACCAGCACAGACTGTTAATCATGTGACTAGAGAAAACTCTCATGGTGGCATTCAAATTTCCATATCCTTCTTCTATGGAAATTTCTGAGAGACCCAGAAAAGAAGCGTAACGACGAGGGAAAGTGATTCCTGCAGACCTGAACATTCCAGACTTACCAGGTGATCCAGCTGTCTGTCAGCGGGAAGAGGCTGAGGCGCCCCCTTCTGGTGCATCTGAATAGTAAGAAACCCTGTGTAGAAAGAAACCCTGTAGCAATTGGGCACCTTCTCCGTGATCTGTCTGCTTCCAATACCAAAAATTGTTGCTTTTTAAATGACATCCATCCTAAGCTTAAAAAAGACGCATATTATTTGTATAAAATGTTGAAGACGCAGAACAAAAAATGTAAATCACATGTAATCATCCCTTCCAGAAATAATCGTTATTAAAATTTCTGTGTATGTGTAAAAAAAAAAATTGCAATCCTACTGTAATATAATCCTGTATACTGATATTTTTCACCTATCACTGTATGTTGAGCATTTTCAATAGTCAAATTATTTCTTGAAAATATTAATGACTGGGGAGTAACCTTTCAAATAGGTGTGTCTTTATTTTTAAACCAGTCCACAATTATTGTATATTGAAGTCATTTCCCAAATTTTGTAAGTATAAGTATTGCATCCATCCTTATATGTATTTAAATGCATCTCTTATTATTTCCTTGAGATAAGTTCCTAGAAGTGGAATCACTGGATTTAAAAATGTGGACATATTTATGCCAGACGCGGTGGGTCATGCCTGTAATCCCAGCACTTTGGGAGACTGAAGCAGGTGGATCACTTGAGGTCAGGAGTTCAAGACCAGCCTGGCCAACATAGTGAAACCCCATCTCTACTAAAATTACAAAAATTAGCCGGGTGTGGTAGTGCACGCCTGTAATCCCAGCTACTCAGGAGGCTGAGGCATAAGAATCACTTGAACTCAGGAGGCGGAGGTTGCAGTGAGCCAAGATGGCACCACTGCGCTCCAGTCTGGGCGACAGAGTAAGACTTCATCTCAAAAATAAATAAATAAAATTAAAATTAAATAAGATAAATAAAAAATAAAAATGTGGACATATTTAAATCTTCATATATATTACCAAATGCCCTCCTGAAAGTTTTTACCTGTTACATTCCAACCAATAGTGTAAGGGCATGACTCTTTCCCTGTGTTTTGGGATGGATGTTATCAAAGTTCTCTCCCACCCAGGCCAAGTATGGTATATGCTTTGATTTAATTTGAATTTTTAAATTATTATTTAAAATGGACATTTTGTTGTCCATTTGAACAACTTTCTTTTGAGTCACTGTTCATGTTCTTTGCCCATTGTTTCTCTTTTATTAGTAAGAACCCTATTGTCATTTTTATATTTTAAATAAAATTTCATTGTATATACATTTATATTATCTATAGTAAAGTATATTTTATTATTAATGAGAACTTTTTATATTAAAGATCCTAACCTACTGTCTGCTACATATTATTGTAATTTGTTTCCCTGTTAGTTCCTGGCCCTTTAATTTTGTTTATATTAATAGTGTTTCAGGCCAAAAGAGAGTTTACACTTTTATATGAACTAATCTAGGAATTACTATCTTTTTGCTGAGGCTTCTCCATCAGGAAATCAAATTGATACTCATGTATATTTTTCACTAAATATTTTTTGGCACTTTATTCTTTAATCCAACGTATCTGGAATATATTTTGGCATACAGAACAAGGAAGAGCTTGACTTTTTAGAAATTTTTCCAAAGATTGAATGAATGAGCACCATTTATGAACTTTTCACTTTGGAATGCCATTTTCATCACCTATTGAATGTGTATAAATATGAGCACTAATTTCATTCAATTGATCTGTAGTGTGTTGCTAAGCTTGTGATCCCGTTCCATTGATATCTTTTTCCAGTTTTAATGTTTTTCTTTTAACTCTGGTTCTGTCCTATCCCAGGTCTTTTCACGTATGTGACTCAAATCCACAACTCAACAGTTATCTTGATTAAAATATCATTTCCTAATGCCAGGGCTTTATAACAACTGTAGATAATTCTAGGTTTTTCTCTACCTGCAGTTACTCAAAGTTTGTCATTTAATGGTAGCATATTATTGAACAGTGTGTTTGTTTGTTTGTTTGTTAAGACTGTGTCTCGCTCTGTCGCCCAGGCTGGAGTGAAGTGGCGTGATCTCGGCTCATTGCAACCTCCATCTCCTGGGTTCAAGTGATTCTCGTGCCTCAGCCTCCTGAGTAGCTGGGACTATAGGCAAGCGCCACCATGCCTGGCTAACTTTTTGTATTTTTAGCAGAGACGGGGTTTCACCATGTTGCCCGGGCTGGTCTTGAACTCCTGAGCTCAGGCAATCCGCCTGCCTCGGCCTCCCAAAGTGCTAGGATTACAGGCGTGAACCACCATGCCTGGCCTTAAACAATGTTTTTGATTGAAAAAGCTTCTTCCTAATTCTAGAAATAATAGGTATTCATTTTTCAAATACAAGCACCATCGAGGAAAAAAGAAAGGAAGGAAGAAAGAGAAAGAGGAGGGAGGTGAAGAGGAAACAAAGAAAGGGAGAGAAGGAGGGCAGAAAAAGAGGGAGGGAGGGATAGAGGGCTCCTACAGTTTAATCATTCAAAGAAAACCAGAAACAAAATTATAGTTTATGTCTTTCCAGAAATGGAAAGATCTTTCTTCATTTCAGGAACATTTTCTTCTATTGCATTTTTGACAAGTGTTTTTGTTTGTTTCTAAAATTTTCTTGAATGTGTAAATTGTTGATTTAAAGATTCTTTATTTTTTGAGTGTGCTCTTTAGCTTTCTTTGCGCTTTGTTTCGTTTCTTCTTGTTAGTTGAGGAATTTATGCATAAGCCCTATGTTGCTGTTTATTCTTTTCTGTTAACTCATTTTTGAATGGGATAAGACAGCAGGTCTACTGTTTGTCCTAAAATAGCATAGGTGTGTTCTCATCTATCCTCCTTTCTACTTCTCTCAACATCATCTACGTCTTGTCTAAGGGTTGGGTGGCCTCTGAGGCCTAGGACAAGAGCTGAGGTCATGGGTCGGAGCCTTCCAGTGACCCTGCAGCTAGGGCTTGTCTTGCCAACTTAGGAGCGTGTCCCTTCTGTTGGAGGAATACCCTTCAGGTTTCAGCTTTTTCCCTAGTTTTAGAATGGACTGGGTTAGAAAGATATTGGAGTTTGCAGCCTTTTTCTTTTGTACTGCTGCATGTGTTAAATTCTTCATCGTGTCTCAAGCTGACTGCTCTCGCTCCTCATTTCCTTTTCTTACCTGTGACAAAGCCTCTGTTCCTCCATCCTTGGATGTAAGCTTATGCCACCGTTAACAAAACTTAGGGAGAGAAAACTAAAATCACCCATGCACTCCAGGCTCGGCAGATGCTCACACCTGACTCATTCTCTTGTTTTCGGGTCCTTCACCCAACGGCTACCACAGCTGTCTGTTGGCTGGCTGCTCCCCGGTCCCCACTTGGACCCTGCTTCTCTGCAGTCCCTTGCATACAGACTCTCTCTGTAAGACACATTCTCCTCCCAGGCCATCCTCTTGGGCAGGACCTAAAACAGCGCCAGGCCTGCCTTCCCTCCCATGTAGACCCTATTAGCTCCACGGGAAACTCATGCATTTCTAGCCCACGCTTGATGGGAATGTGGTTTCTTCATAAACATAGTCCCCTCCTCCTTTTATCCTTTACCTTGCCTTAGACCAATTTACATTTATTCAGGCATGAGTCAAGCATCAGTATGCAGGGGTCCCTCAGCTGCAGAAGGTGCTGTTGAAGCCTATGTTAGTTATCTTCCCTGGAGTTGAAGAAGATTAATTAACCCTGTCCTGTTGGGAGAGCTGGGACTGACACACACCTGGCAGGTGCTTCTTCTGAAGGTGTCTCCCAAAATTCATCCCCCTCCCCGCCTTGCTCTCCACTCTCTTAAACTTTTATATTCTCAACATCTCTCCAGAGTCTTAAAACTAATGGAACCTGTTCTCAGATATCTACTTTAAAGATTCCTTTGCAGTGGTCTCTATCCCCTTCACTCTGGTATATGATAGCTATCTGGTATCCTGGCCCCTGGGTTAGAATTTCAATTCTAAAACATTATACTAGTTTTAAAACACTAAATGTTTGTTTTGTATTATTGCTTGAGTGAGAAATAAGCCTTTATTGATTTTGAGGCATCATCATTTTGGGAACTATTTCTTCTAGCAACTATTACCTTCAAGACAGAGAAGAGCAGAAGATGAGAAATTTAAAGGCAGAGGCTTGGGAACCTTCATATTTACGAGGTGAGTGGAGGAAGAGGAGCCTGTGAGGAGCTTTGAGAAGGAGTCAGATGTGTAGGAGAAAAACAAGTAGGGAACATTGTCAAGGAAGCCAAGAAAAGTGAGAGTTTGAAAAGGTCATATGACACGATGTGGTCAAGTAAGACACTGACAGAAAGGCCCAATAGATCTGGCAATATTCTAATCAGTGCCAGTGCTAGCCTGAGCAGATCAGCTTTGTTACTTGGGGATAGATTTTAGTGGGAAGAGAAGGGGATGAGAAGACTAAGGAGATGTATTCTGTCAAACGTGAAGAAGAAATTGAGTAATGACTAGAGAAGGAGACATTGAGGATTGAGAGAAAGCCCTTTTAAATTTTAAGATAGAGATTTAAGCTCTTCGGAGAGAAGTGAACTGCTAAAGGTAAATAATTTTACAATATGAGAGAAGACAGATAAGCAAGTTTCCTGCTGAAGTGAGAAATGATGGATTGATTCCAAAATAGACCCACATTCACACCACTCCTTACCACCTCCACCACCGTCCCTCAGGCCAAACTGCCATCCCTATTGACCTAAATATACCACCACACCTGAATAATTGCAACAGCCTCCTAGCAAATCTCCCTACTCCCATCCTTGCCCCCATAGACTATCTGGAATCCAACACTCAAAATGACCCTTTCAAAAATGCAAGGCAGATGAGGTCTCTCCTTTGCTCCTACCCTCCCGTGGCTTCTCCACTCGCTCACTATTGTGGCCAGAGAGAAGCTACGTGACCTGGCCACATCCCCGAACGTGCCTTCTTCTCTGTTTCTCCTTGGTCTCTGTCTTCTTCCCATGTGATCCCCCTTGCTATCCTTCCAACAGAATGAGCTCGTGCATTTCCCAAGCCTTTGTGCTTGACGTCGCCTCTGCCAGGAATTTCATCATTTTCCATCAGACACCCTCGCAGCTCACTCCCTGAATTTCTTGTTATTTGTTTCCAGATCGCTGAAGCCTTTTTGGACCACTCAATATAAAATAGCAACGGACTCCATCCTGGTACACCCTAACACCCAGGCTGTTTCATTTTTCTCTGTTATATTTATCACCATCTGAGGTATTTTTTTATTGCCTATGTGACAACACTAGAATGAGGGTAGAGACATTGTTTTGTTAACAGCTAAATCTTGGCACCTGAAACTGTGTTTGACATGTAGTAGTTGCTCAATAAATATTTGTTGGCTGATGAATTAATCCTAAGCATAGGTGGTAGGATTAGCCTTAAATTAAACAAGAAGAAAAAAAAATAAAGGATAGGCATAGAGAGACATGATAATAACTGACAGAGAAGGGAATTAAGAGAATTTTCATCTCATTGATTTTGCAGTAAAAAAGAAGGTAAGCTCATCTGCTGAGAGAGATGTCAAAGCTGGTGGAGGTGGTGGAGTGGAAGGTTTGAAAAGACAGATGAAATGTTATAACAGTGGCAGAAGCAGATAGGAGATGAGGGGGCTTCCGAACACCTCCAGGCATTCTGGAAGTCATTGAGACTGAATGCACAGAAGTTTCAGGAACACCAAACCACAGAGTTGTTCTGTCTTACCCAGAAGTGTTCTTCACTGTAAAGTGTAGAAGAGAGAAGGTCAATTGTTTAGATATAGCACTCCTGTCCAGTAGAACTTTCTGCAATCATGAAAAGTTTCTACAATCTGTACCGTGCAATCGAGTAGCCACTGGCCACGTGTGCTTATTGAACATTTGGAATGTGGCTATTGTGACTGGCTGCACACTACACAGTGCACATCGGGCGATCCAGACTCAGATTCTGGCAGAGCAGGAGCTGAGAAAGGACAACAAAGAATGGGAGTAAAAGGAAAGGTCAGTAAAGAAACTGAGCTGTGCCCTCAGGAATCTGAACCAGGTGAAGAAAGAAGTGAAGCCAGAAAGCAACTGATAGTTTGTGAAAAATAGCATCATCCAGGAATCAGAGATATCGATGATGTGAAATGTAGGTATGTTGAGAGAGAGTGAGAGCTAATGGGCATTGGGTCTCAGAAAATGGAATGCTGAAGATTAAGATTTCAAAGGACAAACCATTGTGAATAGTGAAACAGCCCAGGGCATGGGCATAGGATGTGTTTCTTATGTGGAGTGGTTGTGAAAGTCTTTGGTGTTAAGGGATTCAAAGGTCTGTAAGAGAGGGTTGGCTGAATAAAAAACCTGGGGTAGATGTCTGGCACAGAGATGTATAATGTGATAGCCACAGCCTCAAGGCTGTTTTTAGATGAAGGTGGAAATACGATGAAGATGATGCTCTGTTAGTTATCATTGATCAAGCACTCATTTCTGCTACGCATGGAGCAAAGTGCTTGATATATGTGTAATACCCTTTCACCCTTCAAATAACAATTTGAAATAGGTTTTCTTATTATTGCTAATTACAGATGAAGCCACTGAGGTTTGGAAAGACCAGATAACTTGTCCAAGGATATACCCTGAAGCAATATCCTTGGAGCTAGGATTTCAATCCAAGCAGCTTGGCATGAAAGCTCATGCTGGCCAGGTGCAGTGGTTCATGCCTGTAATCCCAGCACTTTGGGATGCTCGAAGTGGGTGGATCACTTGATGTTGGGAGTTCGAGACCAGCCTGGTTTACATGGTAAAACCCCATCTCTACTAAAAATACAAAAAATTAGCTGGGTGTGGTGGTGCTACTGGGTAGTCCCAGCTACTCTGGAGGCTGAGGCAGGAGAATCACTTGAACCTGGGAGGCGGAGGTTGCAGTGAGCCGAGATTGCACCACTGCACTCCAGCCTGGACAACAGAGTGAGACTCTGTCTCAAAAAAAAAAAAAAAAAAAAAAACAAGAAAGCTCATGCTGTCCAGCACTAAGCTCCATTGCTTTCTTCTTTTTTCTTTATATATTTCATGTTCTCATCTGAGCCTTCATACTTGGAGCAGCAGTGGTCAGCAGTAAGAGTCCTTAGTGGCTATCACCCACATCCATCCTCATCCATGTCTCCCAGATCAAGGAGCCGCAGGAAAACATGCATGCTTGCTAGGAGGTGGAATGTCCATGGAGGACTCCATGTCAGAGAAGTTAGCTGGTGGGCAAGCTTAGAGTGGAAACTGAGAGTTATGGCAGCAGATTACAATGGAACAAGTGGGAAAGTAGGAAGGGATGCAGTAGGAGGAAGATGGTGGGGACACAGAGCCCACTGGATGAGATTCCTGGCAAGGAGAGTCCTTGGAAGGCCTTCATTTGGGATGGTGCAAAAGGCTGACAAGCTAATATTAATTGACCTTAAACTTTCATACTTAAAATATAATATATATGGCATGCACAATACTCATATCTCATGCCATGAGAAACATTTAAGTATAATGCTTACATATATTAACAGATATTAGAATGGCACTAAACAGGAAACATTTTTAAATTTAGGAGTGCCTGGTTAGCATAGTGGCATTCAACCGGTTCTTGCTACACCTGCTTCCATGAGAGTATTACACAAGATAAAAACTTCCAGAAGCACTGAGATAAGAGTGGGAATGAATCTTAATCTACATACACAGGTGGTCAGGATAGGTAATTTACTTTATTTTTCTGTGATTGCATTAAATTCCTACCCTGAGCCTTCAATTTGCCATATGCTAGTAAATAAGCCTCACTCTCTTTGAAGTCTTCACATTTTTTTCTGTACCTAAATTCAGGAATGGGGGAGGGTGGATGGAGTAGAACAGAGGGATGAGAGAGCTTGTCTAGTTTTTTCAGTCTTGAGCTAGAGAGTGTAACATGTGGCTTAGCACCTGTCTTCTCTTTGTCCACAGAGAACCTTTCTTCCTTCCTGGTCTAGGCAGATCAGAGCCAACTTGTTCCTCATTGATAACTGTGAGGCCTTTTATTATAATATTTTTCAAGTTCTGGTCAGTATAATAAGGCAAAAAAATAAAAATAATGAGCAAAACGCAACAAAGTGGTGACAAAATTATCTTTGTTAGTAGATGGTGTGAGTGTGCTACAGGTATAATTTTTCAGTGCACAAATTCATAGCAAAATATGTGACATTTCTTCAGTTCTGAAATCAACACACATCAGTGGGAAGTCAAATCTCTCTTATGGTTTTTTGCCCTCCCCCCATTCTAAAGTTTCCTGGTCTTGGCAAAGGAAAGTTCCTCTGTTCATGGGTCCCCACTGGCTAGTGCTGGGGTGCCGGTGCTCTCCGAGAGGTCCCACAAGGACTGAGACCTTGCTGCTCTCCTAGGTACTGCCCAGCCGCCTGCAAATCTCCACTGCTCCTGTGAGGGGTGTGCCAGCCTCTCACCCACCACTTCCTCTCCTCCCTTGGCCATGTCCAGTTCATTTTCCTTTCTGCGCTGCATGTGCCAGATACCCACCATTGCCTGTTCCAAATTTAGTAAAAGTCTGCCCTGCAGAAGCATCTGAGGCAAAGATATACAAAGCCCTGGCTTTCTACCTTTCATACAAGAAAAAGAACAATACAAAAGATAAACACAAACCAATATTAAAACAAATTGTATTCACCATTGTGTGACCACAACAAACCCTAACTATGTTAATTTACAAACTTATGTTAAAAGTTCAGCCAGATAACAGAACACAAATATTTAGAAAATATATAACATTTTATAGGACAAAATAATATACAATGTCTAGAAATTATTTTAGAAGATAGTTGTTTCTCTACTCTCCATTTTATAGATGAAAGAAAAAGTGCATAAACAGAGTGATTAGTCCAACTTCATGCACCTATACAGTGGCAGAGCTAGACGACAAACCCAAGTCTATCCAGTTCCAAACTCCATGCATTCAATCACTACAGCATACTGCCATCATAAAGTGATATATTCCAGTATTATGTTATAGTGATTGGGTGATATATGGAGAGTTATGTATATATCTCTCTCCTGCATTTGTTGAGCATGTACTATGTGTCAGGCACTTGCTAAAGACTCTTCAAACGTGATATCTTTTAATTCTACAGTATCCACTCACATAGGTATTATTAATCCATTTTGCATCTGAGACAGATGAAGAATGTGATGAACTAATTCTTCATTCATTCTTCAACTGTAATCTGGTGTGTGCCAAGAATGCCATTAAAATTGTTCTGACAAATGTTACCAATAATCCTCTCTACAGAACATTTCAGTGTTCTCTTTTTGAGTGATTGCATCTACTTCCTGGTTTCAACTGATAATATTGGTGATTCCCAATCTCCCTCTGGCAACATCTTTTATCTGAGCTTCAGACTCATACAAACAACCATATATTGATTTTATCCATTCAGGTGTCTTTTAGGCACCTTCAACTCAGCATGTTAAAATTTAACCAACTTCTTTCTCCCTAAACAAGCTCCTACTTTTGAATTTTGATCTGTTATTGGTGTCCAATCACCCAAGAGTTCTTTCCTGACTACTTTCTTTTCAGTCCGCACAACTGAATGCAATCAATAACCTCATCATAACCGTTTACCTTATATGTAGTTTTAAAGGATGATAAAACAGGACATTGTAGGTTAGGACCTTAGCCCAGGTTCTAGCACGATGAAAACTCTCAAGAAATGTTGGCTATTGTTTTTGCTAATATATAAGCAATGACAATAGCCACTACCACAACAGAGACACACTGACTGTGCCACTGCAGACCACGGCTGTTAATTAGACGCTGGATCTTTTTAATTAATGTCCCTATTGTGTCCTTTTTTTTTTCTTTTTTTCTTTCATATTTCCATATCTTTGCTCTGTGTTTAATGAGACTTCTTCAACTTAAACTTCTATCCTTCCTTTTACTTTTGTTTTAACTAATATTTTTAATTTGTAAAAGCATTTCAATTGCTGTTTCCTTCCTGTCTTTGGGTTTAAGTTCTTTTAAAATATTTCTAAGAACATTTTTTCAACGTGCCCTTAGAAAAGACACTTTCTGTTTTGTGCTCTGAATAATTTCTGTTTTCCATATCATCTATTTTTTTGTTTGTTCACCTTTCATAACTTTGGTTTTCCTCATGCCTAGTGATTCTAGCTTGTCCCTTTGTATTCAAGATGGAATATGCTAATTATTATAATGGGCATGTTAATTACCAGAGCTAGAGTGAGTGCCTTTTGCTGTTGTCTAAGTGGTTTGTTTCCTGTCATCTAATTCTTGATAGGAAACATGAGTAGGTGATGTTGTTTGGTTTATTTCTCTTTATCTTGAACTCTATGCCTAGAAGAGCATCTGGCACATAATAAGGACTCCCAAAATAAAAGCACATTGTTATTGAAGGGCTTTTCCTATTGTAGTTGACAAGATTGTTAGTGGAATCTAAAGAGACTTCTAATGAAACATAGGCACTAACCTAATCCCAGGAAAGAAAGAGGAATGTATTTTAAGCGTGGTCAACCCTTCAAGCCAATGTTCTTTTATTTTCTCCTGCTTCTATTACAGAAACTTCCCAAAATCAAATTAAAACAGAAAGGGGCAATGCTGATCTGATAGCTCACACCCTCTGCATTGAGAATTAGATAGGAATCCTGATTCCATTTCTATTAGTGAGATCCTGAGATACATCCCTTAACCCTCTAAATCTTAGTTTCTCTAAATACAGAGGCTGTAAATCTTATCTGCTTGCTTCTCAGGGTTTTGTGGGAATTTAAGTAAATAGTTTATACTTCAGTCATCTTAGAAACAATTCATTTTACAAATACAGTTTACCAGGCTTCATTTTTAAACTCATAATTGTACCATAGCCTATGTTTACAAGAGTTCCTTCAAAAAAGCCTGTGATAACACATTGTGTTAACTGGCACATACCAGGGAATGTGTTCCTGGGTTGTCAGACATGAATCAAGACTTGATTAAATCAAATTCTCAGGTAATAATCTTTTAATCTTAGCACTCTATTGATGTCACCCCTCTATGACCTTCTGTTTGCTTCTGGAGAAGTCTAAAGTCAGCCTGATTTTTTTTTTTTTTTTTTTTTTTTTTTTTTGCTGCTCTCAAAGTTAGCTTGTTACTGTCTTTTTAAATTTTCTTCGTGGATACTTCTCAGCTCTATTTTATTTTGTTTTTATTTCTCTTCATAATTCAAAAACTCACCATGGTGGAATGATATGGGATATTTTCTATTAACACTTCCTGAAACATGTTTAGCCCTTTTCAGTCTGCATACTTTGGTGGTTTCTTTTAGCTCAAGAAAGTTTTCTTACAATTAGTCTGGTTTCCTCTCCAATTCCTAGTTTGGCTTTCCATTTTGTGAACCCTATATCTTTCCTCTGTGAGTATTCGACTGTTGGTATATTTCCTCTTTTTACTGGAAGAGCTACTGAAGTGTATCACTCTCATCTGTGTGGAATTTTATTCAATACCCATCCTGTCCTTTATAATCTCTAGTACAGATTTTAATTCTGCAATTGCCAATTTTTTATCCTTTTTATCTCACTTGGCCCTTTTTTATCCTGGATTTCTTTCTAAATTATTCCACTGCTTTTAATCTTATCATTCTCTCTTTTTCAGGCCACTTTTTCTTGGACTGCTTCAGGGTATCAGATTTCTACAATGTCCTTCTATTAGTAAATAACTTTAAGAAGAATGCTTTTCCACTGAATGCTAAATAACCTGGACACTTCTCTTTTTCAAACATATAGTTCTTTCATTGTTGTTTTTTTTTTCTTTTTTGCTTTTCATCTGGAAAGAGAGCCATTCATACTTGATGTTTGCAATTAGACAGATAATACAGATTCTTTGGCTTTGTTTTCTGACTTTTGTAACCTGGTAAAATACCCTGGAAGGAAGGTAATTAGTAACTCCTAGAATCTGTTAAGCATTCTTCTTAGGATCATTGATTTTCTGATATTCTACATCAGTGGTATACATGGAAACCTACAATTTCCAAGACACACTTCTATAGAGGTGCTTCCATTTCTTACCCTAAAGGAAGGCTTCACTAAGGGGTGGTGATTTCAAGATTTAATGTGTCAGTATTCCCTTGTTTTCTGGAAGTGACAGCCCCAAGATTGATGCAGAAAGTAACAGGGGTAGAAAAGAGGGGAGAGAGGGAAAAAGGCAATGTTATAGCCCATTTGGAAAGTCCTCTCTGTGCAGTGAAAGTGGGGAAAGGATGACTAGTTTTAGTTAAGAGTCAAAAATCAGGAGGAAGGATAGTTGTTTTCCCTTCTTTAATATTTAAAATTTTTAACTTCAATTCTTTTTTTTCTTAGAAATGGGGTCTTACTCTGTCACCCAGGCTGGAGTGCAGAGGGGTGATCATAGTTCACTGCAGCCTTAAACTCCTGGGCTCAAGTGATCCTCCCACCTCAGCCTCCTGAGTAGCTGGGACTACAAACATGAACCACCCCACCTGGCTAATTTTTTTTTTAAATTTTTTTGTAGAGAGGGGGTCTTGCCATGTTGCCCAGGCTGGTCTCGAACCCCTGGCCTCAAGTGATCCTCCCGCCTTAGCGTCCCAAAATGCTGGGTTTATAGGAATGAGCTACCACACCCAGCCCCGTCTTCTTTCTGATGAAAAGTGCTGTTTTATTTAATGAGTCAATGCATAAGTTAGCCAGTCAGGCCCCAGGAAATCAGAGTTAATGAAAATATCTCCCAAATTATCAGTTTGGTTGTTTGGTTATTTAAGGTAACCAAAAAGGGGAACTAGAAGGATGGCTTTTCTGTGAAATAATGAGACAATTCTATGTTTCTGTCTTTTACCCCTGCCATAGTTCTAAGGAAAAGCAGGTCATGAGGAAGGTTTTTATGGAGCATTTTGACAAACTACTTTTCCTCCTTCTAATACATGATAAGATTCTGGACAAGAACAAAGGCCTAGACTTTTCATAGCTTTCTCTGTCTCACATGCACCTTTCCAGCCCATTCCCCTTTATTCATACCATTCTCTGTTAGCCCTCCTGTTTCAATTCAAAATGAGGCAGAATACATCAACGCTTAGTGGTTATTCCCAATCACAATCTTCTCTATCAAATAAGAAAAATGATGTGTCTGACTAATAATGTTTAAAACACAATAGCAAAAATTCCACATAGAATTCTAACTAAACTGTTAGAGTTACCATTAATTATCACAGCAATTATTAATGTTTTCATGTTCATAACCAGCCTGAGACTCAGTTTTCTGAGCAGAAGGCATCTCAGAGTTTGTAAACTTGCCACAAAGTCACAGACTCTGACCGCCAGCAGGGTCCTCGTGAGTCATGAGTTCCGCCATGGCCCAGAGCTGCCAAAATGCCGTTCTTCCCCACACTTTTCCACAGGAACTGGGGGTGCCTCAGCCTTTGGAAAGCTACCTTGTACTCTATCCACACTCAATAAACGCTGCTTAATAATGACAATGAGAATAAGTGTTCCATCTCACTTTTCTCCGGAACACCTCTATTTAGGGAGCCACAAATATTTCCCCAAGTCATTTATTCCATTGCCCGATTGGCTGCACAGTCAAAAAAATTTTCCTACGGTCTCCCCTGAATGTTTCCATTTTCTTTTTGCAGCTCAGCCCGTTCCCCCTTGTCTTGTGCATGGATACTACCCTAAACTATGTTGGTGGTTAGGAAGTCATGCTGGGAAGACGTTGCCTCAAATTTCTTGTTTCCAGGTAGTCAAGTCCAAGAATATGTTCCTGGATTCTAGGTATAAGCTGAGCTTGATTTGCAACCATTCATTATGAGAAAAAGAAAATTCTTTACTTATTTATTTTTAAATGTTGGAAACTCTGCCAAGGCAGAGGACTGGGGAGCTGCAGAGTTGTGTAGAGCAGCCAGGGGCAGAGGCTGCCCAACTGTGGTTGCAGGATGGCCGCTGTCCCTGCTAGTAACTGAGGGATCTGCAGGAATGATTAGCTGAATTTCCAAAGCCCCTTCCTCCCAGGGTGTGCTCCTCAGAGTCCAACTACAGTGTCATGTGTCTGTGCACATGAGCCCACAGAGATGGGTGTAAGTGTATACAGCTTTGTGTGTGTAAATACAATACATCAGCAATTTCTGTTTCAGAGAGGCACTAAAATGTCAGTTAGGATCTGTTTTATCCAGTAGCTCCTGTGCTTACTTCCCCAGCATGAGTCCTTCCTCTTAGAACTGTGAGCAGGATCAGCCTTAAGAGATGTCTGAGTTACAAACTATTCACCTTTAACACGACCCCAAATGCCCTCCCTTCCCAAAGCAACTACCTCACTGCAAGAAATATTTGCTAAAAAATTTCACTCTTCTAGGTTTGAGGCGTGATCTCTCAACCTGATAGTAAACCTGATATTAAAATTCAGAGATATTCCTATTGATCTGTATTAACTCCTGTGGTAGAGGCTAGGAATACAGCCCTGAATAAAACAGCCAACCTCCCCTTTTTTTGCAGGAAGAAGGCAGACATTAACAGAACAGGGAGCTCGTGGATTCAGCACTCCTGGAGACAAGACAGCCAGATTTTCCTTAAAAAGTGACCCAAGGGCTGAAAACCAAAGGAGAAGTAGGATTTTTCTCAACAACAACATCTTGAGGTCATAATAATAAGTAAAAAACAATGCACTGAATGTGATTAAAGCTTATATTTTTCCATAGTAATTACAACAAATATGATCTAGTCTGAGTTTGACACCAACCCCTCCCTCCCACTGCCACTACCATGTAGCCAGTGGGGTTGTAATCGTAGTTCCCACTCCACAGGCTTTGAGAAGGCTTCAGTGAATTACCCATGGTCACACAGCTACTCAGTAAAAGAATATGAAATAATAAATGAGCCTTCCAATTCCAACTCCAGGAAACTTCTGAGCACAGCCTTCAGAGAAATTGGCTGGGGAGTAGAGGTAAGAGGAGAGATTAATCTAACCTCAGATGCCCAACTTCAGCAGTGGAACTCGGTTTTATAAATAAATGCAGGTTTAAAAAAAAAAAAAGCAGTATAATGGAAAGGCTTCAGAGACATATCCAAGCTCAAATCCCAGCTCTGCCAGTGATTAGCTCTAACCTTGGGCAAATAATTCAACCCAACTATAATATGTGACTCCTTCCAAGCCAGCAGGAAGATTAAATGAGCTACTAGAAGACAGAGGACCAGTACCTGATACCTTACATGTTCTAAAAAGTATGTCTTCTTTCTCCTGTTATCCAAGAAAAGAAGTAAAGCAAAAATAATGTCCCTTCACACGAGAGGCACTAGAAAAAATACTCCAAATGGCCAACCAGCTGTGGAGCCCTCAGGACCAAGAGGGGGGTGCAAATATTAATAATACTGGGAGGCAGGAGGGCACCCATGGATGATGCCTGCTCTCCCCCGATTCAGCTCCGGGACCCAAGGAGTCATTCCCAGTACAGCAGAAGGAAACCTAGATAGGGTCTGTTCTAGAGGAAACAGGAGGCAAAAAATAAGGAAGAGAAATTGGGCAAGTAAATGAAATACTTCGATGTAGGACCCTCTTCTGTGCTCTTCCTTGATACCTTGGCTCTGTTTGCACCTCATATGCCCTGTGACCTATGTATGTCACTGCCATGATTGTCCTTTTTGACAGATAAAAAGATTAAAGGCAGATTTAGGTCCCTCCCAGAGTACATGTTTATCTCAACATGAAGTGCATTTCTGGTTAAATTTCTGCTTCCAGTTTGCTCTCCTCCATACACTTTTTTGCTCCAACTTTAACTGGTGCTACTTTGTAATAATTTATGTTCCTTTATAAGACTCCTGAAATCTCTTTATGAAAAGATAGGTATAAGTGAAGAAATGCAAGGCAAATAAGTAAACATTAGATTTAAAAAGTTGTTTTTAACATTCCCACTTGCCAGCCCTCAGGCTGTTTCTAAATCCAGCTTCTGAAGCTCTAAGCGTCTACTATTGTTCAGGGCTGTTATGGCATTCCAAGCAAAGTTTCCTTTAAATAAGAAAACCCTATGAAAATGCCCAAGTTAAAACCAACAATCAAGATTTTGTCCTTAGATTGTCACTGCTGCCCTGCGTTGGGCCTTCACTGCAGCAAGGTGTGGGTCATTGTTAGCTGCTTTACTTCAGAATCATCCTCAGCCCCATTCTTCCGGGGCCACCTCTTCCATAAAGGCTGGAAAAATAAAATGCACATTTTCCCAGCTTTCTCTGTAGGTAGCAAGCCCATGTGACTTAGTTCTGGCCAATGAGGCCCATCGTTTCCTGATAAAAGTATAGAAGGTGCCAGCAATTTTCTTTTTCTCCTGACTTGGACACAGATGAGATGGCTAGAGCTGCAGCAGCCATCTTTTGACACTGAGGCAATAAGCCATCATGCTGAGAATGACAGAGCAAAAAGATAAACAGAGCAGCTTTTGGACTGTCTGGCTCCAAGTGTATTGTTAACTGAGACATGTAAGCCTCTGCTTGGCTAAGTTAGTATTAGCCAAGTTTTCTATTCCTTGAAGCCAAAAGGTTTCTCAACTAAGATAGATGTAAATATAGATAGAGATTAGGTATAGATATAGATGTAGACATAGATATAGATATAGTTATCAATAGATAGATTTATCTCTAGAAAACCATTCTTTTTCAATACAGGCATGTATGAGAAAATACAGCTTAATTACTCTACACAGAATGAATTGATAGACTAAATTGTCATCTGAACCCAAATGTACATGCGTAGTGTCTCCAGGTTATTTTCTTTAACATGTTCTACAAAATAGCACATCTAAATCCATAGCAATAATAGGGAGACAGACACAACAAATTCCATGCCAACTCATTTTCCCTGAAGATACAATTTAACTACATGTGAATAATGATCCCCAAATCTAGAAAAAGTCTTGAGTAAGATGAGGTTAAAGTATGAGAACAAGGGAGAACCTCAGATTACTCTAAGAATAAATAGCTTTCAGTCCCAAAGCAATCACTCTCTATGTCAAACAAGAATTAGGAATGCGTTCTTATTTTTGACTGCCATTCTCAAAGCCCCAGTAGATTGATGATGTAAACAACTTGGAAGGCTTTTTTTATCCAAACGACTCCTGGTTAAGCCAGACTGGCTGACCCCCATGTCCATCAGTTGCTCCGTCCCCTTCTCTCTATTTGTTCCCTCAACTGTGGATGCTTTCTCCCGCTTACACTGTCCTGGCGCTGAATTTCTGGATCCACTTCCCAACTGACATCCACCTCTGCCCTGCTTCTCTGACTGTTGAGAACATCCTGATTCACCTTCTGGTATTTTGGACCTCAGCTCTCTTCTAATTTATGAGTTCGGTTACTCTTCCAGTGTGACAGTCTCCTAGAACAAATTGCAGTCCCAGCTCAGCTGGACTGAAATGAGGAAGAACTCCAGCCCAACTCCAGAAGAAAAGCTCCATTTCCCCTCCACCCCCAGTAACAGGATTTCAGACAAAGACAGTGAAGCCAGAGGTGAAAGGGTAAAGAATAGAAGCCATGTCACTTTGCCCCTGGTCATAAATTGCCTCTGTTTTCATCTGTGGAACCATCCTCGTGGAGGTAAGGGAAGACAGCGTACCATGCTGGACACAGGCGAGACCATCGTGAATTGAAGCAGTTTCCTGAAATGGAAACATGAGGACATATATGGTAAAGGGAGGCTTCTCGGTCTTTTCTGAAGGAAATTATCCAACCACAGGGACAGAAAAAAACTGGTTATATGAAGTTGAACTTTTGATCATGATGAGTTTTAGAAGCAACCCTATGTTCCTCTCCCTTCCTATGCCATCGCCACTTAGCGAGGCTCTAGCAGTGATGATAGTTCAACTCTCCCCATAATTGATATCACGGAATGTCATTAATTACAGGGATTGGGATTCAATAAAGTAAAGCAGGCTTAGTAGATCCTGCTTGAGGAATTTAACATGTGGGGCCTTGTATGTGCTCCTAAGTATTTTGACCAAACTGCGAATATGTTCTAAAAAGGACAGTTTCCAAACTGTGCAGCAAAGAGGGCAGAGTTTACCTGATGGAACTGTGTTAGTTAGATAGAAACACTTGTCATTAGGGGTATGAATGAGTATATCTGTGTATATGTTTCCATGCAAATAGAGATTGGGAAGGAACCACAGCCACCTGCCACCACCCTTTCCTCACTGAACCCTGATTTTGTTCATGCTCACCTTGTATGGCAGGGCAGTCTGGAACTCTTTCCTGCCACAGGGGGAGAATGTTGATTGATCCAGGCTAACTATGGTAATTCTATATCCTAGACAAGTGGTTCACCCAGGAATGGGCAGTTTGCACAATTCTGGCCAATGAGGTGAAGTCTGGAACTTCTGGAGTAGTGTTTCCAGCCCTTAAGAAAATGAAAATAAGAAAAATACCAATTTTTCTGTCTCTAAATGTCACTGTGTGAGGATATGATACTGGGAACAGCCATCTTGTGATCTGGAAGCAAAAGCCAAGATGATTGCAGAGATGGTTGACATCACTGAGCTCCTTACTGAACTTCCCTGGAATTTCCTGGTGCCTAGACTTCCTGTTGGGTAAGATCAGATGCACCTTTATTTATTAAGCCACTTTTAGCTAGGTTTTTTTTTGTTGTTGTTGCTTGCAGCAGAATGCATCCTAGGCGATACAAAAATCATCCCTATAGGCACAGAGTCTAGATATTATTTGGTTTGGGTGAAGAAGGAGTAACTGAGACTCATAGGGAAGAAATACTTGCCTAAATTATAGAAGGCAGACCTTCTGGCTGCACTACTGTATGTATGTTTGCCACTCTACCACACTGTTGTATACGGAATTGCTTGTTCATGTTAAGGCCATCAGCATTCACTCTCATTTGAGTGATTTTCTTATAGTGATTATGGATGTCATTTTAAATAAAACATTTAGCTTGCCTAACCGGGTAATGGGAACTCTTTAGCCACAAGGTTAGAAACTAGACTCAACCTTGTAATTTATTGCCTACAACTATAAACCAAGCCACTGTCAGAGAGCTGAGAAGAAGAATAAACAATGAGACAGCGGCTGCCTGGTCTTTTAACGATAGATGGCAAGGCTAGATATGGCCAACAATAACACCAACCCATAAATATTCTATATTTAACCTACAGTCTTAAAGTACTTTGATTTTCATTATTGATGTGTGGACACCCTCAGGGTCTTCAATTCTAAATCCCTTATCTTGTACTGCCATGTTATTAGGAAAAAGGGAAAGTGCTTTTTAAAAAAAAAAAAAAAAACTCAATATTGCATAGCTTCTTAGACTTTGGCCTTTGCATCCTGAGTGTAACAGGGTTGATGTATCTCTGATATGACAGGAGAATCCCAGCGCTGCACTATTCCTGAGGAGAACGGACTTGGTTTCTGAGTGCGGGGAGGACTGTGTGTTTAGTCAGCGTGAGGTGCAGATAAAGGGAGTTCTTAAATCATAATGTTTCAGAGTCTTGCAACTAGTTATTTAAAAAAATCTGTTATAAATAAGTCATAACATACTCTTTATAATGCCAGGGCTACCATCCTTGCCAAAAAGAGTTTTTTGGAGACAGTCTTCTCCCCCCTGTAGCATCCTGAACCCTACCGAACAGGTGAATTCATGTTGATGCATCACCATTATTGAAGGATGCTGGTATGATTCCCATTTGCTCCCCGCAAAGAATCATTACTCCAACATAAAAAAATAAATCCAAACTGAAACGTCCTCTGTGTCTGGAAAAGCTGCCATGTTTGGATCATAGCAGCCCCATCATGGCAAAGACGTCAGCAGTAGAATCATTTGACCCCAGGGCCTAGTTCCTCTAGGAGGACAGCAACGTCACCACTGTTGAAATCTTCCACTGTCATTCTGCCACATGGCAACCAAAGCCACACAGAATTAATCTTGTGCTTGGAAGATAGTCTTCCCTCAAGCAGTAATAATACTTGCATTTTCTTAACTCTCTAAAACATAAGGTCTTCTTGAAACTTTCCTGAGAACTTCTTGTGGACTGTGCAGTGGCAGCAACCTCAGTATTAACCATCTCATTCATTGGTTGTACATGTTTCAGAGGGTGGCTCCTCTAGTTCCAATGTCATTTCTGTCTTATTAACTCTTAGATGTTCTCCATTGAAGGATATTTGTCCAGTAGCCCACAGGATTATTTTCCAGTTTATTGAAAACACTTATCAATGAAGACCAGATAGGAATGAAAATAGAACTTGAGGATCAGGTGTCTGTGGCAGACTTGGTGTTTCGAAAGCCCAACTTGCTTCTTAGACAAGAGAATTTCCTTTCCGCTTTCAGTGTGTGCTGAGTGAAAATGAAAGAACTGTGTCTGGGGAGGCATGTCCTCATTTAGACACTTACAAGATCTCATCTCATTTTAGTAAAATTTACTTGCATGACTAGTAATTAAGTTTTATTAAATTAGACGTTCTCTTTTTCATTTAAAGATGAGTTTTAATTATATAAAACAACAAGTGCTGTAAAAATGATTGCATGCATTTATTTGAGCTTTGAGTGCCCTCTACTGGAACAAGAGAAAAAGTAAAAAATCAATACTACCTTGATCTTGCATAGTTCTGTCGTAACTACTAAGATATGATTATTAGGAAAACAATAATAACAGTAAGAACTCAACGTATCTCACTCACAGTGATTTAATAGTAATAAAATATTTTTCTAAAAATTACTTTAAAGCAGACCTAACAGTGCGCATTTTGTGGGTTTTACATTTATGGAAAGTCCTGGGTGATACTGATAAGAAGCATCTCTTTAGCTGGTTGGGCTGCTCTCTTATTTCCAGTGACTGCTTGTCTCCATGTTATGAGTTTTGAGTTGATAGCCATAGCCTCTGGAACAAGGCTGGACTCTGGATCCATTTTCTTTTCTAAGCCTTTTCCTTCCAAAACCAAGGGTGATTTCAACTTTCATTTGGATGAGGCACTTCACTTCTCAGGTTCACGGTCATTTGATCCCCTCTGCTCTGACCGCTGTCCCCCCTCTCTGCTGTAACTTCATTTGCAGCCACCCCTTGGCCTCTCCGCTCCACCTCTGACTTCCCGTATTCTGCCGTGACCTTTCCTGTGCGAACCACCAGGTTCCCTCTTTCCATTGTCACCGCCATGTCTTCATGCCTGCTCTGCTCACTGTCAGCGTGCCCAAGCCTAATCTCCTTCCCTTGTCTCTATTGAATCAGACTCTCAGTCCCTTCTTATTTCAATGTATTTCCTAACTTGTTTGGATTTCATGGTTTATTGTTTCCACCACACTATCATCAACACACACATTTCCACCAACCCTTTGATCTACTGCTGTA
The DNA here is from genome assembly GCF_000001405.40 of Homo sapiens. NCBI lineage: Eukaryota > Metazoa > Chordata > Mammalia > Primates > Hominidae > Homo > Homo sapiens. The sequence goes on from NC_000007.14 coordinate 41,733,169, forward strand.
TAAGCCTTGCAAATAGTCTATTCTACAACAGCCTAATGACTCATTCTTACCGACTCTGATTTCTAAGCTGTGAAGCACTGCTGAAGGAAGTCATTTTGCTTTGCTCACTGGGAAATGACAAATTCTATGGCCTTCAGGTGAGACCTCGGGAATGCTCAAGAATGTTTTTTTTTTTTTCTTTTCTGCTGTTTGCTTGTCTTTCAAATCCCTCAAGGATTATTCAAACCTTGACTACTTTCTTCATTCTTAAGACTTGCTTTGTTTCACAAGTTTTGGGGAAAAAATGGAGACTACTGCATCCTTAATTCACTTACCCTGAACTTTAAAATGTGTCTTTTTTTTCTTCAACTTCTGTTTTTAAGTTCTGGGGTACATGTGCAGGATGTGCAGGTTTGTTACATAGGTAAACAAGTGTCATGGTGATTTGCTGCACAGATCAACCCATCACCTAGGTATTAAGCCAAATGTGTCTTTATCTCTATTCTTCCCTTCTGCCACAGGAGATTAGTCTCTTCCCCATTTGCTTTTGATTCTATTCCCTCCTAGCCCTTCTTAGATTTTGTTCCAACAGTTTTTTCAATTTTTCTCTCTCTTCCCAGGTAATTCTCTCTTGAACTCAGACTATAAACATTCCAGATTCTTCTGGAATGCCCCCAGAAAGGGTTGTCCCTCTCCCAGTCTTAATTTCCCACAAACTGCTGCTCCACATTTTCCTTGCTTCACTGTGAAGCTTTTAGAAAGAGTAGCCTGTACTCCTTTCTGTTGCTTCTTGTCAACCACTTCCACTTCCACACAACCCAGTTTGGGTTTATTTTTCTATCACTGACCAGAAACGGCTCCCAACAAACGTAACCAGAGAGGTCTCAGTACCATCAGGTTCCCAGGATTATCTGCTGCGTTGCTCAGCCATCCTTAGCTGATGCTCCAGAGCCCAGGACAGCTACTTATGCTCCAATTCATTGCTGTGGCAGCAGGAAAAAGAAAACTACAAGGAAAGGGATATCTCTTCTCTTGAAGGACAGGTACATGTCACATCTCATTGGCTTGAATGTAGTCACATGTCTAACCTAGGTGCAAGGGGAGTCCTTATTCTAGTTGGCCATCTGTGTAGCCAAAAATTGGAGGTTCTGTTACTAAGGAGAAAATTGAGAGTTGAGTGTTTGAAATTTTATATATTAAATGCTAACGAAAGATCCAAAGAAACTAATGAGACTGAAGTTTTAAAAATGCATATTTTGGTACAACTTTAAGGAATTTTGATTTGATATTTTGTGCAATATCTGTTGTTGGAAAATTACTGATGTTTTGTACACTAATATATGCCAAATATTTTATGAACATGTAAAGAGAAAATATACTCTTATTTTTAAGTCAAAAGTAAATAAATGCATACTAATTTACCGTTATATTAATATATATTTTATGTGCCTACACTTAAAAAAGTAACTTTCTTTAACAGACACAGTGTTAATAACTGCAACACTCTTACATTTCCCTATGTTTTCCTATATTTGCAAACAATTTTTGTATAAAACGAAAGTGATTTTTCCTTCAGTTCACAGAAAGCTCTTGAGACTGTCAATATTAAGGCTTTTCTTTAATATTTTATAGTGATTTGCAAGTTACATATATTTTTTATTCCACTTGAAGCTCTTTCAGAGTATCAAGCCACACATCTAAATCTACATGTCTCTAATTCTCAAGAACTTTTAAGTCTAACAATATTGGTAGTAAAGAATTTGGTACATTTTTACTTCATCTATTCTCTACTTGTTTTACTTCTTACTTGCTGTTAATTCACCTGGGATATTAAATCCATTTTTAAATTACATGACTAATGGTATAATATGCCATTGTTTTTTAAAGAACCATATTGATTTGTGCATTTATATTTCTAATTAATATTTATAAGCAATATACATCACTCTATATACTTATTGGTTTTAATATTTACTGTAGATTTTTTTTATTCTTAAGTTGTTCTAAGTTTTCACTTCCATCAGTTGAAGTACACCTTTGCTTTTTTTGTTTTATTTTAGTAAATATATTCAAGAGTTCCATTTTTTGACTGCTTGCATTGTGAGAATTGTTTTTATTGCTTAACACATAATACTACTTAATTAGGGTATAAGATTCTTATAATACATCCCAGATACTTTCCTTAGAAAACTAAAAGGAGTCAACCGGAATATTATTAGAACCAAGGCGGAAGTTTCACCATGAGGTTGGTTCTGATATAAGTGTGCATCTGTGGCCTTTCCTAAACCACAAAAACTGTTGAGAAGTGTTAAATGGCGACACTGTAGATATGATGTACTTTTTATTCTTTTTTCTTAATTTTCCCCCAAACTTTGCCTTCAACCATGGTATAGTGAATTTCCCATCTGTATCTTTCAATAACATCTTAAGCAAATTCCACAGTGTTTTCTGTATTAACATGTATCTAGATTAAAGATTCAATCATAAACTTGATTTAAATGACTTCTTTCTTCCCAACACAGGTCTGATCCATGGTGCTAAGGATCTGAAGTGTGAAGTAAGACCTGGTTAGCTCTTTTAATTACACTCTTCCATCTGCTCTATGTATAGATTTTTAGGCTTGGAACCAGCTATGCTAAAACTGCAGAAGGTGGTTCCAGGCTTAAGGGACTAGCAAACACAAATGTTCTGATGAGGTGAAAAGTTTGGTGTGGATCTAGAAACTGTTAGAGGCCAAATAAACTTGAGATTAGTTTTATAAGAGCCCAAAGGCATGAGATATGTTTGAAAAGTTAGATAGGAGCCAGATCATGAAGAGTTTTGAAAGCCATGAAGAGACTTGAGATTTTATTCCAACCACAATGGAAAGCCATCTAAAACTTTTGAACAACGGAGTCACTTGTAATCTAATTTATATCTTTAAAAGGCATCTCTGGCCATTGTGAGGAGAATGGTCTGTGAGGGGCAAGAGTATAAGAAGGAAGACTAGTTAGAGAAGGATAGCGAAGGTCCAGGCAGGAGATGTCAGTGGCCTGGATGAGAGTGGTGTCAAAAGAGATGATGATGCAGAAAATTTTAAGATCCAGACAACAGGATTTGCTGATAGATTAGACACTGCATGGGAGAGAGAGAGAACTGAATGACTCTAGATATTTGACCTGAGCAACTTGGTGAACAGTGGTGCCTTTGACAGAGAGGGGATATACTAGAGGAAGAAGAGCCAATATGATTAAAACAACAACTCAAGGGTTTGGTTTTAGACACGTTTGCCTAAGATTTTTGCTACATCAAAGTGGAAATGTTAGGTAACTGGTTATGCATGTGAGTCTGGAGCTCTGGGCTAGAGACATAAATGCAGAGCCATCAGCATATACATGTAGGGCTATGTGGCATATAAAGCCATGGGAACAAAAGTAATCACCAAGCAAGTGAGTGAATACATGGAAAAGAAGGGATCCAAAGGCTAAGCCTAGTGAGACGTCAATCTTTGGAGGTTGAGAAGTTTGGAGGGCGAAGGAGTAACGGAGACTGACAGGGAATGACCAGTACAATCGGAGCAGAACTAGTGTAGTGCCCTGGGAGCCAGATTTAGAAACACTTTAGAAAGTGTTTAGAAAGTTGAGAAATATTCTAAAATGTGTTTCAAGAATTGTGTCAATCTCTTCTTTAGCTCTTGTAATTTTTTGGCTTTATCTCAGATAGACAGATTATTGGCAACAGCAAAAAAAAAAAAAAAGTTTTTCTGTGTTTCAATACCAAAACTATTTTAGAGGTATGCTTTTCTTTTGTATTTTCTGACAGATACTGCCTTTCCCTTGTGTGATTAGTTTTTTCAAGATGCCACATGGACATGCTTCCCCTTCCCGCATACAATGTAGCCACGTCATATACACATGCAACTCACGTGACTCCAACTCTATGCACTTGAGAAAAAGAGAGAACATGACAATGCCGTAGGTGATACCACCTGTCACTCAATGCGTATGCCCAAGAATAGAGAAATAGATGCGAACCTGATGTTCTTCTGGGGTTATGCCCACAAAACAATACTTTCTGAACCTATGGATGGATTGTGAGATTTTTCAAGATATTTTAATTATACATAACATTTGCCTTATATGCTGAATCTAGGCTTATGTTAGATGCTATTCCACCCTACCTAAACTTGAGTGGGGTGCAATCTGCCCAGCCTTAACTTTGTCCACAGAAAGGATGTGTGGAATGTTCTTAACTCTGGTCCACTTGGGTCCTGGCAGGTCACTCTGATATCTGTTTCCTCATTATCCAGCACTTGGGCATCTTCTGGGATCTATATGACTGAGGTGGAGTTTTCTTCCTCCAACCCTCAGTTTCTTTGCCATATTAGATTTCATGAGCTTTCTCTTGGTCCATAACATATTCAGAACATCTATGTTGATGGTTACTGTTTCATACACAAAACTATTTTATCAGAGCTCTCTCTTCTTCCTCAACAACAATGTTTTTATTGAGACGACCACTTAGCCCAAGACATGTTAGTGGATCTTTTTGATTAGTTAGTTTGTTTGTTTTATTTTTATTTTTATTTTTTTGAAAACTGACATCAAACAGCTCCAGTTATTTCTAGTTTTAGCAGCACAACAAATAATTTTCTGGGGGGGAGAATAGGTAGCCATTTGTGATATGAGGCAAGCAAACCATGATCTTGTGAATATAGCAAGTTGCTGAGGCACAATTTTCCCAGGTGGATAAAGCTGGGCACTGCCCCTCTCATCTGCATCTATTTGTAGCAACAGATTTCTATTAAGGGCCAAATAGCCATCTGCAAGGAAAGAAATGAAAGCTTTGAGGTTTTGAGTTATTAGAGGATATCTGATATCATGGTGTTTTTCTGGATGAGGCCAACAGATGAGACAAGGGGCTCCCAGGAGAGGTGGATTTAGGCTTAACGCTGGGGCCTTGTTGTTGGTGGGGTGAGCACTTTCTGGCAAATCGGGTTCTGTAACCTCCTCTCCCCGCCCCCGAACCAGTGTCCAGGCACCATGATGCGCCCTGGAGAAAATGTCTGTGTCTGAGTATAAAGTGATAGGATTATATCTTGGAATTTGGGCTGGGAGTGGTGTGAAGCACCCATAGATGAGAATAAGCCTGAGAGGAAAAGCAGTTTCTTCCTCACCCTGGATTCAGAAGTAAGGCCAGGTGCTCTTCAGTGCTTTGGGGCTTGTGGCCTTGCCCTAGAATATTCACCTGCTGATCACACCAGGCAGTGACAATGGCAGTAGAGAAAGCACTCCCTCAGAGGAAATGGCCAGACTTCCCAGTTTCCTCCTCTGCAAAGGGTTATTAATCACCACGGGTCCCCTTCCACTTAGAATGCATTTGAAGCACATGCAGAGGGAGAGCTTTCTCGCGATCAGTGGAACAAAGGCTTGGAGTCAATAGGATTTGGACACCAGAAGAAAGGAGACATTATTTTGCACCACACGCTGGTGAAGTGGGTATTATCTTCATCAGAATTTTTATGTAAAATTTGGAGACTGCCCATCAAGAAAGCTTCTTTGTGAACCCAAAGGTAGTGATACTTTCCTTAACAATGAGGGGGTAGAACTTATGGGAAGCAGAATGCAATTAAAACTCATATCCGATATTCTACTGCTCAACTGATGTCTTATTAAAAATGTGTGCTTGTGGCCAAGGAAGTAGGAGGTGCGCTCTCAGCTGTCAGGCAGAGAAGAGAGAGCCGTGCCCTGGATCCATGTTTAAAGGCCTGCACACTCAGATCCCCAGTCCATGAGGAGGGAGCCGTTTACATCCTCTTCCCACATGACAATCAAAATCACACCACAGACTTCATTTTTCTCACTTCTCCTACACAAGGGCTCATGGTTGGGCATAAGATAATGAGGACAGGCTCTGTCACCCACAGTGTGGCAAGATAAGATGTAGCATAGTCAGAAGAAATTATTTTAGGGCCCCCTCCCCCAGAATTTTCACTGGTGACTCAATTCATCCTTTATGTGGCTAAATGGGTGATATCAGATATAGGATCCTCAGATGCCCTGAGTTTTAATTCTGGCTCTACCACTGACTTCATTTCTGTAATAGGTATACTATCAAATGTCTCCATGCCTCTGTCTCCTTGAAGGGAAAACTCACTTCACCAAATTATAAGGAACACCAAATTATTGTGAAGTCCTCTGCCAAGTCTAGTTGAGATTTGTATGATTCTTCAACCTGTCCAGCATCAGCCCCTCGATATTTTATGAACTGTGGCTCTCCATAAATTAAAATTTACCAAGACATAATTGCAGGAATGTTTTAAAATATTACTCATTTTTAGTAACATTTTGGTAGCATTTGAAATTATGGCTGCTAGATCTTTCTTGGCATTCATTGTATTAAACCTCAATGGCTCTATCAAGTAATGGGTTTTTGAGTTGGCCAGTAAAACTCATCCAATATCTCATAAGTTATCACTGTATTTAATTCTGTCTTCAGGAAGGCAGAATTATTAATCTTGAAGACATCAATGGTATGTTTCACATAGGAATTGAAAAATGCTTAGTGACAATGAAGATAATAGAAAATCTAAGTCACAGGAGAATGAACAGTGGGCTAATGGCATTCAACTACAGGAGAAGGAGAGAACAAGAAGAGGAGGAGGAGAAAAAGGAGGGGAAAGAGAGGAGGAGGGGGAGGAGGGAAGGGGGAGGGAGAGGAGGAACTAAGGAACACATAGGAACTAAACAGTTACACTTTGGACCAACAGTAAACTCAAAGGTCGAATACAGAATATTTTCCTTCTTCCTGTGCCTCAATTTGCTTATCTGGTAAATAGGGATAACAGCTCAAATCACCCTCGCTTAGTAGAGATTTATATCTTTGCAGAATTTATAACTATTGTTAGTATTCACTCACTAACTACAATACTAAAAGTGCTCATTAGGTGTGTATATACATACATAGCTTTCCAGAAAAATAAAATGCCTTCATTTCTTCCTAAATTATTCAACATATAGAATACATCTGTTTGTGGGTTATATTTTGTTTGTCTACAGTGAAGTTAGAAATGTTTATTAATTGCAGTAATATCAGAAGTTTTAAAAAGAGAAACCTCTTTATTGTAGTATTTACATATAGGATTGTTAACTCCAATAAATTCATGAGGAATTGGTAGATAAAGATTTATGAGCTAAATATTAAAATTCTGTGCAGTCACTAAATATTCCCAAAGAAATGGAAATATCTGGGAAGTATATAACCATGTTTTTTGGCCTTTATTTGAATATAAAAGAGATGGCTTAAATGACCATTAAATTACATTCCCAGAGAGTTTGTGTACAAATCAGATGATAACAGATTATACATTGACTGGCGCAAATTGCTTCCCAAAGTGAATATTAATATAGGGTCACAATTCTTGAACCATAACCCATGTGGGCCATACTTTGGGATCTGTTGTATTTTTTGAATGGTAATGTGAGCACAAACTATGTATTGTGTAACACCCCCCATCGGGAGTTGGGGGAAGCATTCAAACACATTAAATTTTCTTCAGTAAAACCTGAAAATATTCACACTAAGTGAGATAAACACTATTAAATTATTTCACATAATTTGATTATTTAAATCGAATAATTTTTTAAAAAAGTTTGCAGACTTGTATTTTCTTTCTCAGATTTTTGGATGATTGTGCACCTGTATTCTTTAAAGTGTTTGGGATGCTCTGCAGTCACCTGTGGGGAAGTCTTTGAAAATGTAATGGACACCTGTGGGAGGATATAATATCAAATATAAATAATAGCAGTGAGCTCACATTTTAATGAACTCACCAAATATGTAAGCAAAGGATATTTTTGTCTTGGTTCCCAGGACTGAAAGTAATTAAATTTCCAATACTGCCTAAATAGTGTAGTGGTTAAGGAGAAAATAAAGTTGAGGATGGTACTTCAGATGCAGGGACAAGGAGTCTACAACAACAGAGAGTGAAAAGAACCTGCCAGAAAGGTGGGGGGGATAAATCACCTGAGTTAGAATCAGTCTGAGCAAATAATCTTTTTTTTTTTTTTTTTTTGTAATATAAGAAATTCTGTATTGGCCAGGTTTTCAAAGATATCACACATGCTGAGAACTCAAGCATCCCTCCAAACTGACGATGTTTTGTAGTCCAGTCTGCAGCAGGGCCAGCTGCAGAGCTCATGCCTGGGCCCTTGTAAAGGACGGTGTGCTGAGAAGGACCCACTTTTGGTTTAACGCTCTGTGGTCACTGACTTTGTGTTCATAATCATAGCTAAAGAAGGGCCTTCACATTAGCATTTTGCACTGGGCCCTGCAAATCATGTAGTGGGTTGTGTCCACAGGTAAGCCTGTGTGTGGAATAGAGTGGAGGACCATCTCCACTTTTTCTCTTTTTGTTAGAAGTGAGAAGACAGCATGCTGCCTAAGCTCAGGAGGAGCCCACTGACCACATGGCCAGGGAGGCCTTCACTGTGGCTCCTCTCAGGTCTGCTCCAGGCATAGGAACACTTGCAGAGAGAGGAATGATGTGATACCAGCTTAATTGTCTCATAGAACTGATATTTACAGGTTTTTTTGATAAACATAGAAGTTGACCTTCCCTGACTTAAAACTTGAAACTTACATTTGTCTCATCTGAGTTTCTTCCTCAGGAAACTGACCCTAAGGTAAGGGACTGAAACTCACCAGATCACTGCATCCAGGCCTCTCATTTTTTATGATTGCTTCCTTGCCCTTGCCCTTCTCTAACTCCTGTTTTCCTGCCTTACCCATCATATAAAGCACCCCAGTTTTTGTTGGTCAAGGAGATGGATTTGACACTCTTCTGCTGCAGCACCCAATTGAAGCCTTCTTCCCTGGCAATACTTGTTGTCTCAGTGATTGGCTTTTTGTGTGTGGGCATCAGGACCTAGACTGAACCCCTGGTGTTTCAGTAACAGATGCACAATGCCCTTTCTCTCCTTAAAAGGAGGAAGAATTTCCTTCTTATAACCTCCCTCTAAGCGACAGCATTGAGCAGAATGCACAGTTCCCTGTGACAGGAGGATTGATGAGGATCTTTGCCACAGCCATCACCTTCTGGTTATGTGGCATAAGGTGGGAAGTCTGAAGGCACCATCTCCTCAAAGTTAACCTAAGCAGAAAGTAATAAGTCTTCATATTTGTTTAACATTCTGCAATGTACAAAGGAGGTTTACAGCCATTATTAGATTTTATTGATTCACTAATGAAACACACACGTGCAAACACACATACACCCCACCTACACACACCCACACATACATACACATCCCCCACATATGCACACATTTTTATTCTGCAGCAAGCACAAGCCACAGAACTGGATCCTCTCCCATTGTAATAAGGGAATCTTTAATCACCTCTTTCTTGCTTGTCACTGTCTGTTTTCCTCTTTTCTCTAATGGGTGACTCATAGACACTACTGACCCCCAGGGTCTCCATTCCCTTCACTTCAGTTCTTACCCCAGGCCAACTCTGTCACTGCCATCCCGCTGACAAAGCACTCACCATGTTCTCCAGCACTCATTAGTGCCCTAAGCAAAACTTGGCCTCTCACTCCTCAAGGCCAAAGTTCTGCCACAGAGATCCCTGATTTACAGAGCACATCTTCCCTAAAACCTAAGTTGAGTGTGGCATTGCCTACTACCCCCTCATTCAGGGCAGGCTCTCCCTCTTTGGTTTCTAGAACACAGTTCCTTTCCTGGCTTCCTCTTATGTCCCTGGAACTGCTCTTCAGTCTCCTCTGGAGATTCTTCTTTCTCCCACAGTGGTTGGGGGTCCCCTAGGATTTCCTCTTTGACCGTTTTTCACTCTTTGCATTCTTTCTAGGAAACCAGTTCAGTACTCCCCTGTGATTTCAAAGGTCATTTATCCAAATATAGATCTGAAGATCTATATTTGTTCTGGCTAGCCATGTGATGTGGGACAATAGATGTAATCTCTTAAGCCTCAGTTTTCACATCCATCAAATAGGCAAAATAATCATCCCTACCTGATACAGTTATCACAAAGCTTCCCTTATTTATTCAACAAAAGTATTGAATACCTCATATATGCCATGCAGGAATAAACAAGACATATTAAAAATCCTCATCATTGTTGCACTTCTATTAATGGTGTGGGGCAGACACTGAACTAATGAGCCAATGAATTATTTAATACATAACAGTGATGGGAGCTATGAAGAATAAAGCAGGGCAAGAATGAATGACCTGATAAATGCAAAGCAATTAGCAGAGAGGCTGACATAAATTAAGTGCTCAGTAAATGCTATCATAGTCCTCCCCATCACCTGCTGTGAGGGTCTTTGGTCTGTTTCTAGCCTAGATGTCTCTCTCAATGTCCATAGAAACTCAAGTTTAGTACATCTAAAGCTATTTTTTTATTCCACACTTTGATCAATAGCACCAAAGTCTCAGCTGACCATCAGTTTTACCACCCTAATATCCATTTTAGATCTGCTCCTCCTCTCTAACCCTGTTACCCTGACCTGATTCAGGTCTTCAATTTTTTGGCCTGATCTACTGTGAGAGCTATCTGTGTTCCCCTTCTTTAGACAGTTCTCCACTCAATCCTCCACCCAACTGCTGGGATGGTGTATTGGTCTCCTGCTTAAATCATAGAATGGCTTGCTATGATCCTCCATAGATGTAGCTCAAGTTTTTTAGCCCAACCCACTACTCCCTACCCCTCCCATTCTAACCCTCTACACTAGGACACTGAAGTGTATGAGCTCTTCCTGCTCATTCAGCTGTCTTGCCTCTGCACCTGTGTACCCCCGCAACACACTGCCTTTCACCCTTTTCTCTCCCTGCAATGCCTTCCACACATCTTTTGATCTGGCAAACTATTGCTCACCACCCAAGACTCAGGGCCAACATCACCTCCTTTAAGCATTTCCCTTGTCTCCCCCTTACCCCTACCTTATTCCAACTGTTACTGAGTTGTGTATCTCCCATAAGGGTCCCACATACCCTGCTCAAATCTCTGTCTCTTTCACTAAAATCACCAGGTTTCTTTGGATTTTACTTTTGTGTCTGTTTTTACCAGATTCTTATTGAAAGAAAGAAAGAGTTTTACTTGTTTTCTTTGGGTTCTTTCAGGAGGACTCCCACCCGCATTTTTCCCACAGGCTGTGTGCTCGTGTGTCCTCCACAGCCCATAATTGTCTGTCATGAATTTGCCAAAGTCTGGATTTGTCAGTCTTAAAAAAATACCATGTGGGAAATACCAAAGGGCCGTCTAAGTTGGAATGTAAGGAAAACTTGCCTCTAACCCTTCAAGGCCATAGTTCAGCCACAGAGATACCCAATTTACATGATTAAACAGACCACTTAGCATCTTCTGTTACGGCATCTGCATTTGTATTTATAATGCCTTTGCATTTTTATCCAAGAATCATGGAGTAATTTTTTCATTACTTTTATGTAACTAGAGGGCCCAGTGTGAATTTTTAAAATCAAGCGAAATCTCCAGTACAGGAAACTACCAGAACCCAGAATGTTAATACCTTCACTAAATCATTAAAATCCCTCTCCACTGGGCCCCTGCAGCAGCCTAAGTAACTAGAACAAGGCTTAGCATCTAGAATAAAAAATGAATTATCTCTTCCCTTTTCCTTTCCAGCAATGTCTTCTCTCTTAAGTTAAGACCTCACTCTGATGACCATTAGGAAACTCACATTCTATTATGTTGAAAACTGAACCAAGTTCCCACCTCACCACCACCCATCCTTTTCTTTCTTCTGAATTCACATCTTGGTTAATGCACCAGAATTTACACAGGGGCCCCAAGCCAAAATCTTGTCAAAGAACTTTAACTCTTTCCTGTTCCTCCCTCCACAAATTTCATCAGCACCCATGCTCTGCCATTTTGCTTTCCTTAATTGTAGTGTCTGGCTGATGGATGTCAACAAGGCTTTGTTGAATGCCTGTTGTTAAAAATTTGCTCTCTCATTTCCATTGCCATGGCCTTTAATTTCTCACCTAAACTGCTGAAATAGTTTTCCTTTCCTGGGACTCTCATTTCTCCAAGAGCCTGTCAAATTGATTCCTCACTTCAAGCCCATTCAGTCTTTAAAGTCTTCAATATCCTATCGTCACCTACAGAGCAAATGGAAATCCAGTAGCATCTGAAAGAGTGTAGGGAACGTCATCCCAAAATATGGCTTCTTGCTATAAAGATTATTTTGAGTTAAAGACCCTTAGGAAACAACAGACTGTAACAGCCCAACAGGTTCTTCTTGCCCACTGCCCAGAAAAGCCAGTGCACTGAGAACAGCAGGTTTTGCAGCAAAGAAAGAGTTTAATAATTGCAAGTCCAGCTAAGCAAAAGGACAGGAGACATTTCTCAAGTCTGCCTCTTAGGAAACTCAGATGCTAGGGTTTTAAAGATTATTTGGCAAGTAGAGGGCTAGTGAATTAGTGCTGCTGATAGGATAGGATGAAATAATAGAAGTATCCAGACTGTCTTTGTGCTAAGTCAGTTTGTGGATGAAAGTTCCTGGGTGGGAGTCAGTTTCTTGGTCTGACTCACAGGTCTGGCTGGAATCATTTGGTTGCCATAATGCAAAAGTTTGAAAAATATCTCAAAGACCAGTCTTAGGTTTTGACAATACTGGTGTTACTGGAAAGGGGTCCTGATCTAGACACCAAGAGAAGATCTTGGATCTCATACAATGAAGAATTCAGGGTGAGTCCATAAAGTTAATGCAAGTGTATTAAGAAAGTAAAGGAATAAAAGAATGGCTACTCCACAGGCAGAGCAGCTGCTTGGGCTGCTCAATCAAGGATACTTATTATTACTTCTCGATTATATGACAAACAAGGGTGAATTATTCAGGAGTTTTCTGAGAAAGGTAGGCAATTCCTAGAACTGGGGCTTCCTCCCCATTTTAGACCATATTGGTTAACTTCCTGATGTTGCCATGGCATTTGTAGACTGTCATGGCACTGGTAGGAGTGTCTTTTAGCATGCTAATGCATTCTAGTTATCGTACAATGAGCAGTGAGGATGACCAGAGGTCACTGTTATCACTCTTGTCTTCTCCAAATTCTGGAGAAATTTGATAGAAACAAGTACGCTCCAAATTTTGTTCACAAGAGTATACTTTACTCAATTGCTACAAGCTGTAAATAGCTCAAAAGAAAAGTTTCCTTGATTTTGAAAAACAAAACAAAGGATCAGCAAAAAAGGTGTTTTTTCTTTTTTTGCAAAAAAAAGCAAAAAAGTCAAAAACAGAGCATTTTGAGTTGAAGACCCTTAGTTTTAAGCAAAAGTCAAAAACACTATGTCAGTCTTCCATTAGTTCAGTTCATACAGTTAACTCCTGTTCTGCTTGATATTCATGAACATTCCAGCTCTCCATGAGAGTCCTGAAAGTTTTTCCTCTATTCTAATGTGCAATCTCCAAAGTTATTAGAAGCCTGTATTCAACAGCACCTGTCAAAGCCCTATAGCTGATTATAAATGACCTTTTGAAGAGGATCAAAATAAAACAACAGTTGTCTGTGGATGACAAAAAGTTTTAGGACAGCTACTATTAAAGCCACAATGGACTAGCAATTTTGATTACTTCTGTGGAATACAACAATTTTAACACAACAATTATAACTATTAATAACATACACTAAGTCATATCATGATCATAACAGTTTCCCATAATTTTGGAACACATACCACTAACATATTTACACAAATAAAGCCCAAAGAAAGCCTAATACATTTCATATTTGACAATGCATCCTGTATGATTTTTATACTAAATAAGCCAATTTGGACTTTAGAGGACCTAATAACTAAAAGATTAATCAGGTCAGAAAAAGGCATAATTTATCATTTGATTTTGGAAACTTTGTCAAATGTCAAATCCCAGGTAACCATAAGTCATTAATTTAGCCAAAATAATAAATCAAAAATTTTTAAAAGGCAAAAGCTTTTCCTCATTACGAGGGGAGACATAGCTTTCCAAACAATGTGTCTCTTTTCTTTCCTTTCTTTTTCCTACAGTTTATTCAAAAGGCAAGACAAGGCCAGGTGTGGTGGCTCATGCCTGTAATCCCAGCACTTTGGGAGGCTGAGGCAGGCATATCACAAGGTCAGGAGATCGAGACCATCCTGGCTAACATGGTGAAACCCTATCTCTACTAAAACTACAAAAATTAGCTGGGCGTGGTGGCGGGTGCCTGTAGTCCCAGCTACTGGGGAGGCTGAGGCAGGAGAATGGCATGAACCCGGGAGGCGGAGCTTGCAGTGAGCAAAGATCACGCCACTGCACTGCAGCCTGGGTGACAGAGCGAGACTCTGTCTCAAAAAAAAAAAAAAAAAAAAGGAAGACAAAAATCTTTCATTTTAAAAAATATTACATGAAAATCTTGTTCAAGAGAGAAAGCCAGTCTTACCCTTGCATTAGTGCACTATTGATGTCACACCTAATTCTTAATAAAACCTTATAGACAAATCTATCCAATATTAATCAATATGACCATAAGGTAAGATTCTTATAAACCTTTTATAACCCTTTACACTTGTTGTTGTTGTTGCTAAAGAGCAGAACAATGTTCTAAGAAAACTCTGTTGTGCTTTTATTCCAATGTTCAGTTTATGGAATAACTGAATAATACCCATTTAACTTTAGCCAATATAGTCACACACAGAATCTCTTTCACAATTAATTTTTCATAAATCTTCAACAACTTGTTCAAACCTTTAGATTTTTCCTATCTCACTTAAAACAATCCTTTAACCCTCTAAACTTAGGCAAGAAATCCACATTCTCATGCCTTCTTTTGGTAAAATTGCATTCTACTTTCCTTAGACACCTGTGTATAGAACTGTTTCTTCAGTTCTCAAATACATGTTATGCTGTTAACTCTTAGCAACTTTTACTTTTGGTGAAAAACCTGGATAGTAAGCTATTTTAATTATGTATCTGTCTGGGGCACCAGACAGAAGTGCAGATAAGGTCTGACTCTTTCCAGCATAGCTAGAGGGTGTGGCTAACCCCATGTCCTCAGGCCTTAACTAGCTGTTAAGCAGGCAAGTTGAACTGTTTTCAAAAGCTAAAGAAGGTCAAAAGATTATGACCTTAAAGCATTAAGCAAACCTAATATCTGACTTGTATAATTTAGACCAAATGTCTTAATTTTGAAGATATTTTTATTTTACCAATAATCCTTAAAACTGTCTTTATTTCCCAAAGCTTACCAAAGGCATGTGAACTAAAAGGCATTAGTTTTATTTTTCTGACACATATTTTATTTAAGCACTTACAATTATTATTTTTATTTTTGAGATGGAGTCCCACTCTGTTGCTCAGGCTGGAGTTTAGTGGTGCCATCTTGGCTCACGGCAACCTCTGCCTCCTCAGCTCAGGGGATTCTCCTGCCTCAGCCTCCTGAGTAGCTTGGATTACAGGCATGGGCTAATTTTGTATTTTTAGTAGAGATGGGGTTTCATCATGTTGGCCAGGTTGATTTAGAACTCCTGACCTCAGGTGATCCACCCACCTCAGCCTCCCAAAGTGTTGGGATTATAGGCATGAGCCACCACACCTAGCCTAAGTGCTTATTATTTTTAAGCCAATTAATTGGAAATTTTTCGTATATAAACATCACATACACAACACACATAAATACACAGACAGACAGAAGAAGATCCAATAGTTGTAAGATTTTTCATTTCCCAGTTTCTTAATTGGATTATTGGCTTCAGGGTGGAGCTGTTAGAGGAACAGGGCCAGGAAAGCATGCAGTTTCCACAGCCCAATAAGCAGGCACAGCTGGAAGACAAAACAGATCCCAAAAATTAAGGGTCCCATTTTTATATCAGATCCTAGATCCCCAAAAAGAGAAATGCTACAGAACAAGACAGTGACATGATTTTACCATGCATTTCATTACAAAATAACCCAAAGCCCATTCTGTGATTAGCTGATCCCCCATGACAGTCTTATCTCTCAGTGAGAGAGTGGAAATATCTTCATACCTTCCAAGTGGCCAAGAGCATGTTTCTCTGATCCAAACGTGCAAAAAGCCATGTATTTCCCCATAATTGCCACTAGCTATCCCCAAAAGTATATTTCCTACGTAGTAGTTATTACACACCAAAGTTCTTTCATAATGCAAAGTAATTTCTGATATCCCCAAAAGTCAAAAACATCAGATAATGCATGCAAAACAGATCAGAGCCTTAGATTTTTGAGAGAGATCTATCCACTTTCAATTCTTGAGGTTTCATGAGGAAAGCAGATGTTTTTCCCAAAACAGGGTCTATGCCACCTCCTCTGTTTTTTTCCAAGGAGTTCCAGGCTGTTAGAGCTTGAATAGCTGCTTTTAATTAAGCTGACTTTTAACCATAGTGCTCTTAAAAAAAAATTCTTTCAAATTTCTTATTACCTAACTTCAGCCAGACAAAAAGTCCAATATTTCTGGCTTTTAAATTTTACCAAAAGTAACCACCCAGGTGCTCAGAGAAAGAAAAATTCAAGATGGTTCATGGATGAGAAGAGAATTAACAGGTGGTGAAGGTCACACATATATCAATTAGGAAGGACTCATTCCCTAAGTCAGGAACTGAACCCTGAACCCAGGCCACCATTGTGAAAAGACAAAGCCTTAGCTACTGAGCTACAGCTATTAGACAGTTTCCATTGCCCTTCCCAGAAGGAGCCTAGAGCAGTCAATTCTGAGCTTGCAAAGGCTTTTAACTGCTCAATATAATTTTTAGGGCTATGACATGAACCCCAAAATTTCTGTCCTCCAGGTGGCAGAGAGAAGGTACCACCACATGGTTAAAAGGTCAAGCTTTCAAGGACATTCTTCGACATGTGATCTCTGGGCAAGATGGTCACCCTGAGTAGCAGAAAACATAACAAAGGCAAAGAAGAGAAAGGGAGAAAAGCATTCTCAGAGAGGCCAGAGAAAGACCCACCCATCGCAGTGACACTGTAAAGTTCAGGTGGCCGCTCACAGGGGATCTTTTCCAGCAGTCTCATCAGTTCTCAGGTTTCCCCTTTTGGGAAAGCAAAAGCTCCCCATGCCCTGTGTTCCTGTACATGCCTAATCCTATCACCCATAGTCATCAGCAAAGAGTACAAGGCAGATTAATCCAAAGAAAATACTAGTTAACATCCCATAGTGCCAAATCCTTTCTTAGCTGAGAGGGACCTTACTGAGAGGGGCCTCTAATCCCTGAAATTTTAGAAGTGACTCTAATCTTCCTAAGTTGGGCCTTAAACCCAAGTTTGGTCAAGTGTCCTTCCTTTTATTAAAAGGGGCCTTTAACTCTCTTCGTCTTAGGAGAGACTCTAACTCTCCTAAGTTGGGCCTCTAACTCAATCCCATCCTCTACCCGTGTAAATGTACCCCACTAACCCAAAGTTGGCCAGTTGGGGCATTCAGACAATTTTCCTTTGGGTCAGGGGTCTCTTCATTATCGTCCCTTTGTCGTCACCAGAAAGATGTTACTGGAAAGGTGTTCCAGTCCAGACCCCAAGTGAGGGTTCTTGGATCTTGCACAAGAAAGAATTCTGGGTGAGTTCATGAAGTGAAAGCAAATTTATTAAGAATGGCTACTCCATAGGTAAAGCAGCAGCTTGGGCTGCTTGACCAAAGATACTTATTGTTACTTCTAGGTTATGTGCCAAACAAGGGGTGGATTATTCATGAGTTTCCCCAGAAAAGTGTGGGCAATTCCCAGAACTGAGAGTTCCATTTTAGACCATAAAGGATAACTGTTTGATGTTGCCATGGCATCTGTAAACTGTCATGGTGCTGGTGAGAATGTCTTTTAGCATGCTAATACATTACAATTAGCATACAATGACCAGTGAGGATGACCAGAGGTCACTGTCATTGCCATCTTGGTTTTGGTGGGTTTTGGCCAGCTTCTTTACCACAACCTGTTTTATCAGCAAGGTGTTTATGACCTGTATATTGTACTGACCTCCTATCTCATCCTGTGACTTAGAATACCTCACCTCCTGGGAATGCAGCCCAGCAGGTCTCAGCCTTATTTTACCCAGCCCCCATTCAAGATGGAGTTGCTCTGGTTCAAACGTCTCTGACAGTGATGTCATCTAGAGAAGCAATTGGGGAAGTTACAAACCTTGTGACCTCCAACTGCATGGTTATTAAACAGTAAGAAATTCTAGGAACAATGACTGGTTATCTTTAAGCTACACCTACATCTTGGCAGAATTCAGGCCCCTCCCAAATCCTAAACTTGTGGGCTTTCATTAGTCTTACAAGGACAGTTTTGGTCCCCAAGTAAGGAGAGGGTTTGTTTTGGGAAGGGACTGTTATCATCTATGTTTTAAAGTTAACAAAGTAGTGAGCTAGTGAGGTTAGAAGAAAGATGCAGTTAGCTATGTCATATTTCACCTGAGATCATAATTTTTTTTTTTGCAAAGGTGGTTTCCAGAATTTTCCCCTACCTACATGAAGACCCAAGGTGCCCACCAAGGAAAATAATTATTTTTCTTTCTCCTCACTGTTATCTCATCTGGTGAAGAATCTAACCACACCTGAACAATCCCTTTCACAAGATAATGTCTGGCTGTCAGGCTCATTCAATTTCCAAAGCAAAGTATTTACAAGTTGATATTCATTCTCTGATCCATTTATTTTTTCCTAGTAATCATTTATCGCCCCTCAATAGAATTACCTACATTTCCCAACCCCCTAAATTAGCTATGTAAGTACCTGGGCCTCTGTGGAATATTGGGTAATCATTCTGTGATATTCCCCTCTGCAGACTAATAAATTCATATGCCTTTCCCCTTATTAATCTGCCTTTTATCAGATGATTTTTCAGCAAACTTTCAGCAGGCAAAAGGGAAGCTCAAACACATCATCTGTTTTGTTCTCTGACCCCTGAGTACCTTTCCACCCTCGTCTCCTCTTATGCCCCCAAACAGAGTCTCTATTACAGCCAACTATGACTTTCTCAGAATGCCAGGGTTCTCCAGGTCTCCTTACCTTCCCACTTGCTGCTTTTTCTTCCTTGTATGCCCCACCCCCAGCTGTGTGCCCTGACTGGAGAACTCCTAGTCATTTCTCAAAACTTTGTTCAAACATTTTGTGGGAATATGATGGCATTCTTTACTCTTCTGTGTGCTCTTTCATCTCCAGTCTCTCAACAGAAGGCATTTATGGTGTTGTCAGATGATTTTTCTCTAATTCTATTAGTAATCTTGTTACAGGAAAGGGGTCCTGATCCAGACCCCAAGAGAGGGTTCTTGGATCTTGCGCAAGAAAGAATTCAGGGCGAGTCTGCAGTGCAAATAAAAGCAAGGTTATTAAGAAAGTAAAGTGGTGAAAGGACAGCTACTCCATAGACAGAGCAGGATGTTCCCTAAAGCAAGAGGAGGAAGGCATCCACCCTAAATACAATGCTTGTATATATGAGGAGATGTGCTCTGCTACAAGCGTTTGTGATAAAGGATTACTTGTCTTAATTATTATATTTTGCAATAATTTATATTATTATCTTTAAAGCAAAATTAGGAATGCCTTTGTTGTCCAGATATCAGAATATCTGGACACTCTCAAGTCTGGTCTGTTTAGTAAACATTATTAGTTTTTTCCCTTAACCATAAACATCTAGAGGCCAGGAATGCCTAACTTTCTGAGAATGCAGCCCAGCAAGTCTCAACCTCATTTCTCCAGCCTTCACTCAAAATGGAGTCGCTGTGGTTCAAAAATCTCTGACAATCTCACTGTCTTACATTTGCTTATGTATTTGCTGCAGCCACTAGACCAGGAGCTCCTAGTAGCCAGAGCTAGTAAATTCCCCATTTTCTATTCGAAGTATTGACACCAGTACCTGACACATAGCCAGCACTTGATAAATATTTTCCAATAAATAACCAAATGGTAAGAGTTAGCAAAGCAAAGCATCCAGCCATCTAATATCCCAGAAACATTTTTTTCTTTTTCTAAAGAGAAAACCTGTAGTTTAGAAGATAGTGAGAAGTTATAGTTGCTTATTGCTGAAATGATCAGGAGTTTATAAAGATGCTCATAGACTTTATGCCTTTTACAATGTAAGGCAGTGACATTGATTACCAGGTAATAACCTCAAAAAGAGAGATTCTCAAGAGCTCTTTTGAGGGCTTATAGAGCTGCCAAAGTTAAGAAAATGTTAACTACAGAGAATATGAAGAAGGTCTCTAGGGGGCCAAAGACAGAGAAGTTATTTGTAGTAAAATATGAAGGGCTCCTTTCATTGGAGGGGCACTGGTGAGAAAATGAAACACTGGCAATGAGAATAAGAGCAATAAAGAAGCAGGAGGGGAAAAAAGGCACCAGGAAAAGAAAACAAGTTTAGTTGTGATGCTAGAAGAGATATAAATAATCATGTGAATGGGCAATTATCATCCTAAAATTTGCTTCTTTAAAAATATTTTTAAAACAATGAGACAGACAGTAATGAGATTTTTAAATGGAATCAGGAATTTCCAGTCACATATTTAATTCTTTGATCAGGATAAAGGAAATTAGCTAAGATGTGAACATCGCATTTGTCTAAACACTTTATTCTCATGGGGAAAGCCAGGCTGAATTGAGAAGAAAGGACACACAAGACTTGTTAAAGGAAAGGGGTCCCAATCCAAACCCCAAGAGAGGGTTCTTGGATCTTGTGCAAAAAAGAATTCAGGGTGAGTCCACAGTGCAAAGTGAAAGCAAGTTTATTAAGAAAGTAAAGGAATGAATGAATGGCTACTCCATAGACAGAGCAGCCCCAAGGGCTGATGGTTGCCCATTTTTATGGTTATTTCTTGACGATATGCTAAACAAGGGATGGATTATTCAGGCCTCCCCTTTTTAGATAATATAGTGTAAATTCCTGACATTGCCATGGTATTTGTAAACTGTCATGGTGCTGGTGGGAGTGTAGCAGTCTGGATGACCAGTGGTCACTCTCATCACTATTTTGGTTTTGGTGGGTTTTGGCCAGCTTCTTTACTGCAAGCTGTTTTATCAGCAAGGTCTTTATAACCTGTATTTTGTGCTGATCTCCTATCTCTTCCTGTGACTTAGAATGCCATAACTGTCCAGGAATGCAGTCTTGTAGGTTTCAGCCTCATTTTAGCCAGCTCCTGTTTAAGATAGATTTGCTCTGGTTCACATGCCTCTCACATTTACTCCCTCCCTTTTGTAAGAGAACCCTTAATCCTAAGGGTTGCAGAGAGACAAAGATCTATCTTCTGTAACTTCTTCAGGCTGAACAGAGGCAATGATATTCCTGCCTAACTATGAGTGTCTCTTGCATTCAGGGAAGGGATGAGTTCAGTGAGAAAGCATCAGTATGGTAAGGTCCATTCACAACTCCTGAGTTTCAACAAAAGGTGATATCTGGAAGATTAATAAGTGTTTAATTTAAGAAAACATTCAGTAAGCTTGTCCTGTCTTCCTACAAAAAGAACTGATTGGTTCACAGGAATAAGCAGCATTAGCCTAAATTGCAGAAACAAACTTAAAAACAACAAATGAGACTAAAATTTAATAACAAGTGTACCATAGTTCTTGAAACGCATTATTTTTCTTTCCAGTTTCCCATTTTTACTAAAGACAAATCATGGTAAGATTGATTTGCTTTATTATATTTGGCCTGGTTATTTGTATTAAGTGTATCAACAATAATTATTTTCACATAGGATCTTTTTAAATGGGCTTTGATGGAACTCTGTTTTATAGAAGGAATCTTACATAAGACTTTTTAAAACCAAGCTCTGCCATGGGTTTGTACCCTCAAACACCCATGAGTTGAGTAAATCCCTTCCCCTTGTGGACTCAAGATAAGTTGGGGCTCTTGGATCTGTCAGAAAGTCACATTCTTTACTTACCACAGCTCAGAAACCCTGTGCAGGGACTGTTGCAGACAAGGTCTGAGGCCAGTTCTCCAAGGGGCTTTTGTTGGCTTTAAAAGTCAAGTTTGATTCCTTAAAGGAAAACACACCATTTTAGTTAAAGCATTGGTAAAATAACCAATTTCTCCAATTGTGTCCTGTGACAAAAGAAAACAGATTCTTATTGCATTTATGCAAGTAACTATATTGCCATAAATTAAGAATACTCAAAAATAGTTTCCAAATTTTGGAGTAATCAGGTAGAGAGGAACAAATATGCTCCAAATTTTGTTCACAGGAGTGTACTTTACTCAATTGCTTAAAGCTGTAAATAGCTCAAAAAAAAGTTTCCTTGACGCTGAAAAACAAAACAAAGGA